>NC_000021.9:9848505-10169868 GCF_000001405.40 Homo sapiens | reverse complement strand
GATCTTGAAAAGTGGGGTATTGAGGTATTTTACTTGGTTGTAAGCCATCAACGTGTTTTGCAAATGTGATATTATGTTTTGATATTAGTAAAAAAAAAGAAGCTTCAAAATGTCCTCTCTTTCTTTGAATGCAATCACAATCATTTCCTTTTTGAATTTTAAATATAAGTAACCTAAAACTTAATAACTTGCTCACAAGTCTAGAAGCAGACAAAATATCACCCACAAACCTGATTTATAATACTACGTTAAACTTAAACTGACTTAAGGTTTTAGACATTCATAAACATCTTTTAATCTATTCCCCTTTTGCATGGATATGTAAATATATACTCCAGGAGATATAATTTTTGTAGTTATTGTAGTGCTTTTGTAATGAAGAACTAAGTCTATTTTCACAGTGATAGAGAATTCAGTTGAGTTCTTTTGACCCTGTATGGATTTGTCTAGTTTTTAAGGTACTACTTAAAAATGTATAGAAGACAAGGCTACAGTAACCAAAACAGCATGGTACTGGTACCAAAACAGAGATATAGATCAATGGAACAGAACAGAGCCCTCAGAAATAACACTGCATATCTACAACTATCTGATCTTTGACAAACCTGAGAAAAACAAGCAATGGGGAAAGGATTCCCTATTTAATAAATGGTGCTGGGAAAACTGGCTAGCCGTATGTAGAAAGCTGAAACGGGATCCCTTCCTTACACCTTATACAAAAATCAATTCAAGATGGATTAAAGATTTAAATGTTAGACCTAAAACCATAAAAACCCTAGAAGAAAACCTAGGCATTACCGTTCAGGACATAGGCATGGGCACGGACTTCATGTCCAAAACACCAAAAGCAATGGCAACAAAAGACAAAATTGACAAATGGGATCTAATTAAACTAAAGAGCTTCTGCACAGCAAAAGAAACTACCATCAGAGTGAACAGGCAACCTACAAAATGGGAGAAAATTTTTGCAACCTACTCATCTGACAAATGGCTAATATCCAGAATCTACAATGAACTCAAACAAATTTACAAGAAAAAAACAAACAACCCCATCAAAAAGTGGGCGAAGGACATGAACAGACACTTCTCAAAAGAAGACATTTATGCAGCCAAAAAACACATGAAAAAATGCTCATCATCACTGGCCATCAGAGAAATGCAAATCAAAACCACAATGAGATACCATATCACACCAGTTAGAATGGCAATCATTAAAAAGTCAGGAAACAACAGGTGCTGGAGAGGATATGGAGAAATAGGAACACTTTTACACTGTTGGTGGGACTGTAAACTAGTTCAACCATGGTGGAAGTCAGTGTGGCGATTCCTCAGGGATCTAGAACTAGAAATACCATTTGACCCAGCCATCCCATTACTGCGTATATACCCAAATGACTATAAATCATGCTGCTATAAAGACACATGCACACATATGTTTATTGCGGCATTATTCACAATAGCAAAGACTTGGAACCAACCCAAGTGTCCAACAATGATAGACTGGATTAAGAAAATGTGGCACATATACACCATGGAATACTATGCAGCCATAAAAAATGATGAGTTCATGTCCTTTGTAGGGACATGGATGAAATTGGAAATCACCATTCTCAGTAAACTATCGCAAGAACAAATAACCAAACACCGCATATTCTCACTCATAGGTGGGAACTGAACAATGAGATCACATGGACACAGGAAGGGGAATATCACACTCTGGGGACTGTGGTGGGGTGGGGGGAGGGGGGAGGGATAGCAATGGGAGATATACCTAATGCTAGATGACGAGTTAGTGGGTGCAGCGCACCAGCATGGCACATGTATACATATGTAACTAACCTGCACAATGTGCACATGTACCCTAAAACTTAAAGTATAATAAAAGAAAAATGTAAATAAATACCATGTTGAGAAAAAAAAAATGTATAGGAGAAAATAAAAATAAATTATCTCTTTCATAAGTTAAAAATATTTTACATTTCAGCATTCTGAAAGCACAGAGGATTCAACAAAATGATGGTTTAGAATCAAATTCAATAAAGAAACATCAGCTTGAGATCAGACTCTCAGGAATGTTTTTTTTTTTTCCTGATGAATCTGAGCCATTCAAGGTCCTTATAAATACGTGAGAGCACCTTTGATTTTTGACTTTTTATAGTTAACAATTTCAGTTTGCTAATACAAAAGACCTCATGCCTTTTCATCCAGAAAACAGAGAACACTTTCTATTATGTAAGAGTATTATGTTTGAAGGAATATGTTTGCTTCAACTATGCGTGCTATGGTACAGAAAGCAAAACCACCTCCCTGTAGGTCTAAATCCAAGGGGTTTTCAATGTATTTGGGTTAAGTCATGTTGTAAGGTTATAGCTCTCTAAGATTTTTACAAGATGCATTATTAAACACGAATCTTCTGTAACGTGTACAGCATATCTTGTATAAATCAATGCAATATTTTCTTCTAAGTATGTGATGGTTTTGGTCACCCATGCTTAAAAAAAACTTTGAAGAGACAATTCATCTTTTTCCTATGAAGCAATTTTTGTTAATTGACATAATTCTTCAGCAGTCAAGCTATTACTGTCATTAGGTAGTCCTTTCCTTTATTCAGAAGCCCAAGAAGTTAGTAGAGGTTTGTATACTATGCACCTTTCACCAGAAAATAAAAAGGGAGAACTTTAAGTATTTGACATCATCAAAAATTAGGTGTTATGGTGCTATGCTTAAGTTTTGATATTATATATTAATTACATTTCCCTTAGTACTACCTCCTCTGAATTCTTGAGCTTGTCAGTAGTTGAAAACATTTGAACCTAAACCATTTTTGCACATTCACAACTAAATGTCTGGGTAACTTGGGAATTAATACTCTACAACCTGTGATGGAGCAGGGAGCAGGGTCAGCTGTCCATTAGCATCTCTTGTGAGGTTTCTCCATTTTCATAAAGAAGCTTGAGAAAATCTCCAGATTTGCCTGAGGGTAGACACAAAGCAATGCTCAGTTATACTCAATGTTATCAACCTACTGGACTTGGTATAAAAGACTTTTTGAGCACTGTATTGCTTATTAAAAAACAGTAAAGTGTAAAAGATAGTTCTTTAGACAAATTGGCCCATGGAAATGCCAAATCATTAGTTTTGGTGTCCGTAATGCCTCACAAAGTTATAAACTTTTATGAATAATTTGCTAAGAAATTAGCTCTAATGACAGGTAGTTTATGTATATACCTTGATAACATCTACAGGTATCTTATGCACATGACATTATAGAAATATTTGTTTGGGTTTTTCTCAACCAGTCATTTTCTACACCATAATTCCAGCTCAGCCCACTCCACTTGCAATTGCTTGCTCTCATCTTCTAACTCCTGTTTATTCTTCTCAATTTCTGCTGCAATGGCTTCAATTAACCTGCTCCTCTGTATCTTGTATGCTTTTTAGTTCACTGCTTATTTCCTTCTTCCTGCTGGAAAACTTGGCTAAATAACTCGTATTACTATTTTAGCCTCATTTGTCTTTAAGATTATCTCATAAGGATATCCTATATAAATGGTAGTTAATATTTCTGAGCACCAACTTCCCTTACTCCAGCTCTCAGACTTCTTCCCATTGTTATGACAATTGAAGGCTTTTTAAATTCCTGTCTTAGGAGAAGTGGCCCAAAATTTGCCATAGATCTATGATGTTTTAATTAATACTGACCTCTGAATGATCTAGAAAATAATGGTAAACCATGTATACATATTTGTGTGTGCACATGTGTGCATGTATCCATAGCATCTGTGTGTGTGTACATTTTATAGATTTTGTCTTTATGTGAAGAAATATACTGAGTATCCAAATAAGCATAATTTCTATACAAGTGAGGTATGTGGGTTAAAATCTAGCGAACAAAATATAACTATACATTCATGATTTGGAAACCTTTTAACATGATTCTTGAGGAATTACTCAATTGTTAATTGTTTCTACCTTCTCTACCAAAATGACTAATATTTGGACTGAAAAGAAAAAAAAGAAAACCTCAGTAAGGAAAAGTGGAATTTCTGTAGGTGGTAACTCTGGAATATCCCACCAAGAGAATGAATCAGATTAAAATAATGACTGTAGAAATTTCCTTGTTAGTGAATATTCAGCCTGGCCTTAAGGAAAATGTAGCTCTCTCTTACTGCTTTGTATCTTATTTCTTTTACTATGTCAATTCTCACCTTAGTAGAACTACTACTAGTTCTAGTACCATGGCTATCATAGATGCAACCATTATATTCCATTTAGTTTCTTCCTCAGGTTCCCTAACAATTGTTTGAAACTGAATATATATGTTTATGTATGTGTGTGTGTTCACTTTCATGTATATGGTGTATATGGGATGTGTGCAGTTTTCAGTTTTATATATATTCATATATATACATGCATATATATGTATAATATACATATATACATGCATACACATGTATAATATACATATATACACATATATGCACACATATAATCACTGAGTTCCAAAGTGAGTCTTTATTTGGGGCAATTGCATTCTCTCCCCTCTGTCTGCTCACTGGCCTTTGCAAGACATAGCAATTGCTTGATTTTCCTTTAGATAAGAGTCTTATCTTCAGCACTCTTGACTCTAGCCTTAAATTTGGATTTCTATTCCAGAATACCTCTCATATCAATCTTAAAACCTAAGATGGGTAAAGAGGTCATAAGATTTTTAGTATGAAAGAGTTTGCTTAGTTAAATTATATCCCAGGAAACTCATTCATCTACAAGTTAAATTGTAAAATATTGTTTGTTGTATCTGAAAAAATCTTTAGAACAAGAAATGTAACTGGGTAGCCTGTTATATCAAAGAACCCTCGATTTATTAAGTCTCCTCATAGCCATATCGTTATATAGCCCTCTCTGACACTGACTTAATAGACACTTGACAAATGATAGTAAATTTAGGCTTGGCAAATTAAAATGGCACCAATGCCAAATGAGAACCTGATCTACTCTACTAGAGAGACTAAGTGGAGGAGAACCCAGCTGATAGCACCAGTGAACTGCCAGATATTTGAGTGATGTCTCTTTGGACTATGTAGGCCTTGTCAGTCATATAAGGAAACCTAGGCAAGACTCCGAATATTATCCTCCTGAGCTCAACCAAAGTTAACAAATTGTGAGTTTGTGTTTTAACCAACTAAGTTTGATGACTGCTATACACAGCAATGGATAATTGAAATAACAACTAAAAATTAAAGATGAGATAATGTATTGTGTTTAAAAATTTAGCAAGTGAGTACTTCATGAATATATTTACCTTGATGGCATTACAAGCTAAGTTTTGCTGGGCTTTATTAGAATAAATTATTTGAGCATTGATGAGAAAGTGAACTTTCAAACTATCTTATTTACGTTTATGTTTCAGTTATCCCACAAAAGCAGGAAATTACTTTCAACAATGCACCTGAGGTATTTTATAGTATCTCTCTGGTTATTTCCATGTATCAGGTGGAGAAATATGGATCAGACACAAAGACAATAAGGTTAATTGCTCTCTAGCTGAATATTTTTTCTTAAATGGGTTTATTAGTAAATTGATAACTTGATTTGATGTTTACTCTGACGTGTGATGTAAAGTTCTTCCTAAAGCCCCCTTTCTTTTCCTTTTTAAATATATTAACATAGATGAATACAGAGAATGTGAACATATTAGATATATAGATATCACAACAGGAGAACAGTAAATGTTGGGTTTTAGACTATTTCAACCCTAAAATATGGACACAGGTTGGAATGAGGATCCAATTCAGCATAATAGCCTCTAATGGAGTGGGGAACATATAAAATCCTGTGTTGTTTTATGAAATGTTGCTTATTTGCTGCATGTTTTTAAAAAGTATCCGTTTTATTTAATAGTGGGATCTTTATGTCAGTGATTACTGATGTTTCCAGCAAGCTAATTCGTACCAGGGAGAGAATGTAAACATTTAGAAAGGGGATTATATTTCTCTATTATCTGCATATGTCAGATGACAACGAGAGTTTCAAAGTACAATCTTATGAAGGATTGTATTGCAGATTTGGCCTAGAAGCACAAAACCGTTAAATTTTTATCAAAATTATACCTGAAAATTCTTCATGTTGTTTATTAGCAGTCATTATCTTTACAAAGATATAGGAAATAAAGTGATTTCCATCTGCTGCGATCACTTGCCTTTTACAATAGACAAAATTGTTATTTTCATTAGGTTTTACAAAAGAAATGATATATAAATTTTTAAAAGGCATGTTTAGGTTCTTTCACCAGAGAAATTTAGATTATTCTTGCATAAAATCAATAAACATAATTCAGCACATAAACAGATCCAAAGACAAAAACCACATGATTATCTCAATAGATGAAGAAAAGGCCTTTGACAAAATTCAACAACGCTTCATGCTAAAAACTCTCAATAAATTAGGTGTCGATGGGACATATCTCAAAATAATAAGAGCCATCTATGACAAACCCACAGCCAATATCATACTGAATGGACAAAAACTGGAAGCATTCCCTTTGAAAACTGGCACAAGACAGGGATGCCCTCTCTCACCACTCATATTCAACGTAGTGTTGGAAGTCCTGGCCAGGGCAATCAGGCAGGAGAAGGAAATAAAGGGCATTCAATTAGGAAAAGAGGAAGCCAAATTGTCCCTGTTTGCAGATGACATGATTGTATATCTAGAAAAACCCATTGTCTCAGCCTAAAATCTCCTTAAGCTGATAAGCAACTTCAGCAAAGTCTCAGGATAAAAAATCAATGTGCAAAAATCACAACCATTCTTATACATCAATAACAGACAGAGAGCCAAATCATGAGGGAACTCCCATTCACAATTGCTTTAAAGAGAATAAAATACCTAGGAATCCAACTTACAAGGGATGTGAAGGACCTCTTCAAGGAGAACTACAAACCATTGCTCAATGAAATAAAAGAGGATACAAACAAATGGAAGAACATTCCATGCTCATGGGTAGGAAGAATCAATATCATGAAAACGGCCATACTGCCCAAGGTAATTGATAGATTCAATTCCATCCCCATCAAGCTATCAATGACTTTCTTCACAGAATTGGAAAAAAATTACTTTAAAGTTCATATGGAACCAAAAAAGAGCCCACATTTCCAAGTCAATCCTAAGCCAAAAGAACAAAGCTGGAGGCGTCACACTACCTGACTTCAAACCATACTACAAGGCTACAGTAACCAAAACAGCATGGTACTGGTACCAAAACAGAGATATAGACCAATGGAACAGAACAGAGCCCTCAGAAATAATGCCGCATATCTACAACTATCTGATCTTTGACAAACCTGACAAAAAGAAGAAATGGGGAAAGGATTCCCTATTTAATAAATGGTGCTGGGAAAACTGGCTAGCCATATGTAGAAAGCTGAAACTGGATCCCTTCCTTACACCTTATACAAAAATTAATTCAAAATGGATTCCAGACTTACATGTTAGACCTAAAGCCATAAAAACCCTAGAAGAAAACCTAGGCAATACCATTCAGGACATAGGCGTGGGCAAGGACTTCATGTCTAAAACACCAAAAGCAATGGCAACAAAAGACAAAATTGACAAATGGGATCTAATTAAACTAAAGAGCTTCTGCCCAGCAAAAGAAACTACCATCAGAGTGAACAGGCAACCTACAAAATGGGGGAAATTTTTGCAACCTACTCATCTGACAAAGGGCTAATATCCAGAATCTACAATGAACTCAAACAAATTTACAAGAAAAAAACAAACAACCCCATCAAAAAGTGGGCGAAGGATATGAACAGACACTTCTCAAAAGAAGACATTTATGCAGCCAAAAAACATGAAAAAATGCTCATCATCACTGGCCATCAGAGAAATGCAAATCAAAACCACAATGAGATACCATCTCACACCAGTTAGAATGGCAATCATTAAAAAGTCAGGAAACAACAGGTGCTGGAGAGGATGTGGAGAAATAGGAACACTTTTACAGTGTTGGTGGGACTGTAAACTAGTTCAACCATTGTGGAAGTCAGTGTGGCAATTCCTCAGGGATCTAGAGCTAGAAATACCTTTTGACCCAGCCATCCCATTACTGCGTATATACCCAAAGGATTATAAATCATGCTGCTATAAAGACACATGCACATGTATGTTTATTGTGGCACTATTCACAATAGCAAAGACTTGGAACCAATCCAAATGTCCAACAATGATAGAGTGGATTAAGAAAATATGGCACATATACACCATGGAATACTATGCAGTCATAAAAAATGATGAGTTCATGTCCTTTGTAAGGACATGGATGAAGCTGGAAACCATCATTCTTAGCAAACTATCACAAGGACAAAAAACCAAACACTGCATGTTCTCACTCATAGGTGGGAATTGAACAATAACACATGGACACAGGAAGGGGAACATCACACACCAGGGACGGTTGTGGGGTGGGGGGAGTGGGGAGGGATAGCATTAGGAGATATACCTAATGTTAAATGACGAGTTAATGGGTGCAGCACACCAACATGGCACATGTATACATATGTAACAAACCTGCACGTTGTGCACATGTACCCTAAAACTTAAAGTATAATAGTAATAAAATAAAATAAAACAAAAGAACTAGTTTGTTGAGTTCATTTAGGAACTAAGTTGTAAGAAATATTGCACCAGACAATTTATTTTCTGAGATGAAACTCAAGTAACTATAAGCACAGTATCAGGAATGACATTCATTTGTTCCCAGCTGTCTCTAGGCATTTTGCACTCTTGAAAAATACTAAGTTCCCTGGACCTGAAGAGATTCATGAATCAGTAAGAATGTGAGCCCCTTGAGTGTTCAATATACCTTCAAACCTTAGAAACTGTAAGTCAATGATGGTGATTATCATATCACAAGAGTATAGTTAGCTTCTATTAAAAGACATAAAAGACCCCTCTGAGTTAGCCCTAGACACATATTACTCCAACTGCCTGAAGAAATGTTTACCGATCCATACAGAATTACTCTCAATTAGATTTAGAGAAAACATTCTCTCTTTGAAGAACACTAGAATTGAGGAAAATATGGTAGAGCATATAGGTTATTTTGCCTTTGTTACTTTGTAGACCTTAAATCATGGAGTGTGTTAGAACACAGTATATTTGTGACAACCATGACAGTTCAGAGAAATGCAGTGAGGTCATTTACTCTGAAACTGAAAGACACTAATCTCTGCTCTGAGACCCACAAAATCAGATTATCTGTTTTACCTGCGTGATTTCTATTCCTCTCATTTTGTTGTTCTTTTTATAAAACATCTTTGTTAAATAATAAAGTTATTACTCTAAGGTAGTGTCCAAGTCTCTTTGATAATAATGAAATGTCCATGGCCAAATCCCATTGCTTTGTTTTGACACTGTGCCCCAAGAAAATTACTTTGATATACCCTCTCATATTAGAATAAATACATTATACATACCTATTGCCTACATCAAGTTTTGAATTGTACCACTTTCAGGTTTAACCTGGCCATAGAGCAGATTTTCTTAATGGTTGGTGAACACAGAATAATAGTTTAATCGTTCAGATAAACTATTTTGCAGAAACATTTAAAATCAGAAATTGCAGAACTACTATCTGAACTTAACCATATTTTGTTTTATTTAGTACTCATGCTGACAAGTTGATTTACCACCTCGTTTTCCCAACAAGTGTTAAGATTTCAATATGCAGTTAATGGTTTCTAAAAACAGTGACTATTTAATTACATCCTTATAGTTTCCCCAAATTGCTTATAGTTTGCCCTCATTTTGTTAGGTCTATAATATTTCTCAATTAGTGAAAAAATTTCTACTCCTTTTTAATTATTGATGCATATAATGATGTATAAAAATTATGTAGATAGCCCCTCCATGAAAACTTAAAATCAAGAGCTTTTAGCATTAAAGTATCAGAATACAAACTAAAGAAAACACACCAATTCAGAAAGATTTTCTTTAAATATATTAAAGTGAATAAAATGTTCACAGAGAATCACTCACATCTAAGGATATAGACTTTTTCCTAAAGTGAAACTATTTTTGGTTCACTCAGACTCTGGGTAGTGTTTCACTGATTTTGAATTTCACTGGTCAGAACCAGTGTTGGTAGTAAGAATTATTATCCCAGAAGAGAATGGAAATGCTTGCCAACTCTACTTTCAACCCTTGTTGGAATCTCTATGTTGTGGGTAGAGATATGACTAAATTAAGCAGTTTTAAGTCTAAGCCAGAAAGATTTAATTATTGATTTATTGGTTTTACAATTGTTAAATATTGCCTTTAACCAAGTATATGTTTTATCATGTAATAATCACTTTGGCAGCCTCAAATGTCATGGGTTCACAGGGTAAATGTTAAGGTAATAGCTAAACAATTGAGCGTATAGGAGATCTATAGTAAGTGAAAAAAATTCGAGATGTAATATAGAGTCCAGTATGACAGACTTGAGAAACTTCCAAAAACTAGGAAAAGAAAACCAAAAGTCATTCTTGCAGTGTCTCTGATTGCACTGACTTGATGCAGAATTGGTGCATTAACATATGTATACATTACATATGTATACATGTGCCATGCTGGTGTGCTGAACCCATTAACTCGACATTTAGCCTTAGGCATATCTCCTAATGCTATCCCTCACCCCTCTCCCCACCCCACAACAGCCCCCAGAGTGTGATGTTCCCCTTCCTGTGTCCATGTGTTCTCATTGTTCAATTCCCAGCTATGAGTGAGAACATGCGGTGTTTCGTTTTTTGTCCTTGCGATAGTTGACTGAGAATGATGAATTAAAATAAAAATGCATGCACTTTCAAATGTACTTAGTGCAACATATTGAACTTACATTCCAGTTTTCCTGGAATTTCTTGTGTCTTGAGCTAAAGGCTGTATTTGGTATAACAGGGAAGGAAAGAAATTATTTTTCCTATAAAATTAGTTTAAAAACACATATAATTAAACAAAATAAAAATATTATCCCATCTTTTAAAGAACATTTACTAAGTCACAGATATTACCCGAAGTTTAGAATATCACCTAAGAACAATTGTTTAAAAATTATTTAGGGAAAATGAAGCAAAATTGTTTTTACAATCTGAGATTTTAACAGCTGTTCTTTTAACTCCTGTTCTTCAGCTGAATGTCCCCTTCATTCTGAATGTCTGCAGTAGAGTTGAATTGGGGAGCAGTTAGGTTCCAGGAACATATTCACTCCTGTTTTGTTCCCTTCCCAATCTCAGCCTTTCGGTGACTGTTTGGGCAAAGCCTCCCTTGTGGTAGAAGATGCCTCACTTCTGGGGAGAGGAGACTCCTCATCTTGCAGACAAGAGGCAGCACCCACTGGTTCCTGCTCCAAAAGCCATTAACATTATAAACTGGCCAGGTGCGGTGGCTCAAACCTGTAATCCCAGCACCACTTGGGAGGTTGAGGCAGAAGGATTGCTTGAGCCCAGGATTTTGAGAACAGCCTTGGCAACAAAGTGAGACCCAATCTCTACAAAAAGTAGAGAAAAAAATAGCTGGGTGTGGTGGCACTCACCTGTACTAAGGAGGCTGGGCTGGGAGGATCTCTTGAGCCCAGGTGGTTGAGGCTTCAGTGAACCAAGATCACACCTCTGCACTTGAGCTTGGGTGACAGATTAAGACCCTATCTCAAAAAATAAATTATAAACTGATTCACAATAACTTTGGTTTTGTCACTAATATGCTGAATATTTTTGTTACAACTAATATGCAAAATGCAAACTGGCTATCACTACCATTCTGATAATGGAATTAGCTGTCCTACATACCTGATGACCTAATGCTTAACCTAATCTTCCTCTTTCCCACTTTGATTTGGAAACTTGTTACAAGAGAGTTCTTTACCTCAAAGTCTTAAGGAATTCAAGACAAGACTAGAGTATGTTAAGATACCACAAAAAAAAAATATATATATATATAGCAAGAGCTTTCTTGAGTAAGCAAATTTTATACATATAAAAATAATTTACATGCAAATGACCAAGAGGAAAGGTTAAGTGACTCTGGTGTAAATAATTAGTTTACTGATTCTGCCAGAGCATATTAACAAAAATTCACTTTGGCAAAATTATATGGATTTAAAGAAGTAACAAGTGGGTTTCTCTAAAGCACAGTTTGGCTTTTTACTAGAATATCAAGTCACCTTTTTGGGTGAGGAGAGTACAATGGGAGTGGGCAGCTGGTGCAAATAAACATTTAAAATTACTTAAAACTTCAACAAATGGGATCTGTATTTAAATGTGTTTTGGTCTGTCTTCCCTTTGTTTTTTCTAATCCATTCCAACAATGCAAACCTCAGCCACTGTCAAGGGCAATCTCAGACTGGAGGTTGCTGCCTAGGGTGAGGTTCTAGCAAGACTGACAAGCAGAGCTCAGGGAAAAGTCTGCATGGGAAAACAGAGCCAGACTTAGAAGGCATTGCTGATGAATTCCATTTTCTTACTACAGAAGAGCTAGCAAAAACTGCAATATGATGTGTAAAGTCAGTGTAATCTTATGGACATTATACCAAGTCACAACATGAGGCATGAGATACCTCAGATGTTGTTCCCTCTAAATCTCATGTTGAATTGTGATACCCCCAATGTTGGTGGTAGGTCTGGAGGGAGGTGATTGGATCATGGGGGTGGATTTCTCAGAAATGGTCTAGCATCCTGTCCCTGGTGCTGTCCTTGTGAGAGTGAGTGAATTCTTGCAAGATCTATTTGTTTAAAAGTGTGTGGTGCTTCCCCTGCCTTGCCAGGTGATGTGCCTGCCTGCTCCTTCTTCATCTTCTGCCATGAATAAAGCCTCCTGAGGCCTCACCAGAAGCTAGGCAGATGCCAGAATCATGTTTGTACAGCCTGCAGGTATACAAACCTCTTTTCAAAGCTCTTTTCTTTATAAATTACCCAGTCTCAGGTATTTCTTCATAGCAATGTAAGAATGGCCTAATACAGCAAATTGGTACTGAGACATGGGGCATTGCTATAAAGATACTTGAAAGTGTGGAAGTGACTTTGGAACTAGGTAATGGGCAGGAGTTGGAAGAGTTTGGACTGCTCCTAATACAGGAAGATGAAGGAAAGTTCTGAATTTCTTAGAGACTAGTTAAATGGTTGTAACCAAAATGCTGATAGTGATATGGACAGTGAAGGATAGGCTGATGCGGTCTCAGATGAAAATGAGGAACTTACTGAGACTTGGAATAAAGGTCATGCCTGTTATGCCTTTGCAAAGAACTTGGCTGCAGTCTGTTCATGTACTAGGGATCTGAGGAAGTTTGAACACTCAGACACAGGAGCAAAAAAATGACTTAAAGTTGGAATTTACAATTAAATGGGAAGCAGACCATACAAGTATAGAAAATTTGCAGCCTGCCCATTTGGCAAAGGAAGATAAAGCATTTTCAGGGGAAGAATCTAACAGGCTGTGGAGCAACCACTTATTAGAGACATTTACATAACTGAAAAAGAGCTAGGTGCTGATAGCCAAGACAATTAAAAAAAGGCCTTGAAGGCATTTCAGAAATCTTTGTAGCAGCTCATCCTAGCACAGACCTAGAGGTCTAGGATGAAAGAATGGTTTCTTGTGTAGTGGGATTTTAAAAATTAATTAATTAATTAATTAATTAATTTATTTATTTATTTTGAGATGGAGTCTCACTCTGTCACCCAGGCTGGAGTGCAGTGGCACAATCTCAGCTCACTGCAAGCTCTGCCTTCCGGGACATGCCATTCTCCTGTCTCAGCCTCCCAAGTAGTTGGGACTACAGGTGACTGCCACCATGCCTGGCTAATTTTTTGTATTTTTAGTAGAGACGGGTTTTCACTGTCTCAGCCATGATAGTCTCAATCTCCTGACCTCGTGATCTGCCTGCCTCAGCCTCCCAAAGTGCTGGGATTACAGGCATGAGCCACCATGCCCAGGCTGTAGTGGGATTTTTTAAGGAATCAGAGAGACTGATGGGGTTGAGGAGGATATTTATTATTTAGGTGCACTGGCCCAGTCAGATTAACATCCAAAGGACTGAGTCCTGAACAAAGACTTAAGTTAACTTTTAAGCATTTTGTGGGGTGGTGGGGAGTGGGGAGATCTGTGCAGGGGGAAGCATATTACAGAAGCGAGAAACAAAGACAGTTATTCAATTAATTGAGACATGCATTATATCATTTCTTACTTTTCAAGGAAAAACATGTTTTACGACTTGAGTTTATCTGTCTAGTGACCTTGCAGCTGCACAGCTAGGGAAACAGGGTCTTCACAATGCCTGGGAAAGAAGGAGAGATGAAGCTCACTAGCCACAGAAAAACAGGCAGTTAATTTGTAAAGGGCTCCAGCTCTTTCTCTTTCTCAGGGGGAATTGGGTTTTCTCACATACAACTGAGTTTCTGCTTACACATTCTTTAATTTCTTTTAATTCCTGTTCCACTTGGACCAGGGCCAGGGCATCACTGTCCTGTACCACCCCCAGGAGGGTGTTCCTTGCATCCTGGCCCTTCTAGCTCCAGCCTTGGTTCAAAGGGCTGCAGATAGAGCTCAGGTCATGGCTTCAGTGGGTGCAAACTATAAGCCTTGGTGGATTCCATGTGGCGTTAAGCCTGCAGGTAAGCAAAGTGCAAGAGTGAAGGAGGCTTGGCATTCTCTGCCTAAATTTCAGAGGATGTATGAGAAAGGCTGGATGCCCAGGGAGAAGACTATGCACGGCTGGAGCTCTCAAAGAGGACCTCTTCTAGGACAGTGCCAAGTGGAAATGTGGGGTTGGAGGCCCCACTCAGGGTCCTGACTGGGGGGGCGGCCTAGTGGAGCTGTGGGAGGGGGGCTGCTGCCCTCCAGATCCCAGAATGATAGAGCCACCAGCAGCTCATGCCTTCAGTGTAGAAGAGCTGTGGGAGCAGAGCAGCCCAAGGCCTTGGGAGCCCACCCTATGCATCGTGGGAACGCTCTATGTTCCCAGGATGTGGGACATGGTTTCAAAGGAGATTATTTTGGAACATCGAGTTTTAATGACTGCCCTGCTGGGATTTGAACTTGTGTGGGGCCTGTAGCCCCTTTCTTTTGGCCAATTTCTCCTTTTGTAATGGGAATGTTTACCCAATGCCTGTACCCCAATTTTATCTTAGAAGTAAATAACTTGTTTTGATTTTACAGGCTCATCAGTGGAAGGGACTTGCCTTGTCTCAGAAGAAACTGCACTTTCGAGTGATGCCGAAACAGGTTGAGACTTTTGGGGGACTATTGAGAAGGGATGATTGTATTTTGCAATGTGAGAAGAACATGAGATTTGAAGGGCCAGGGATGGAATGAAATAGTTTGGATGTTGTACCCTTTAAGTCTCATGTCGAATTGTAATTTCCAGTGTTGGAGTCGGGGTCTGGTGGGAGGTGATGCGGTCATGAAGGCTGATTTCTCATGTTTAACACCATCCTCTTGGCACTGTCCTTGCAAGAGTGAGTGAGTTCTCATTACATCTGGCTGTTAAAAGTGTGTGGCACCTCTCCCTGCTTGCTGCTGCTCTGGCCATGTGACATACCTTCTTTTGCTTCACCTTCTGCCATGTGTAAAAGCTCCCTGAGGACCCTTCTTGAAGTCAAGCAACTGCCAATGCAAAGCTTCCTGTACAGCCTGCAGAACTGTGAGCCAAGTCAATCTTTTTTTTCAGTATAAATTATGTAGTGCTTAGGTATTCCTTTATAGTAACGCAAGAATGCCATAATACAAGGCATAATGGTTTGCATTTTAAAAATGAAAATTAAATTTTTGTAATTTATCATGAAAAGATGAAATGTGTTAATAATGAGCAATATCTACATGTTGTCTTAGAGGTGCTGACAATCTGTCAAGGAATTACATGCATTGATCAAGCAGTTTACCTTCAAGTTGAATAACAAGATATTCCTATCTAACATAACAAAATTTTGACATTATTTGGGAGACTGGAAATAATGCTAAATAATATCAGATTGTCAAAGTCAAATAAATATAGAGACAAACATCTGAAATTAAAATGTTTTATTTGAGATACAAGTATTACAATTTCACACATACATGCAGAATGGGTGTCTTTAGTATGTCCAAAACATAAAGAGAAAGTTAGAGGTTTTATAAAAAAGGGAGACAGAGAGAAAAACGGTATGTATTTCTCTTTGAGAAAGTTCACTGGCACCAGTAAGGTTTTTGAGAGCTGGCAGGCTCTGATAGGTGAGGGACAGTGGTGGGTAAAGCTAGTCTTAGTGTTCAAGAAGTTGTTTCAGTAACCATTTGATAAAACTGGTTTCAGCTTAAAGCAGGTAATTTCAGCAGCCAGGCATGCAGAGAATTACGCTTTTGGAGTGGTGTTTTTGCCCTGAATGCCTCCTCCCCCTGGCTTGTTGTTGGTTTTATTTGGTGTGATAAGAATGACCCAATTCATATGATCAATTTTTACATTTAACCCTTTCCATCAAGATCTTTCTCTTAAAGCATCAACCATGTTTATAGTTGTACAAAGACTACAAGTTAGGTTTAATCATCCCTTAGTGCTAGGATGGACCTGTCCCAGTTGCTCCGTCCCACATCTGGGAAAGGTATGGAGGTCTACATCAGGTCTATGTCAAGATTTATGGCTTAAAATGTCTATCCAAGGAAAAAATAAAACTGACCAGTAATCCCAGGAGAGAAACATACCTTGGCAAATTCGAAGATATTTCTAATTTTATTTAACAATTTTAAAATTAATTAATATATCAAAGATTCACCTAACTCATGTCAAATAAAATATGTTTGCACTAATTAATATATATTTTATGTGAACATTCCTTTATTTAAACCATCCTTTTTTCCTAGAATGATGGATTAGGGGCTTTCAGTGTGCCTCAGCCACTTGGAAGTAGAAAAATAAGCATAAAGATAAACTTTGTGAGCTTCAATTCAAGAAGAAAAATAGGAATTCACAGGAATACAGAAAAACACTCCAGACCCTGTGGAGGGGGAGGTGGGAAAGCAGACTCTGTGATAGCATTTGGTTCATAAAAGGGAGTGAAACTCCAGTACAAGAGAAGAGCAGCCAGTCTCCCTCTGCAACTCACATTTTCACTGGGGATCTGTGCAATCCAGATTAAGGGAGAGCACTCTGTTTCTCCCAAGCCTTGGAGCTAGCACAAAAGTGGCTGAGAGATGGGGAAAGAGGAAAGACACTCAGAAAAGCTGCAGGCATTTCCCCAGACCTGGGACTGAGAGAAGGATGACCTTTTTAATCTGGGCTCATACAAAGTCAATCATTTTTTGGTGCCTGGCAATGGTGGCCACTGCAGACACTTTAATCTTGGGCTAGGAATTGGAGTGCTTGCTCTGGAGCAGGGGAGCAGCCTCAACAGCCAGAATTGAGTGTTAAGTGTGGAAAGTGCCCCAGCAGTAAGTGTTGGAATTAGGCTCTCTCCTCTTGCAGGACTGTAGTGGGAAGAGAGTTGCTAAAGCAGAGGTTTCTCAAGGATGGTGAGACTTGCAGCCAAGAACAGCTTTGCAACCTGGAACTGGTCTGTGTGTGTCATTGCTGGGTGTCTCAGCCTGCTCCCTTGGTCAGTTGAGAGAGTACTCCATCAGCTCCAAGAAACAAGAGGGAGGTGAACCCCATTCCCCAGGAGACCTAAACTTTGGTGAGGACCAGCCCTAAGGGAAGGAGGAATACAGCTTGCCAAAGCCACCCCTTGGGTCAAAGGAAACATGATCACGATATCAGCTGCTGAAAGGGGCACACCAAAGCCTGGGAACAGATTTAGAGAGGTGGTCATCTCTTGCCCTCTGTCCCCTTCCTAGTGCACTGCTGCAGATCCAGCAGTGGTCATCCTGTTGGGGCCCAAGGAACATGGGCTGAAAGAGGCTGCTTCTTAGGTTTCTCCAGCAGCTCTGCCCCTGCTGAAGACTAGTACACACTGGGACAGGGTGCTTTTGGCACTTCGTCACTTCTGCACCTGTCGAGGACAAGTACACAGAGGAGAAGACCCTGCAGCCAGCTGTTACTCTTAAGCACCGTCTACTGGACTGAAGCCTGAATTACACCACCAAACAAAAATACATCACCACACCAAGCCACTACAGGAGCCTATCTGCAACCAAGGAACTTGTACAGAGCCTTGGTCCTCTGAAAGTACCCAGAAATGAAGCAAAATGATCCTATACAACATACACCACAGTCATACCCTTAAGAGAAAGAAAGAATGAAAAATTTAAAAAAAAAACCTCTTTCCAAATGATAGCAAATTCAACAAAGGAAGCATCAAGTCTCTCAGATGAGAAGAAACCATCACAAGAACTCTGGCAATACAAAAAGCCAGAATGTTCCATCACCTCCAAAGGATTACACCAGCAATCTAGCAATGAGTCCTAACCAGAATGGAACGTCTGAAATGACAGGTATAGTATTCAAGATATAAGTGGCAAAAAAAAATCACCAAAATCCAACAGAAAGTTGAAATCCAACAACAACCCCATAACAACGATCCTGGATTTGAATGACAACATAGCCATTTTGAGAAAGAACCAAGCAGAGCTTCTTGCATTGAAAAATTTACTATAGGAATTTCAAAAAACAGTTCACAGCCTTAGCAACAGACTAGACCAAATAGAAGAAATAATTTAAGAGCTCAAAGACCAGACCTTTGAATCAACCCAGTCAGACAAAAATAAAAAAAGAATTTAAAAATAATGAACCAAACTTTTGAGAAATGTAGGATTAGGTAAAGGAACAAAATCTATGACTTATTGGAATTTTCTTTTTTTGAGACAGAATCTCACTCTGTTACCCAGTCTGTAGTGCAGTGGCATGATCTTGGCTCACTGAAACCTCCACCTCCTGGGTTCAAGCAATTCTCGTGCCTCAGCCTCCCAAGTATCTGAGATTACAGGCGTGTGCCAGCATGCCTCGCTCATTTTTGTATTTTTAGTAGAGATGGGGTTTCGCCATGCTGGCCAGTTAGGTCTCAAACTTCTGGCCTCAGGTGATCCTCCCACCTTGGCCTCCCAAAGTGCTGGGATTACTGGCATGAGCCACTGTGCCCGGATGACTTATTGGCATTTCTAACAGAGAAGAAGAGAAAGTGAGCAACTTGGGAAATGTTTTTGAGGATATAATTCAGGAAACTGTCCTCAATCTTGCTAAAGAGGTCCACATGCTGATACAAGAAATCCAGAGAACTCCCATGAGACTGAAGGTAGGCAGTGAAGCAAATGCTTGCATTCTTGTGTGGCTCTGATTAGCATCAGGATATCTACATTTTACATAGGAAAGGAGGGAGCAGAGGAAACAGTTATGCATTCATCTCACATTCAGTAAATCTCCATTTTACATAAGATAAAGTAAGCATGTGAATAGAGGGAGTGGAGTAGAGGAAAACTCAATGATTCATTCATCTCAGGGTAGGCAGAGGGATGATTTCTGGTCCTGACCTTGTCCCAGAACTATGAAAATAAGCTGGTAATTGAGATTGTCAGGGTGAAATTGAGCCGACTCACTTTTAGGGATAGTTTACAGGTGGGATGTGCATTCTGAAAGATTTAGGGGTTCACAGCAAATTGTGAGGGAGGACATCTGAGGAGACATGTGGCCTTCTGTCACTGTGGGAACCTGGCTTATGGATGAGGCTATGACACAGGGTTGTGAAGTTATGGCTATGTGTTTGAGAACAAGGAAGGCAGTATTGCGTAACTCAGTTCCCAAGCTTAATTTTCCCTTTGACACAGTGAGCTTGGGGTTGGGGTCTCTATTCTCTTTTCTCTCACAAAATCATATGGGAACATTCCAGAAAATGTGAAGTTCTGTGCTCACTATTAAATAAAAATGACCAAGAGAGCCATGGGTAAGCTCCCTTCTCAGTCATCAGGACTGCAACAGAGAGTTTTCCCCTGTGTGGACAGGGTCCTGAATTCTGCAGGATCCCGTGGGGACACAAGTGTCAGGATAGAGGCACTCATTCAGCCAGGTACAGTGTCTCACGCCTGTAATGTCAGCTACACTGGAGGCTGAGGTCACCTTGAGGCCAGGATTTCAAGACCAGCCTGGGCAACATAGCAAGATCCCATATCTAAGAATAAAATTAGCCGGGTGTGGTGGCATGCACCTGTAATCCTAGTTAATTGGGAGGGAGGCTGAGGTGGGAGGATTGCTTGAGCCTAGGCGTTGGAGGCTACAACGAGCTAGGATTACACCACTGCACTCCAGTCTCGGCAACAGTAAGACTCCATATGTGACAACAACCAACCTATTCTGTGTTTTGAGTGTAAATTACCATAGCCTTTGTAACAGAAATTAGGCAGTAACTCTTATCATTCAAAATGCATAAGAAATTTGGCTAAGCAATTGTACTTCTAGATTATTTATTTATTTATTTATTATTGGGACAGAGTCTCACTCTGTCCCCCAGACTGGAGTGCAGTGACAGGATCTCAGCTCACTGCAACCTCTGCCTCGTGGGTTCAGGCAATTGTCCAACCTCAGCCTCCCGAGTAGCTGGGGATACAAGTGCGCATCACCATACCCAGCTAATTTTTGTATTTTTTGTAGAAACGGGGTTTTGCCATGTTGGCCAGGCTGGTCTTAAAACTTCTGACCTCAGGTGATCCACCCACCTCGACCTCCTAAAGTGCTGGGATTACAGGCACTAGTTCCTAATTTAGAGCCACATTGTTTAATGTCTAAAAGCACTCTTGCATATTTATTACTGCATTGTTTGAACTTAAATATCCACAACAGGATAACAGGATAATTAAACAGTTAATTGCACTATGGCACATCCATCTGTTAACAAAATGAAGTCGATCTTTTTGTACTGTGGTGGAAAGATTTTCTGAACATAGTTCAGGTAAAAAAATGACCACTGTTGAATAATGCTTCTGGTATAACACAAAGTGTTTGAAAATGTACACAATACACTGTAATATCCAATGCATACATCAAAGTAAATATATTTTATTCTAGGATAATTATTAAAACATTAAGAAATACTCTTTAATCATATATGTTAAAACTTGTAGAAAATCAATAACATACAAGTAAAGAAGATCAAGAAGTCAAAAAAAGTAATTCCAAGTGTAGAAAGCATGGTGAAAAGTGATGGAAGAAAACTGCAGAAATTTAAAATGTGAAATTAAAATATATAATTATTAATCAAAATACATAATTCTTAATTAAAATACATAATTCTTCATTGAACCCCGAATCTGTCAGGACATATGTGTGATCTTGGATAACGCATTCAACCTCCTGAACACTGAATTTCCTTGACTGTAAAATGTTTTAGAGATGTTCCTCACCCGGTTGCATGAAGCAAACCTCTGTGTGTTAAGGCACTTCCCACAGCATCTGCGACACAGAACAGTGGCATCTGTGCTCTTCGTAGTCTCTGAACACAGACCCACAGCAGTATATTTTGTGTTTTTTTTTCTATATAAAAGGCTTTGAAAATGTCCCACAGCTTCCTCAGTAAGTGACTGTCAAAAGGGGCAGCCTTCAAAAGTAGAATTCTGGCAAATGTCTTCAAAAGACACAAAATTATGGCAATGGGCACATTTCCCTCCTGCCTTGCTCTTCTGGATGCATCCATTCTCTCTCACAGCATAGTCATTTTCTTCCACTCCACTGTAGAAATTTTCCTTCTAGTGGCAAGAGTGACGTGAGTGATATGTGGAAATTTCTTTCCAAGCGTGTTGGAGAAGCTTCCTCTGCCTGCTTCTTTTTGGCCACCTCCTGCCAGGGTAAGAGCAGAGGGCCTCCAGGGCTGCTCTGTCACCCCCAACAGCATGGCCCTCACTGCAGTCACTCCGGAAGCTTCCCTCTAAAGGAAGCTTGTGCAGGAAACATCATGCATCGAGCAGCATGGGGACAGGGGCTGGCCAGCTGGGCAGGTCTCACACTCCTGACACTCAGACTCCAGGATACTCCTCTGTCCCCACCCAGGGCAGATCCCTGCCCTAAAAGTTTTCCCCTCATGTCCAGCAAATGCTGCATGGAGCCCTGGATTTCTACGTGGAAAGCTAGGAGGAGGGAGAGCTGAAATGAGGATGTAATCACCCTTTCCAAAGAGGTCAGTCCAGTACTACCATGTGCTCCTGGGCAAGCTCTCCAGGTTGAGGGAACAGGAGCAGGGGTTATGTCAGGTGAAGGTTGAAGTGAGAGACCTCCCAGGAGGTGTAGAATATTCCACTAGGGACATCTCATACCCTTCCAGGATTAGACCTTGAGGCCTGGAGATCCCCAGGCAATTAGTATTGAAGGTCGAAAGGCCAATGACAGGAATAGGAAGGCCCACTGTGTCATTCACAAAGCACTTCCAAACCCATCACCACAGGTGACCCTCACAACAACCCTGTGAGACCTGCAGGACAGGGGCTCTCACAAAGGAGGTGTCGGGAATGTCAAGATTTTAACACCTTCTCCAAGTCAGGATCAGGAAACGCTGTCCCAGCACTGACCTATATTCCCTATGCTTCCTCCCACAAAACAGCTTAGGGTGACTGATAACTTGTGGGCAGAGACCCTCACTTCCAATCCCCACAAGGGGCTGTGCAGTGGGGAGGACGAGGCCCCCTCCTCTGACTGTCTCCTCCAAGACCCTGTTTTCTGAGGAAGGTCACTCTGGGAACTGTTGGCCTCTGCAGATGGGGGCCTGGACCATGTGGAAAGATGATGTGAAGGTCACACCTGGCAGGCACCAGCGCTGGAGGGCAAACCTCACCTTTAAAACTCACACTTTTTTAAAAAATTTATTTTTATTTTTAATTTATATGAGTACATGGTAGGTGTATATATTTATGGGGTACATGAGATAGTTTGACACAGGCATGCAATGTGTAATAAACACATCAGGGTAAATGGGGCATTCATCACCTCAAGCAAGGGAAATGCCAGCTGCTTATAAAACCATCAGATCACATGAGAACTCACTTACTATCATGAGAACAGCATGGGGAAACTGCCGCCATGATTCAGTTACCTCTCACTGGGTCCCTCCCAGGACACATGAGGATTATGGAAATTACAGTTCAAGATGAGATTTGGGTGGCAACGCAGCCAAACCATATCACCTTATAAAATGAATAATGTGGAAATAGCAGCGGGCCTGAATCCTGACCCCTGCTGTGTGATGCCCCCTCTTGAGGAGGGCCTGGCTTCTGTGCCATGCAGAAACTTTCCTGTGCTTCCTGCTGACTTGGGGTGAGCCAGGTCTTCCTGGGGGAGCTGGGCACTTGTGGGACAGGAGAGTCCCTGTCCTGGGGTCTCCATTTGTCTCCTTACCACATCAACAAAACACCAGAGGAGCCAACTCAACAAACCTCAATGCACGGCACTTCCTGGACCCTAGGTGCTCAGGGCCCCCTGAGCTGCCCTGGGGCAGAACACTGGGCAGTGGCCAGTGCTTTCCCAACAACTCCCCCATGCACAGATGCCTGGTGGACACACTTCCCTTAACCCTGCTCAGCTGGAGCTCAGCCCCCATCCTAGTACCTCTTCCTCCTCCTCCAGGGCAGGAAAAGGAAACCCAACTCCAAACCCATGGAGAATCCTCATCTTGGGTGAGGCCTTGGCTTGGGACTCAGCCCCTTTGTCAGGCCTGCAAGGAGCTCCATCTTCCCCTGTTTCCCTGCCCCATGAGACCCTGGGCCTCTGGGAAAGAGTTGAGGGTGTCATCCACTCAGCAGGTACCGCATGATCTTTGGGAAGGATTTGTGTTATACCTGCCCCTGGTGGGATAGGAGCCTCCAGAGCTGGGCAGCATTTGGGCTGTAGAAACCTGAGAAGCCCCTGACCCATCATGCATCAGAGCCCACTCCCAAGATGTGGAGCCATCAGCTGGAAGAGCTGGGCAGTGGCAGGGGACCCCGGACCCTGAGGCCTTCCTCCCTTCCATCAGGTGACCCTACCATGTGGCCTCAGCTCTAGAGAGGTGGGCCCTAGCTGGAGGCACTGCACAGCAGCATCCTGGGTAAAGGTACCAGGAGGGCAGGCCTGCCTTTGAGGCTGTGAGGCAGGGCTGCGGCAGGCAGTGGCCAGTGGAGGGAACCGGGTGGGTGCCGAGGGACTACATGGCCATCTCCTGGACATGGGGTCTGGCTAGGGGACATGGGATGGGCAGACACTGCCATCTTGACTTCATCGGCCCATCTGTGGGCTGGGGGGGCAGCTGGGAGTGTGGCCAGCTGGGAGGTAGGAGGACTCTTGGGGAAGTGAGAGTCACCTGCATGAACTCAGGGCTAGAGGGCTGTGGCTCTGGGACACACAGGGTGGCCAGGGGGAGGCTGCAGCGGCCTCTGCTGTTGGGAATGAAAGGTGTCTGCCTTGAAGTGAAAGGGTCCCTGTTCAGCTCTGGGCCCCTGTGGGACCCTCAGCAGGGATGTCCTGAAGGCTCCTAACAAGCTGGAAAGCAAGGAAGGTGCCTTGTCTGGAAGTCAGGATCGCCCAGCCAGGGTGGCCGTCCCATGGCCTGGCTGCATGAGGCCCTGGGGGTAGCTGTCCGCCTACCTTGCAGGGAGTGCCTCTCCTCAGCCATCAGCTGATTCAGTCCCCAGAAGGTGTCTTCCTCTGGCAGATACAGGAGGAGGATGGCAGTTAGGCAGCTCATGTCCCTGTAGTAGCCCACCTCCTGCAAGAGCCAGAGTCACCATGGAAGCAAGTCACCTGAGAGGGCTGAGGCCATCTGGGAGGACTCATGTCACTGGAGAGGACAGAGATAACCTGGGAGACCTCCCTCAGGCCCTAGGGGATTTAGGGTGCAGACTCTGCACCCCTCCCCTGACCCTGGGCATGAGGACTAAGCAAGTCCCCCACAACTCAGTTGAAAAGGGACCTGGAGGGACTTCTGCAGTGAGTGTCCAACCTCACATGGTCTGAAGGGGCACAGGCAAGGATCATTCACATCCCCTATCCTGGGCCAGGCTGGGAAGGCCAGTGTGCCAGGACTGGGGCAGCACCTGTGAACCGCACCCACCACAAGGGCAGGTGGTGGGCCACTGATCACCACACAGTGGGTCCTGTGATGGCCCAGGGGCTGCCTGCCAGGCACAGGAGGGCGGCTGGGTCCAGACCCCATGTGAGCAGCCCATGGAGTGATCTCAGCGGCTCTCCCTGCCTGGAAGGTTCTGGGAAGTGGGGGCCAAGCAGGAACAGCCACCTGGGTGACCTCCTCCCTATCTACTATGCTCCTACGGGGTTAAGGCAAAGGGGAAATTGGATCCCTGCCAGGTTTCCAATAAAGAGGCTTCCTCAGGATGCAAACTCATTTCATGAAAAAAAGCCTGGCCCCATCAGGCACCTCAGCAGCTTGTCAAACATGTCTCCTGCAAGGACTATCCTGTGTGCAACACTGCTAAGCTCCTTGTTTGGGGCAACACCAGGAAGGGAGGGTCATTTCTTCTTCCAAGATGTGGTGGTTGGGTCCAGGTGACATCAACAGTCTGGGCCCTGAGCCCTTTCCATCTCAGTGGGACCCCTTGAGACACCAGCTTTCCTTCCTTGCTTGGGTGTCCACGCCAGCAGTTCTACCTACTACGTTATTACAGCCAGATCAGGATAATTGTCCTCTCTCTGGAATAAATGCAACGACCACTGTTCTTTGAGCATTATTTATCTTAAATTATTGTTTTAATTAGATATGTATCTCACTTATATTAGCCAAATTTCCTTTCAATGTAACCAAATTTCTTTTAAGTGAAAATTAAATATTTACCTTCATCAAGCATTCTATGAATATAAAATGTTTATTTTTTTCAACTTTAGAAGAAATTGAAAATGTCTACATGCTACTAATCTAAAAAACAGGCTCTGGGTTTATATGGTGTTAACCTTTCTTCCAAATTTTAAGGAATAGATATTTAAATGCCATCCACTTTGTTTTAAAATACATAAAATGTTTTAAGCTTTTGACCTCAAAATTTACAGTAGCACAGCTATTCCATAATGAATAAACCACAGAATCAAAACAAAGAAAGATTCTACAGACCAGTCTAACCAACAAGACAATTATAAACTAGTGGTTCAAATATCAAAAACCAATTTCAATGACAAATGCATGGTATGAAAACCCTGCAAATGTCAAGTAGAATATATTATACTTGAATGAAATTATGAGTTGAGAGTAGGAAATCTATGTTTAACCAAGCAAATTAAATAAAGTTTATGAGGAAATTATACTGCTAATGTTTTATTATTTGGCAAGCTATTCAGTGGAACACAAAGATATTCTTAATGAAGTCGAAAATATATTTTAAAATGTGACTGAAGTGGATTAAAAAATAATGAGGACATGAATAACTTTAAAAAGTATTCAGGGATAAAGAGAGAAAAATAAATTTAGATTTCATACATACATAAAATATATTTAAAAAGTTATGTTTTTTGGTTGCTTGAATAAAAGGAACAGATATTTAAATTCCATGCCTTTCATTTTAAAGTTTAGGAATTGCTTATAGCTTTCCACACTGACTTTTATACTAACACAGTTAATCTAATCGAGGGATAACAAAATCAAAACAAGCAGAATTCTCTTGACCAATCTATTTTCTTGATTTTTAAAAGTCAATGTACTCTCAAAGAAACAAGACTATTATTCGTAGATTCTGTTATTTGAAAATATTTACTGATCATTTTTACCTTACACCAAGTGATCTCCAGCTCATGGAAAAATATGTAAAGTTGCCCAGCTTCATTAAGCTTAAACTCTTCTGAAGGAGAAAAGAAGCAATGGAGTAGGGACATTAAAGCAGGAGTTTGGTGATATGGCTGAGACTTCTACTTGCACACTGTGGTAGCTGTGTGGAGACTGGATTGAAAAAAGGGCAATGACAGAAGCTTAAATTAGTATCAAATATGGCAATCCTATAATTTTAAGGGTCCTTGAAATAAGAGTGTATAATAGTTCTCATTATTTCCCCAAGAAATCTGTGCACTTGGCCTTGTGTGGAAAGCGCTATAGTTACCAAGTGGTGGGGGTGGGAAGGTGAATTTTCAACAACATTTGGAATTACTACACTTTAAAGGTAAAGCTGGCAGGAATTCCATACACATCAGATCTGAAAATGTGTGTGTGTGTGTGTGTGTGTCTGTCTGTGTGTGTTTGTGTGTGTGTGAAGCAGGGAAAGAGAGCAAGAGTGAGAGTGAGCAAGAGAGAGAGGAGAGAGAGGGAGAGAATCAGACAGATACAGGAAGAGAGTGACAGAGCTACAGAGACAGAATTAAAAGGGGACACCAAGAATATTGAGCTGAGAAACTATAAAATGGGAGTTGCCATTAAACAGAATGGGGAAGAGCAAATTTTGGGAGTTTCAGTGGCTCCATACAGACATATTAATTTTGAGATTCTTAACTGACATCCACGTGGAAAAGTCAGGGAGTGTTGGGTGTAGTGTCCAGTGTTTAGGTGTAATATGAAATATCAGGAAATTAATGACACAAAAATTAGTAAGAAAGCAAAGATAAGAAAGATAAGAAGTCAAAGTCCTGAGCCTAATGGTCCTCTAACATTTAAAAAATAGTAAAGATGAAACCTGCAAAAAAGGACTAGGGGTAATTATCAAAAACGTGGTGGGGGGAAAGTAAGTTAAGTGTTCTGGAATTCTATAAAAAAGTTTTACAAAGAGAAGGTGGAGATCAACTGTGTGAAATGCTGCTGATATATAAATTAAGATGAAGGCCGAGAAGTTATGGTTCAATTTATAATTTAACAATATGGATAGCACTTATATTTTGATATGAGCAGCTCGTTGGAATGAGTAGGTGAGAAACCATATTGGAGTGGTTGCTGAGATGAAAGTCTGATCCCTGGATTCTTAAGGAAAAATTTTATTGGACTACAGAGGCATAAATTGGATTTTTAATTCTGGAGTCAGGATGTGCTCAGTAAACATGTGCCCATCAATGCCTCCTTGCATTTTTTTTTTAGCTAGGTATTCTGTTATCTTTTAATAATATAATAATTACCTGCAAAACCTACACCCATGTTGCAGCAAACCACCATGACACATGTATACCTGTGTAACAAAACTGCATGTTCTGCACATTTATCCCAGAACTTAAAGGAGAGAGAGAGAGAGAAAGAGTGAGAGAGAAAGAAAATCCAGCCAAGTGCGGTGGCTCATGACTGTAATCCCAGCGCTTTAGGAGGCTGAGACAGGTGGACCATCTGAGGTCAGGATTGAGAACAGCCTGGCCAACATGGTGAAACCCTGTCTTTACTAAACATACAAAAATTAGCTGGGTGTGGTGGGGGGCACCTGTAGTCCCAGCTACTTGAGAGGCCAAGGCAGGAGAATCACTTGAACCTGGAAGGCAAAGACTGCAGTGAGCTAAGATCACGCCACAGCACTACAGCCTGGGTCACAGGGTGAGACGGTTTGAAAAAGAAAAACAAAAACAAAAACTAAAAAACACCCATTTAATTGACAAACTTTACAAAGACTGATACTAGAGGTTGTTGGAGAGGACGTTGTTCCACATATCTTATGAGTTGCCGATGGACAAGTAAGATGGTAAAATGTCTTTGAAAAACTGACCATACCTGCTATACTTAAATATTCAGATACCAAACACCCAGAAATTCCATCTTGTCATTTATTTCCACAAGAAAAAACAAGAGACCTGTATTAAAATATTGATTTCTATTAAAAATAATCACACTAGGTTTCCTGAAATTTTTTTGTTGGTAGCTCTTGTTTTCAGCAGTACAACTTCCAATATATATGTGTATATATATTTAATATATGTATTTATGTATATATATTGGACAGATATATATGTATATTATACATATGCATACATTATATATTATGTATATATGTATATACATACACATGTATATATGTAATATACATACACACACGTATATATGTAATATATACACACACGTATATATGTAATATATACACACACGTATATATGTAATATATACACACATGCATATATGTAATATACACACACGTATATATGTAATATATATACACATATGCATATATGTAATATATACACACATATGCATATATGTATATACACACATATGCATATATGGTGTATATACACACATGCATATCTGTGTATATACACAATATATGCATATGTGTGTATATACACAATATATGCATATGTGTGTATATACACCATATATGCATATGTGTGTATATACACCATATATGCATATGTGTGTATATACACCATATATGCATATGTGTGTATATACACAATATATGTATATATATTAGGCAGAATTTTGCTCTTGTTGCCCAGGTTGGAGTGCAATGGTGCAATCTCGGCTCACTGCCACCTCCACCTCTCAGGTTCAAGCGATTGTCCTGCCTCTGCCTCCCGAGTAGCTGTGACTACAGGCTTGTGCCACCACCCTTGGCTAATTTTGTATTTTTAGTAGAGATGGGGTTTCACCATGTTGGTCAGGCTGGTCTCGAACTCCTGACCTCAGGTGATCCACCTGCCTTGGCCTCCCAAAGTGCTGGGATTACAGGTGTGAGCCACTGTGCCCGGCCTATTTTGTATTTTTTAATCTACCACACTCTAAGAACACATATTTTAAATCAATTTGTACATTCAGTGACTAGAACAAAACCAGCATTTTGTAGATTCCAAAGAATTATTTGTTGTATAAATGATGAATAACTTAAATAAGTTATTATTTATAACATCTATATACAAACAATATATTACCTGAGAATACAGTGATAACACGTTATGTATAAAATGATTTCAATCTCAGTTAAAAATATTTTTGCATGAGTTATTGTCATATGCAGATGCTCACATTGTTTTGTTTAGATGAAAATGTTTGTAACTACTATGCACATTTTTGTTACTTAAGCCTTTTGGTCTTGCTGCCGTAGCAAATCCTGTGCCTCTTAAGAACATGAACCTCTTTTACTTCATTTTTTAGCAGATTTCTTAATGAAATATATACCATACTATTTTGTTTAACACATAAGCAGACACCCTGTCAGAAGCAAAGAGACATCTATTCCACCATTACCACCCATGCCTCTGCTAATGTGGCTGCTGAAGATGTTACCTAGAGCAGAGGACTTTGTGTTCAACCTAAGCACTTTATATCCTTTATTTTCAACTGGGTAGGAGATAAAATAATTCAGCAGCAATAAAAGTCACACTTCTTAAAGTTGCAGTCTCACCAATGCAACACAATGTAGCAGTCTCTCTTGTGAGGTATCACCTTGAGTTCTTCATCTCACCACCAAGATGATTAAGGAACAGGGACACACGGGTGAGGTGGGAGTGAAAGTTTAATAAGCAAAAGGAGGAAGCTCTCTGCAGCAGACAAGGGCGTCCAAGTGGATTGCCGTTTTTACAGTTGAATCAAAAAGCTTTTATAAGAAACTCCTCTCAGCTATATATAAAACTGTCTGCACAATTCTCTTTATATATCCAGCTGTGGGTATGTCTCTAGTCAAGCACAAAGTGGGCTTCTCCTGTTTGTATAACTGTGGGTTTGTTTTAGGTAAGCCCCCCTCCTCCCTGTGCAAGTTCCCACAGAGGCCGCCATGTATATGCCTGAAAAGGGGAGGAAAATTTTACCTGGGAGCTTGCCAATTACACAAAGAACAGAAGGCATCGGTGCTGGACCCTGCATGCTTATCTGTTCAGGGCTTATCTGTAGGTGCAGTAGTTGTGATTTTTCAGGCAGACAGCTTCCCTGAGGACCAGTCTCTTACTTGTTTACTCAACTAATTTTCCTTTCCTTCTCCCTCAACATTATGCAGCAAAACAGATTACACTTCTCTTTCCCAGTAAATCAGTGTTGGTACTCCACTCTGAATACTTGTATTATTGGATTTCTTAGAAAAAAATATTTGGGATTATAATTTAGATGCCATCAAACAATGAACAAAAATATGCTACTTCGTTTCCCTTCTCTTCTCTTGTTACCAGACAATAGCTAGTTTTCTTTTCTCTCCAACTCCTTTTTTCTGTGCTTCTACCTGATTTTTAAAAACACTTCTACACATTTCCAATCTTAGTATAGCAGACATCAAATACGTGGTCAAACTACATACATAGGAAGAGTTGAATTATCTAATTATATTCAAGCAGTTTAAAATATTTCCCCTTCAGTTTGCTTTGCAGTTATTTTACATAATCAAATGTCTTCCTGATATACATCCCAACCCAGTGGTTGTCAAGCTCTGCTTTGTTTTCTAATTGCATCAGAATTATCCACAATTCTTTTTTTTTTTTTTTTGAGATGGAGTCTTATTGTTGCCCAGGCTGGAGTGCAGTGGTGTGATCTCAGCTCACTGTCATCTCTGCCTCCCTGATTCAAGTGATTCTCCTGCCTCAGCCTCCCAAGTAGCTGGGACTACAGGCATGTACCACCATGCCTGGCTAATTTTCGTATTTTTAGTAGAGATGAGGTTTCACCATGTTGGCCAGGCTGGTTTTGAATTCCTGACCTCAAGTGATCCACTGCCTGGGCCTCTCAAAGTAAGAATTATCCAAAATTCTTATGATAAATATGGATAAATCAGCACAACTCAAGATTTAATACAAATTTCCAAGAGAAGAAACCCAGGAATATGCATTGAAAACGTCTCCCTCAGGTGATTCTGATGTGATATGTGGTCTGAGTCTAAAATGCAAGGAAAATTACCTTCCCTGCCCTCCAGTTGGCCCTTATGTCCAGATGTCCCTCTTCCCCTTTCTCATTGTGCTCTCTCCTTCTGTGCCTTTGTTCTATTCTCCCTCCACTTCTCATCCAGATGCCAAGCCCTCTTCCATCAATTGTCCTAAACTCCAAATGGTCAGTTGCCTCTATACTTCCCTCTGTCCCATGAACAAGTTACTCAGGCAAACGTAGAATTTCGGCTTGGACCAAGCTGAATCAAGAGCTGCAATTAAAGATTCCCCTAAGCCCGGAGGGGACCAGCAAACACTTATAGAAGATTTTGGATTTCCTCCGAATGCATAAGGCTCTGGGTAACCTGATGCTACAGACCAAATGTTATTGTCCCCCTCAAATTCAAGTGCTGAAATCTAATTCCCTATGTGATGATATTTGGAGGTAGGGCCTTGGGGAATGATTAGATCATGAAGGCAGGGACCACAGGAGTGGGATTAGTAGCCCCTATTGAAGGCACCATAGAAAGCTCCCTCATCCCTTCTGTCATGTGAGGACATGGTAGAAACATGGCTGTCTATGAACCACAAAGCAAGCCCACACCAGACATGGAATCTGCTAACCACTTGACCTTGAATTTTGCCATCTCCAGAACAGAGAGAAACAAATTTGTTTATAAGCTTCCTCATCTATGGCATTCTGTTTTGACCCCAGATTAGCTAAAAACACCAAAATATCAACTTGTACATCAAATTTTCGAAATGGATGCTAAAACTTTGATAGCAAAAGGTGACTGATCTGCCTGAGAAATGAACCTACATGATCCCTCTTTCCACAAAGCTGGAGGGAGAGTCAACACAAGCAAAAATAGGTCAAAGTCTTCTAAAAGCCATACCTGAAGGGTTTTCAATATCACTTGATCAGATGGTAATTTAATCACCCAAAGAACCACAACAAAATACACAACTATCAGAGGTTTTCAACGTCACCTCAAAAACACCATCTACAATATTAGGGAGTGAAAGAAGTCATGGAAGTTTCAAAAAGTCAAACTTTATTTCAGTGTTATGGTAGAAATTTGAAATTCTTAGTTAAGCTATGAATAAATCCTTGGGCAGGTGCAGGCATGGAGATTCTGGAGTGCTGCTGCTGAGTTTAAGAGCTTCCTTTGGAGATGCCCCCTGGCCCCCTCAACCCCTGTCCACCTGTCAAGAAGAGGCCATCCTGGGCAGCACATTAGAGGCAAATGGCCCAGATGCCCAGCTGAGGGCAAACCTCCATTCCTGGAGGAGGAGGTCGCCTCTGGGAGCAGGAGGACCTGCTGGAACCCCTGCTCACAGGCTCCTTTTCTTGCTCTCCAGCACCTCCTGCAGGCAGGCAAACACCTCCAGCAGCAGTAGCGGCAGGGCCTTCAGCAGCAGGGCTGCTGCTCTGCTGAATGAGAGAAGTCCCTCTCCAGTGAGGCAGAGGAGCCCAGGTTGCACACCCTGGTCTCTGCCTCCATAGCTTCCACTGTGCCCAGGACTGGGAGCAGTGTGGGAGCTGCTGGCTGGAACTGTGCTGGTCACCCCCTCTCTGCCACCTCTAGCTCCAGCCACACTTTCAGCTCCAGGGCTGAGGCCAGTGGCTCTACAGGAGGTGCCATGAAGTCAGGCAGCTTCTCACTAGGCTGGTCCTGTGCAGTCCCAGGGCAGCGGCAGGAGGGCTCTGGAGCTTCCTCTAGCTCCAGCGCTGTCCCTGGAAGGGGCTCTGCCCCTGGTGCTGGCACTGGCTCAACAGCTGGCACTGGAAATAGCTGTGTTTCTGCACCTGAAGCAGGAGCTGCAAAAGGAGAGAGGTCACCAATATCACTCACTTTCCACTGGAATTTCCAAACATGAAAACAACCTCACTGAATTTAAAGGAATTTCAGCCTGAAAACATTGTCCCTGGAAAGACTTCCAGACTGCAGGTGACCTCACCATGTGCCTGTGTCTCAATGAGCTCCAGAGGCTCCAGCTGGACAAGGACAATGTGCAGATGTGGCCCTGGTGGGATCACTGGTGAGGCCTGGCCTGGTAGCTCCATCTGGGGCCTGATGTCTACCTGGTGACTCCTGTCCTGTGGTACCTGGGGGGACCTTCTGTCAAATGGCCAGAGGCATCTGGGGTGAGCGATGAGCTTACAAGGGCATCGTTGGAAAAGAAAGGCTCTCACTCCTGCCATTCCTGAAGCAGGAGCCTTGAGCTGTGGGGATGCAGCACAAGAACGTCTTGCTCTCTTGAGCATCTCCCACCAAGTGAGCTGGCTACAGGGCTAACTCTAGGATGTGGGTGCCTGGTTATCGGGATTCTTTTTTTTTTTTTTTTTTTTGAGACATTGTCTCATTCTGTTGGCCAGGGTGGAGTGCAGTGGCATGATCTCGACTCACTGCAACTTCCGCCTATTGGGTTCAATCAATTCTCCTGCCTCAGTCTCCTGAGTAGCTGGGATTACAGGCCCAAGACATGCACCACAACACCTGGCTAGTTTTTTTGTGTTTGTTTTTTGTTTGTTTGTTTGTCTGTTTTGAGACAGAGTCTCGCTCTGTCACCCAGGCTGGATGGAGTGCAGTGGCGTGATCTGGGTCACTGCAAGCTCCGTGTCCTGGGTTCATGCCTTTCTCCTGCCTCAGCCCCCCGAGTAGCTGGGACTATAGGCGCCCACCACTACGCCCGGCTAATTTTTGTATTTTTAGTAGAGACGGGGTTTCACTGTGTTAGCCAGGATGGTCTTGATCTCCTGACCTTGTTTGCTTTTTGTATTTTTAGTAGACATGTGGTTTTACCATGTTGTTCAGGCTGGTCTCGATCTCCTGGTTTCATGATCCTCCTGCCTCAGCCTCCCAAAGTGCTGGGATTACAGGTGTGAGCCACCGTGCCTGGCCTGGTTACCAGAATTCTAAGTTCTGTTAGGGTCTGTTGCCAAAGAAGTGAGGTTGCTTCTTTAAGGTTCCATCCCCTCAGCCTCCCCCTTCCAGAAGACCTACGCAGGACCCCAGTGGGCTTCTGACTGCTCATCCTCCCCATAGGTCAACTCCTTACCTGTACACAGTTATGTCCACCCAGGGCCTACTTGGACACCTGCACCTGATGTTCACCAGGGGCCTAGGAATCCACTTGGGGCCTGGGATCCTACAGGGGCCTAATGTTACCCTGCAGATTGAGTAGCCACCTGGGGACAAGGTATCAACCTGGGGACTGTGGTTGACCTGTGGGTTAATGTCCACCTGGGGACTGGTTATTCAGCTGAGGCCTGATGCGTACCTGGGGCCGAATGTCCCCCTCAGGGTGAATTCCACCCAGATCCACCTGGGGCCTAATGTCTGCCTTAGATCTGTGTCCCACTGGGGCCTTGTGTTCACCAGGGACTGGTATCCAGCTGTGGCCTGATGACCTACTGCATCCTGTTGCTCACCTACGGCCTGGTGTCTACCTGGGGCTTGGTGATCACCTGGGAACTGGATATTAACCTGGGGCCTGGGTGACCACTTAAGGCCTGATGTGTGCCTGGGGCCTGACTGTCCACCTGGGGACTGGGTGTCCACCTTGGGTCTGATGTCTACCTGAAGTTAGGTATCTACCTAAGGCTTGGTGTCTACCTGTGGCCTGATGTCCACATGAGTCTGGGGTTCGGTTGGGGCCTGCTGTACATCTGGGACCTTGGTGTCTATCTGAGGCCTGATGTCTACCTGGTGACTGCCATCCTCTTGAGGCCTGCTATCCACCTGGGAATGGTTTATCCATGGAAATGGTTATGTCCACCTGGGGCTGGATGTTGCCCAGGGGCTAGATGTCCACCTGTGGCCCCGTGTCCACCTAGGGCCTGATGTCCACCTGGGACATGGTGTTCACCTGAGACCTGGGTGTTTACATAGGGCCTGATGTCCAGCTGGTGCCTAGGTGCCCACCGGGGGCCTTCTGTTAACCTGGGGACTGGTATCCAGCTGGGTCCTAATGACCACCTGGGTTGAATTATTCACCTAGAGTTTGGTATTCACTTAGGGCTTGAGTGTCAGCCTTGGACCTGGTGTCCACCTGGGCCTTGGGTATCAAACTAGGGGTTTGGTATCCAGTTGAGACATCATTTGCACCTGGGGTCTGAGTGTTCGCATGAGGCCAGATGACCACTGGGGGCCTGAATGTCAACCTGGTGTCTGAAATTCACTGGAAGCCTAGGTATCCACCTGGGGCCTGATGTCCACCTGGGACTAGGTGTCAACATGTGGCCTGATGTAAACCTCTAGTTGAGTGTCCACCTTGGGCCTGATGTCCACTGGGGGACTGATGTTCCCCTTTGATCTGATGTCTACCTGGAAACCGTGTATTCACCCATGGCCTGATGGTCACCTGGGGTTGAATGTCCAACTGTGACCAGATGTGCACCAGGATTCTGGGCATCCACGTGGGACCTGATGTTCAGCTGGGGCCTGGAGTTCACCTGAGGCATGATGCCTACCTGAAGCTTAATGTTCATCTGAGTGCTGGATGTTCACCTGGGGCCTGATATCCCCCTGGAGCCCAAGGACCCTTCTCAGGCCTGATGTCCACAAGTTGGCCTGGTATTCATCTGGGGCCTTCGTGTTAACCTGTGGCCTAATGTACTCCTGGGTTCTAGTGTCCTCTTGGGACCTGATGTCTACCAGGATCCAGGTATCCACCTGGGGCTCGGTATCCACCTAGGGCTTGATATTCACCTGGGGCCTAGGAATCCACTTGATAACTGGTGCCCATCGGGGTCCTGATGTTCACCTTGGGACTGGGTAACCACCTGAGGCCTGATGTCCACTTAGGGCATAAGTGTTTATCTGGGGTCTAGTGTTCACATAGGGTCTGATGTCAACCTTGAGCCCAGGTATTCACCAGGGGACTAGTGTCCAGCTGGGACCAGATGTTCACTTGGGGCCTGGTGTCAACTTGGAGCACGGTTGTCAACCTAGGACCTGATGTCCAGTCCAGTGTCCACCTTGGGCCTGTTTACTACCCGGGGCCTGTGTGTCCACATAGACCATGGTGTCAATCTGGGGCCTGGGTATTTACCGGGCGCCTGGATATTCATTGGTACATTATGTCTAGTGGAGTCTTTGTGTCAATCTGAGCTCTGATGTCTACCTAGAGATTGGGTATCCATCTAAGGCCTGGTGTTTACATGGGGCCTGTAACATGAGGTTCCAGATGAACTCAGATGTCCACCTGAGGCCTGATGTCCACCTGAGTTCTGAGTGTTCACATAGGGCCTGCTGTCAACTTGGGACCTAAGTATTTACCTAGGGCCTGGGTGTCCACCTGGTGCCTGACTTCCAACTAGATCTGTGTCAACATGGGGCCTGATGTCCACTTTGGGCCTAGGTAACTTCCTGATGACTAATGCCCACATGGTTCCTAAGGACCATCTGAGGCCTGGTATTAATTTAGAGACTGGTATTCATCTGGGGTCCAGGTATCCACTTGGGACCTGATGTTCACCTGGAGTATAGGAATTCACGTGGGGCCTGGTATCCACCTTAAGTGTGTGTATCCAATTGAGTGTGGTGTCCACCTGGAGTCCAGTGTATACCTGGGGCCTGATGTACATATGGAGCCTGGGCGTCTATCTAGGACCTGATGTTCAGATAAGGGCTGGCATTCTCCTGGCCTGGTGTCCACATGGAGCCTGGGTGTACACTTGAAGCCTGATATCCCAGGTGGATACCTGGGCCCCAGTGGTCATCAGATCCTAGGAAACTCTCAGGCCCCAGGTGCACATAAAGCTACAGTGGCCACCTAGGCCACAGGTTGATACACAGGGTCCAGGTGGACACTGGGTGCAAGATGAACACCAGGCCCCTGGTGAACGCCAAGCCCCAGGTGTCTGCCTAGTCCTCAACTGGACACCAGGCACTAGATTGACACACAGGTACCAGGTGGATATCAGGCTGCAGGTGAACATCAGGCCTCAGGTGGTTGGGTTACTTATAGCATAGGTGGCCATCAGGTCCCAGATCTATATCCACTCCCCACCTGAAAATCAGGATCCATGTGGATACCCATGTCCTAGGTGAACACCAGGTTCCAAATGAACATCAGGCTCCAAGCGAACACACAGGCCCCAGCTCAATACCAGCCTCAGGTAGACATCAGGACCTAGGTGCACCCCAGGCCCAATGTGCATGCCTAGTCTCTTGGAATACATCATTTTCAAGGTGGACACCCAGATTCCTCAAAGACATCTGGTGCCAGGTGGATATCTGGCTGCAGGTGGACATCAGGCCCCAGGTGGAGACCCAGTACACAGGTGTAAATCAGGCTCCAGTATTTCATCAGGCCCCAGTTTAACACTTGACTAAAGGTGTGCATCAAGACCCAGGTTGACAGCCAGGCTTCAGGTGCACACTAGGCCCAAAGTGTACACCTGTGCCAAGGTGGGCATCAGGCCCAAGGTGTACACCAGACCCCAAGTGGACATCAGGTTCCAGGTTGACACCAGTCTCTAGGTAGATCCTTAAACCCCAGTTGGTCATCAGGCCCAAGGTGGATACCTTGACCCCAGGGGGTCACCAGGTCTCAGGTCGACACTAAGCCCTAGGTTCAAGGTCTGAGATGGTTTCAGCCCCCATGTGGACTTTAGTCATAAGGAGCTTACCTAGGACCTAAGTGGACATCAGGCCCCAGGTTGACACAATGAACCATGTAGAAGTCAGGCTGTAAGTAGACACCCAGGCCCTAGGTAAATACTTTGGTCCCAAGCCAACATCAGGCCCTATGTGGACACCCAGACTCCAGACAGATGTCAGGCCCCAGGTGAACACTGAACTCAGGGTGGTCATCAGGCACTAGGTTGACACATAGGCCTCAGGTAGACAACAAGCACAGGTGAACTTCAGGCTCCAGATGAACGTCAGGCTCCAGGAAGAAGTCTGTGCCCCAGTTAAACACCAGGTCTTAGGTAGACATCAGGCCTCAAATGGATGCCCAGGCCCCAGGTGGATATAAGGCCTCAGGCAAACACCAGGCCCCAGGTAGACATTAGACACGAGATGGACACTCAAGCCACAAGTGAACATCTGTCCCCAGGTGGACATCCACCCAAGGTGGACATCAGGCCAGAGATGTACACCCAGGCCCCAGGAGAACCCCAGGCCCCAGGAGGACACCCAAGTGCCAGAAGGACACCCAGTCCCTAGGTAACTACAAGGCCCCAAGTGGACATGATGTTCCAGATGGATATGAGGCCCCAAGTGGATACTAGGCCCAGGTGGACCCCAGATCTCAGGGGCACACCAGGCCCCAGGGGAACACCAGGCCCTAGGTAAGCATGAAGTCCCAGGTGGACATCAGTTGCCAGGAGGACACCAGGACCCAGTTGCTCATCAAGCCACAGCTGAACACCAGTTCCCCATGAACACCAGTCCTCAGGTGGGCACCTAGTCATCTCGTGTGTATCAGGTGCCAGGCTGACATAGGCACCAGCTGAACTCTGGGCCTCAGGTGAACATCAGATCCCAGGTTGTCACCCAGGCCCCAGGTGAACACCAGGTTTTAGGTGGACACGAGGTCCTAGGTGGATGTCTATGCTCCTGGTGAACCTCAGGCCCTAGTGGACACTCAGGCCCTTTATAGACATCTGGCTCCATGTGCACTCCCAGGGCCCAGGTAGACATGAGGCCCCAGAGGAACACCAGTCCTTAATCACCTAAGACTGAATTCCCCTAGGGCAGGAGACTGAGTATTCACCTTGGGCCTAGGAATCTACCTGAGGCCAGATGTCAATCCGGGGCCTGATGTCTACTCAGGTTCAGCTGTCCACCTAGGGCGGGGTGTTTTTCTGGGACCCAGAGTCTACCTGAAATCTTGGTATCAACCTAGGGCCTATGTGTCCACTTGGAGTCTGATGTGCACCTGAAGCCTGAGTTTTCACGTGGGATCTGATGAGCACCTGGGGCCCAGGTTTCCATCTGAAACATCAGGTTCTAGTTATACATCTGGGCCCCAGGTATACACTAGGCACCAAAAGAACTCCAGCCCCTATCTTAACATGAGGTCCTAGGTGAATGCCCAGGCCTCATGTCTACATTAGGCCTCAGGTAGACATGACTCCAGGCGGGCATCAGGCCTGATATTGGCTCTATGTCTCCACCCAAATCTCATGTTGAATTGTAATCCCCATGGGTTGAAGAATGAGCCTGGTGAATGGTGATTGAATCATGGGGGCAGACTTCCCACTTGGTGTTCTCGTGATAGAGTTCTTACGAGACCTGGTTATTTGAAAGTGTGTAGCACATCCCCCTTCTGTCTCCCTCCTCCTCCCACATGGTAAAAAGGGCTTTACATCATGATTGTAAGTGTCCTGAGCCCGCCCAGTCATGCTCCCTATTAAGCCTGAAGAACTGTGGGTCAGTTAAACCTCTTTTCCTCATAAGTTGCCCAATATCAGGTAGTTTTTTATAACAGTGTGAAAATGGACTAATACAAGGACTTAGGATAACAACCATGCTTCAGGCCATAGGTGGACATCTGGCTGCAACTGGACACTATTCCCCAGGTGGATACCTAGGCTCAAGGTTGACATTAGTCCCCAGGTAAACAACAAGCCCCAGGTGAATATCTATGCCCTAGTAGACATCAGGCCTCAGGCTGACACTCAGTCTAACCTCAACATTAGGCTCCAGGTGGACGCCCAGACTGCAGGTGGATACTAGACCCCAGGGGTACACCAGACTCCTGGTAGGCATAAGACCCCAGGAGGACACTAGAATCCAGGTGTACATAAAGCCACTGGTTGACACCAAGCCCTCAGATGAACATCAGGCCAACTAGTGGATGTTAGGCACATGAGAATACTTGGGCACCAGGTAGGTATCAGGCCCCAGGTAAACATCAAACTTCAGGTGGACATCATTCTCCATGTGAACTCTAGCCCCAGCTAAACATCAGGCTCCAGGTGGAAGCCCAGACCCCAGGAGCACTTCTGACCACAGTTGAACATCTGTCTCCAGGTGAATATCAGACCATGGATGGATAACAAGTCCCCAGGTGGACATCAGGTCAAAAGTGAATATAAGTCTCTAGGAAGACATCTGACCCCAGGTGGATACTGAACTAGAGGTTTACATCAGACCCCAGATTGACATTCAGTCCCCAGGTGGTCATGACACCTCAATTGGACACCAAGTCCGTAGGTGTCCCAGGTGTACACCAGGTCAAAGATGAACACAAGACCTAAGTTTGACACTGAAGCCCCAAGTGGACATGAGGCCCTAGGTGAATAATATGACCCAGGGGATCATTAGGACCCAGCTTCATACCAGTCCCCAGGTTTACACGAGGCCCCCAGTAGGTTCCTAAATTCTAGTTGGACATGAGGTCTCTAGTAGACACCCAGGAGTAAGGTGGACATCAAGCATCAGATGGACGTCTGGCCGTGGATGAACATCAAGCCTCACATGGATACCTAGTCCGCAGGTAGACATCAGGCCCCAGTTTGACATCAGTTTCTGGATGGATCCCCAAGCCCCAGGTGGATATCCAGTGTCCAGCTGAACATCAGCCCCTCGTGGACGCCCAGTCCCCAGGTGAATATCAGGTCTAAGGTGAACACAAGTCCCCAGGCAGACATCAGACACCAGGTGTACACTCAGACCCCAAGAGGACATCTGTCCCCAGGTTGACATCACTCTCAAGGTGTACATTAGGTAACAGATATACACCCAGGTCCAAGGCAGACACGAGTCCCTAGTAAAACTCAAGGCCCCAGGAGGATACTCAAGCCCTAGGTGGATGCCCAGAACCCAGGTAATTACAAGGCCCCAGGTGGATATCAGATTCCAGATGAACATTAGGCCCCAAGTGGATACCTAGGCACCAGGTAGACACCAGGCCCCAGGTGCATCCCCCAGTCTCAGGTGCACACTAGGCCCCCAGTGAACACTGGCTCCAGGTGAGCACCCAGTCCAAGGTAGACACCGTGACCCAGGTGGTCATTAGGCCACAGCTGAACACCAATCTTGAGTGAACACCAGATCCCAGGTGGGTACCTAGTCTCCAGGTGGATATTGGGCCCCAAGTGGACACCCAGCCCCCAGGTGAACATCAAGCTTCAGGTGGACATCATGCCTCAGGTGAACTCCAGGTCCCAGCCCAGCTGAACATCAGGCTGCAGGTGGATGCCTAGGTTCCAGGTGCACAACAGGTCACAGTTGGACATTCAGCCCCAGGTGAACATCAGGCCATGGGTGGATAAACAGTCCACAGGTGGACATCAGGTCAAAGGTGAACATCAGTACTCAGGTGGACATCGGGCTCCAGGTTGACATTAAGCCCAAGGTGGATAGTGAACTAGAGGTTTACATCAGGCCCCAGGTTGACACCCAGGCTCAGGTGGACATTGGGCCCCAGGTGGATACCTAGGCCCCTAGTAAACCTCAGATTCTAGGTTGACATTCAGGCCCCCAGTAGTCATTTGGACCCATGTGGACACTCAGGCGCCAGGTTCACATGATGTCTTAACTGGACACCAAGGGGCCAGTTTGATACCCAATCCTATGTGGGTGCCAGGTCCAAGGTTACACTCAAGCCCCAAGTGGACACCAGGCCCTAGGTGAATAATACAACCCAGGTGGTCATTAGGCCCCAGAATGACACCAGTCCCCAGGTTAACAGGAAGCCCCCAGTGGGTACCTAGGCCCCAGCTGGACATCAGGCCTAATGTGGACAAACAGGATCAAGATGGACATCAGGACTCAGGTGGACATCTGGTGACAGGTGGACAACAAGCCTGATGTGTACCTTGTCCCCGGGTGGTCATCAGGCCCCAGTTCAACACCAGTCCCTGGGTGGATTCCTCGGCTCCAGGTGGACATCCTGTCTTCAGCTGAACATCAGACCCCAGGTGAACACCAGGTCTTAGGTGGACATTAGGCCCCTGGTGGACATAAAGTACCAGTGGACATCCATGCTGCAGGTGGACACCCAGGACCCAGATGGGCATCAGGCCCCATTTGGACATTGAGGCCCCAGGTGGATATCAGGCCTCAGGTGAACCCAAGGTCCAACATAGACATCAGGCCTTAGGTTGACACTCAAGCACCAGATGGACTGCTGCACCTAAGCAGAAAACAGACCCTTATCTGGATATCTAAGATACATGTATACAACAAGCCCCAGGCTGACATCCAGACCCCAGGTGGACACCATACCCCAGGTGAACAGCAGGCAACAGTTTGGCACCAAGTACCTAAGTGAAACAAAGCCTTAGGTGATTACCAGGCCATAGTTAGTCATTAGTCTCCAGCCGGACAATAGTCCCTAGGTGGATACCCAGGCCCCAGGTGGACACTAGACCCCTGATTAACACAAAAACCAAGTGAAAAATCAAGCCCCAAGTGGACAACCAGGCCCTAGGTAAATACACAAATCTCAAGCTGACACCAGGCCCTATTTGGACACCCAAGCCCTAAGTGGACTTCGGACCCCAGGTGAACACTGAACTCTAGAAGGTATTCAGGCCCTGTGTTTGACTACCTGGCCCCAGGGAGACACCAGGCATAGACGAACTTCAGGCACCAGCTGTACATCAGGTTCCAGGCAAATGTCCAGGCCCCAGGTGGATATCACACCTCAGATGAACACCAGGCCCCAGGTAGACATCAAAAACCAGGTGGACACTCAGGCCCCTACTGAATATCCGTCCCCAGGTGGACATCTGTCCCAAGGTGGACATGAGGCCACAGATGTACACTTAAGCCTAAGGCAGACCCCAGTCCCCAGGAAAACTCCAGGCTCCATGAGGGCACTCAGACCCCAGATGGATGCACTGGTCCTAGGTAAATACAAGGCCCCAGTGAACACTGGAGCCCAGGTGGGTACCTAGTCCCCAGGTGTGCAACAAGCAGAAGGTTGACCCAGTCCCTAGCTGAACTCTGGGCCCCAGCTGAACATCATAACCCAGATGGTCACCCAGGCTCCAGGTGAACACATGGTCTTAGGTGGACATCAGGCCCCACATGAACACCCAAGCCCCAGGTAGAGATCGGGCCTTAGGTGTACACCAGACCTCAGGTGGGCATCTGGCTCCAGATGGCCATAGGTGGATAACTAAGCCTCTCCTGGATATCAGGCCCCAGGTGGGCACCAGGCTCCAGGCGAACATCTAGCCCCAGGGGGACATCCAGCCCCTGGTGGACATCAGGGCTCACATGGATAAGTAGTTTACAGATGGACACCTGCCACAGGTGCCTCACCTCTACTCCCTGAAACCTCACTTCCCCTCATGGGCCTTCTGTTCGACTTGGGGTACCCCTAGCCGCCTTAGGTGCACACTGGACTCGAACCAGGGACGCCAGGGTCCCTGGGGCTCAGCGCAAGGGTTCATGGGAATACACTCTCGTCCGTGGGGGCCCAGTCCCCGCTTCTCCGTGGCACAGTTTTTTTTCTCTGCCCCAGGTGCCTCACCTTTCCCTCGTGGGCCTTCTGTCCACCTTGTGGTACCCCTGGTGGCCCGAGGCGCACCCTGGGCTCGAACCAGGGATGCCAGGGTCCCCAGGGCACAGCGCAAGGGCTGATGGGGAGACACTTTCACCCGTGGGGGACCCAGGCCCCGCTTCTCCGCAGTGCTGTTTTTTTTTTTCTCTGCCCCAGGTGACTCACCTTCCCCTCATGCGCCTTCTGCCCGCTTTGGGTTACCCCTAGCAGGCCAGAGGCGCACCCTGGATTCGAGCCAGGGATGACAGGGTCCCCGGGGCCCAGCACAAGGGCAGATGAGAAGGCACTTTCGTCCTTGGGGGACACAGGCCCTGCTTCTCTGTGGCGCGGTTTTTTTTTTTTCTTTTATGCCACAGGTGCCATACCTCTCCTCCCTCAAACCTCACCTTCCCCTTATAGGCTTTCTGCCCACCATGGGGTACCCCAAGAGGCCCGAAGCGCACCCTGGTTTGAACCAGGGATGCCAGGGTCCCGTGGGCCCAGCTCAGGGGCTGATGGGAAGACACTTTCTTCCGTGGGGGACCCAGGCCCCGCTTCTCCGCGGCATAGTTTTTTTTTTCTCTGCCTCAGGTGCCTCACCTACCCCTCATGGGCCTTCTGCCCGCTTCTGGGTAACCCTAGCGGGCCCAAGGCGCACCCTGGGCTCGAACCAGGGTCACCAGTGTCCGCGAGGTCCAGCGCAAGGCCTGATGGGAAGGCACTTTCGTAAGTGGGGGACCCAGGCCCAGCTTCACTGCGGCGCGGTTTTTTTTTTTTTCTGCCACAGGTGCCTCACCTTCCCCTCATGGGCTTTCTGTCCGCCTTGGGGTACCCCCAGCGGCCCGAGGCGCACCCTGGGCTCGAACCAGGGATGCCAGGGTCCCTGGGGCCTAGCACCGGGTCTGATGGGAAGGCACTTTCTTTCGTGGGGAACCCAGGCCTCCCTTCTCCGTGGCGAGGTTTTTTCCTTTTTTCTCCGCCCCAGGTGCCTCACCTTCCCCTCATGGGCTTCTGCCCACTTTGGGGTACGGCTAGCGGCCCGAGGCGCACACTGGGTTCGAACCAGGGTCGCCAGGGTGCACGGGGCCAAGCGCAGGGGCTAATGGTAAAGCACTTTCGTCAATGGGGGACCCAGGCCCCCCTTCTCCGTGGCGCGTTTTTTTTTTCTGCCACAGGTGCCTCACCTCTCCTCCCTCAAACCTCACCTTTGCCTCATGGGCCTTCTGCCCGCCTTGGGGTACCCCTAGCGGCCCAAGGCGAACCATGAGGTCGAACCAGGGACGCCAGGGTTCCCGGGGCCCAGTGCAAGGGCTGATAGGAAGACACTTTCGTCCGTGGGGGACCCAGGCACCGCTTCTCCGCGGCGCAGTTTTTTTTTTCTTTTGGCTTCCCCAGGTACCTCACCTTCCCCTCATGAGCCATCTGCCTGCTTTGGGGTACCCCTAGTGGACCGAGGCGCACCCTCGGCTCGAATCAGGGTCGTCAGGGTCCCCGGGGCGCAGCGCAAGGGCTGATGGGAAGACACTTTCGTCCGTGCCGGACCCAAGCCCCGCTTCTCTGCGGTGCGGTTTTTTTTTTTTTTTTTCCTGCCACAGGTGCCTCACCTCTCCTCCCTCAAACCTCAACTTCCCCTCATGGGCTTTCTGCCCGCCTTGGGGTACCCCTAACCGCCCGAGGCGCACCCTGGGTTTGAGCCAAGGTCGCCAGGGTCCACGGGGCTCAGCGCAGGGCCTGATGGGAAGGCACTTTCGTCCGTGGGGGACCCATGCCCTGCTTCTCCGTGGCGCGTTTTTTTTTTTTCTGCCACAGGTGCCTCACCGCTCCTCCCTCAAACCTCACCTTCCCCTCATGGGCCTTCTGTCTGCCTTGGGGTACACCTAGCGGCCCGAGGTGCACTGTGGGCTCGAACCAGGGAAGCCAGGGTCCCTGGGGCCCAGCGCAAGGGCTGATGGGAAGACACTTTCGTCCGTGGGGGGGACCCAGTCCCCGCTTCTCCGCGGCGAGGTTTTTTTTTTCTCTGCCCCAGGTGCCTCACCTTCCCCTCATGGGCCTTCTGCACACTTTGGGGTACCGGTAGCGGCCCGAGGCGCACCCTGGGCTCGAACCATGGAGGCCAGGTTCCATGGGGCCAAGCGCAGTGGCTGATGGGAAGGCACTTTCGACCCAGGCACCGGTTCTCCGCTGCGCGTTTTTTTTTTTTTTTTCTGCCACAGGTGCCTCATCTCTCCTCCCTCAAACCTCAGCTGAAACTTTTGGGCCTTCTTTCCTCCTTGGGGTACTCGTAGCAGCCTGAGGCGCAGCGTGGGCTCGAACCAGGGATGTCAGCGTCCTCGGGACCCAGCTCAAGGGCTGACAGAAAGACACTTTCGTCAGTGGGGGACCCAGGCCCCGCTTCTCCGCGGCGCGGTTTTTCTTCTTTCTCTGCCGCAGGTGCCTCACCTTCCCCTCATGGGCTTTCTGCTCTCCTTGGGGTACCCCTAGCAGGTCCGAGGTGCACCCTGGTTTCCAGCCAGGGACACCAGGTTCCCCAGGGCCCAGCGCAGGGGCTGATGGGAAGACACCTTCGTCCGTGGAGGAGCCAGGCCTCGCTTCTCTGCAGCGCGGTTTTTTTTTTCCTTTGCCCCAGGTGTCTCACCTTCCTCTCATGGGCCTTCTGCCGGCTTCTGGGTAACCCTAGCGGGCGCGAGGCGCACCTGGGGCTCGAACCAGGGTTGCCAGGGTCCATGGGGCCCAGGGCAGGGGCTGATGGGAAGACACTTTCATCCGTGGGGGACCCAGGTCCCGCTTCTTTGCGGCGCAGTTTTTTTTTTCTCTGCCCCAGGTGTCTCACCTTCCCCTAATGAGCATTCTGCCCGCTTTGGGATACCCCTATTGGGCACGAGGCGCACCCTGGGCTCTAACCAGGGTCGCCAGTGTCCATGGGGCCCAGCGCAGGGGCTGATGGGAAGGCACTTTCGTCCGTTGGGGACCCAGGCCCCGCTTCTCCGCGGCGTGTTTTTTTTTTTTTTTTTTTTCTGACACAGTTGCCTCACGTCTCCTCCCTCAAACCTCACCTTCCCCTCATAGGCCTTCTGTCCGACTTGGGGTACCCCTAGTGGCCAGACGCACACCCTGGGTTCGAAACTGGGACACCAGGGTCCCCGGGGCCCAGCGCAAGGGCTGATGCGAAGACACTTTCTTCCTCGGGGACCCAGGCTCTGCTTCTCTGCGACGTTTTTGTTTTTGTTTTTGTTTTTTTCGCTTTTCCCCAGGTGCCTCACCTTCCCCTCATGGGCTTTCTGCCCGCCTTGAGGTACCACTAGCGGGTCCAAAGCGCACCCTGGTTTCGAGCCAGGGACGCTAGGGTCTCCGGGGCCCAGTTCAGGGCTGATGGGTAGGGACGTTCGTCTGTGGGGGACCCAGGCCCCACTTCTGGGCGGCGCAGTTTTTTTATTTTTTTCTCTGCCCCAGGTGTTTCACCTTTCCCTCATGGGCCTTCTGTCTGCCTTGGGGTACCCCTAGCAGGCCGAGGCGCACGCTGGGCTCGAGCCAGGGATACCAGGGTCCCTGGGGTGCAGCGCAAGCGCTGATGTGAGGACAGTTTCTTCTGTGGGGGAGCCAGGCCCCGCTTATACGCGGCGCGGTTGTTTTTTTTTTTTCTCTGCCCCAGGTGCATCACCTTCACCTCATGGGCCTTCTGCCCGCTTTTGGGTACCCCTAGCGGCCTGAAGCGCACCCTGGTCTCGAACCAGGAATGCCAGGGACACCTGGGCCCAGCGCAAGGGCTAATGGGAAGACACTTTTGTCAGTTGGGGACCCAGGCTCTGCTTCTCCGTGGTGCGGTTTTTTTTTTTTCTGCTACAGGTGCCTCACCTCGCCTTCCTCAAACCTCAACTGCCCCTCATGGGATTTCTGCTCGCTTGTCTTCCGAGGCTGCGGTGTGGATCTCGCACTGCGGCCGCCTCGCCTTGGCTGGGGAGAACCTCGGTGGGTAGGATTCAGAGGGGCTTTTGCTTTCCCGTTTTCCACACTGAACCCTTCTAACTGGTCTCTGACCCTGATTATTCAGGGCTGCAAACAGGAAGGATTTTATTCACCATCGATGCGGCTCTGAGTAGTCCCAAAGCGAGGCAGTGCCCCCAAGGTCTGTGCTGAGAACGCTGCTCTGCCTTCGCGGTGTCCCCCGGGTGTGTGCTGAGCAGAACGCAGCTCCGCCCTCGCGGTGCCCCTGGCCCGCCCGCCCGGGTCTGTGCTGAGGAGCACATGATCCACTTTGCTGTATCTCCGAAGTCTGTGCAGAGGAGAACTCACCTCCGCCCTGGCAATGCTCTCCGGGTCTGTGCTGAGGAGAAGGCAGCTCCGCCCTCGCAAAGGCACACGGCGCCTGCGCAGGCGCAGAGAGGCGCACGGGGGGTACTCCTAGCGGGCCCGAGGCCACCCGTGGCTCGAACCAGGGTCTCCAGGGTCCACAGGGCCCAGAGCAGGAGCTGATGGGAAGGCATTTTCATCGTGGGGGACCCAGGCCCTGCTTCTCCGTGGCGCGTATTGTTTTTTTTTTCTTTTTCTGTGACAGGTGCCTCACCACTCCTCCCTCAAAACTCACCTTCCCTCATGGGCTTTGTGCTCCCAAAGCTCCCCTTGGGGTGCACTTAGCGGCTGAGGCACACACTGAGCTCGAACCAGGGACACCAGGGTCCCCAGGTCCCAGTGCAGGGACTGATGAGAAGACACTTTCGTCCGTGGGGAATCAGGCCGCGCTTCTCTGCGGCGAAGTTTTTTTTTTCTCTGCCCCAGGTGCCTCACCTTCCCCTTATGGGCTTTCTGCCCACCTTGGGGTAACACTAGTGGCCCGAGGCGTACCCTGGGATCAAACCAGAGACGCCAGGGATGTCAGTGCCCAGCGAACGGGCTGACGAGAAGACAATTTCCTCCGTGAGGGACCCAGGCACTGCTTCTCGGCAGCGCGTTTCTTTACTTTCTCTGCCTCAGGTGCCCACCTTCCGCTCATGGACCATTTGTTCGCTTTCTGGTACCGCAAGCGGTCCCGAAGCGCACCCTGGGCTCGAACTAAGGTCGTCACTGTCCACTCTGCCCAGCGTACAGCATAATGGGAAGGCACTTTCATCCATGGGGGACCCAGGCCCTGCTTGTCTGAGGCGAGGTCTCCTGTTTTTTTTTCTGCCCCTGGTGCCTCACCTCTATTCCCACAAACTTCAAATTCAACTCATGGGCCTTCTGTCCGAGTTGGGGTACCCCTAGTGGCCCGACGCGAACCCTGGGCGCCAACGACGGATGCCAGGGTCCCTGGGGACCAGCGCAAGGGCTGATGGGAAGACATTTTCGTCCGTGTATGACCCAGAAACCGCTTGGCGATGCATTTTCTTCTCTGCCCCAGGTGCCTCAACTTCCCCCCCATCAGCCTCCTATCTCTCTGAACCTGCGCCGGCGCCGTGCGCCTCTCTGTGCCGCCACCGTTGCTGGGGGTTGGGTCCCTGAGACTTGGCGAAGTAGGAGTACTGGACTCGCGCACAGGCCCTGTCTCGCAGGTTTTCAGGTGCGCTTGGCGTTTCCTCCGCTTTGAGGGGCAGGTCTCCAGTGGCCCCCGGGCGCAGGCCTGGACATCACTGTCCGTCTCGTCGTCGCCCACTACGGCCTCAGAGACACGGGCTCACTGCATGTGCTCTTGGGGGACATCAGGGCCACGTGTGGTCACACTGGCTCCGGCTCGGACTACCCTCTGTCTCTCTTTGCCCGTGTCGCCGGAAGCCGCGTCGAGATGCCGGAGCCCCCGGGCCTTGGAGATGAAGGCAGGCCCCTGCTCCACCCAGGAAGGAGGGAGGCAGTGGGCTCGTGGGTCAGTGCCTTTGCAGCCGACAGCACGCCTTGCGGCCCTGGGGAATCTTTCTGCGCCCTGGCGAGCGCCTTTCCGCCTCACTGCATTGTAACCCCATTCCCGATCACCGGGTGGGATCCATCATCGGATCCCAAGAGGAGTCCGCGCAGCCCAGCCGGCACCCCGAAGCTCCTCCTTCACCGGGAACCCAAGCAGAAGACCGATTAAGGAGGTCCTGACGACAGGACTCCTATGGGTCCGACCCTGGGTCTCCCGCAGGCCCCTCTGGTAGTCCTCTTCCCACCCACCGCCTGGGGCTGCACCACAGCCGCCGCCGCAAGCTCCAGCACCGCCACCCCAGTCCCCGCAGCCGCGGCGTCGCCGCCATTTTTTAAAGGGTCCGCAGCCTGACTGCCGAGTAAGGGGGGGTGGGGCGGGTGAGTCGGCCTCGCCAGCGCGCATGCGCGAGGCCCGAGCCGCCGCTTCGGTCACAGTGACCGCCACCGTTGCCAAGGGATGGGTCCCTGAGACTTGGCGAAGTGGGAGCCCTGTGTGATCGTGCGTCAGAGTCGGGGCTGAGACCAGCCCCGGCCAGGGTAGTTACCGGGACGGTCTCCGGAGGCCGGGATTCGCGGAGGGTCCACCAGCAGGAAGAAACCCCAGGAGGAAGAAACCTCAGACAGATCGCCGGGGAGGCAGCGCGGGATCCCAGCCTCAGGCGTGCGCGGACGGTGTGCGGGTGAGTCTCCCCAAAAGTGGCGGCCTTGTGATGTCGAGGACAGGTCTCGCTGTGTGCCCGTGGGCTGCTGTCTCACCGGTGGCTCGTAGTCGCGGAGAGCAGAACCCGGCAGCTTCAGGGGCTGCCTGGGGGTGGGTGTTACCTGCTGTATATCTGTGTGCGTTATGGGGGTGTGTGTGCGCGTCTGTGTGTCTGTGTGTGTGCGCGCGCGCGCACGTGCGTGTCTGTGTGCCCACTACTGTCTCTCTCTTAAGTCTCTCTCTCTCTCTCTCTCTCTCTCTCTCTCTCTCTCTCCCTTCTCGCTCTTTCCGTCGCCCTCTCTTTCTGTCTCTGTCCGTCTGTGTGTGCGTGCGCCTTGGGACACATGTTCCCTGTGCGCCGGAGGCTGGGTTTCTTGCACGTCGGCCTTTCTTCTGGTCAGCCTCTCCCCGCGTCCCTGCCTGGGTGTTGTGGCCGGTTGGCAATCGTTTTCCCGGCGGTTCCGGTTTGGGGGTCTGTGAAGGCCTGGGCAACGTGGGCATCTGCGTGGGAGCCGCAGGGGCTTTCATTCCCTCCCCATCCGGAGCAGCCTCTTTGCTAGGCTAGATCCAGACGACCGCTCCCCAACCAAGGACAACAGCCTCCCAGGCGCTTATTGTCCACCCGCAGGAGGGTGCCCGCAGACCTTCCAGAAGATGCTTCTCACGCCTCTCGCCCTCTGCCCTCATGGAGAAATCTAGCCATAGCTCGACGCAGGGATGGAGAAGGAAGCTGTCAACGGGATGGGGCAAGCCTCTCTCTCACTCAAAGGCAGTATAGAGGTCCACCACAGAGGCATATCTAGTATGGTGCCCACCACCTCATCTTGGGGCTGGGTGAAGGGCAAGTGGCACTGCAGGAAATAGTAGCCTTGTTCTCTGTCCTCAAGTTGTTCCAAGATTGCAGCCCACACCAGTGCTTGGGCTTGTGAGAATGGAGGGCTCTCCAACAGTTCAGAAACAAGCAGTCTGCCACAGGGGTGAGAGGAGCAAAAGACACCCCCACCTATGCTTTTCCATGGAACATCAAGTCCCTCAGAGTATAATCTCTGCTGGATTTTTGCTTCCTTATTTTTCTGTGTTCAAGTTTCTTCTTGTGGTGCTCTAGCACTCCCGTCAATATAGATATTGGAATTAATGATTATTTATCCATAACTTTGCTTTCTCTTTCTGAGAATAACTAGATTCGAATATCTATAGTCAGTCATATTGAAGAAAAACCTCACAAATATACTTCTTAGTAACTCAACACCCAAGAGCAAATCATAATGGAAATTATAAAATATTTTTAATTAAAAAATGTATACTACATTATAAAATGTGTCATTTTAGAGGAAAATGTAGAACCTTAAATTCTTATTTTATGAGGACAACAAATTAATATTTAAAATGTTTTGAATTTATTGGAAGAAGTTAGAAATATCAACAGAAATAAAAGGAAATAAAAAATACATGCATAGTGATTAAGAATACAGGGAAAGAAAAGTCAAGAAATATGGCCAAAAGTTTGTTAGTTGTTGTAGGAGCCATACAATAACAAAACTCTGGAGAAATGGCTTGATAAAATTAAGAGAAGAAACAAGTATGCAATCTCAGGAATCAAAATAGGAAATAATTATACATCAGATGTCAAGAATTTTTTTTGTTTTTTGGAAAGGATCAGGTGGTAAATATTTTAGGTTTTTGGGCTATATGGTTTGTTGCAACTAATCAATTCTATTGTTGTGGCATAAATTGACAGTATGTCAATGAATGAGCATGACAGTGTTCCAGTAATACTTTATTTATAAATACTGTCTGGCTTATTTGCCACCGTTTATTGAGTTTTGTTATAAATAATACAAATATCAAGAAGGTAAATTAGTGTAGTATGAAAACCTTCAATAAATTTGGAAATATATGTAAAATGTGTGCAATTACTTGAAACAAGCATTTTTCCAAAAGTAACCTAAAGTGAAAAGAAAAATCTGAATTGTGCTACAACAAATGCATGTAATCTGTAGTCAGAAATCATATCATAAAGATAATTTCAAGCCATGATGACTTTACTGGCAAGTTGTTTCAAACATGAAACAAAACAATAATTCCAGTCTTACATACAATTCTTTCTGAGCATGAAACAGGAAAGAACATACTCTATTTCATTTTATTATGCTATTATGACTCTGATATTATAACCTGACAAGGATAGTAAAGGGAAAGTAAATTAAACACCAATGTAATTTATGAAAATAATGAAGGAAAACTTAAAAAAGTTCCACGCAGAAATAAGCAATGCATTAAAATGTAAGACATCACAGCCAATGTTTATTCTAAGAAACCCTGGGAAGCAATAATGGCCTCATGTAAAGATATCAATTAATATGATACACCACAACAAATAACTTAACAATATTATAAGCATATTTAATTTTATTTTCTTAAAAAGTCATACATTTTAACAACCCAAAATTAAAAGAGAATCTAGTTTAACTAATAACATTTGTTTTCAAAAGTTCTATTGAAATTATAACACTTAACAATGGAATGTTAAAATATTTCCTTTGTGATTGGGAACAAAATAAACATAGATGGTACAAGCAATTTTATTTATCCTTTTGCAGGTCTTAGACACTGGGATAGGATTGTAAATATTAAAAAAATAAGAATTATGAAAGAGAAAACAGATTACTATGTTACCGATGACACTAAGTACACAGACAATTCAAAATGATTGTAAGATACATTATACTAATGAATATGAGCTTTTAGCAAGATGCTTTGACACAAACGTATTATGCAATATTGAAATGCATTTCATATAAGTAGAGAACTTTATTTAGATGTGTCAATGTGGCTTACTCTCACAAACATAATATTTAGTGGTATGATTAAGTCACAAAAGAATATGTACAGTATAACTCAGTTTAAATAAAGTTCAAATAAACATAGACATAACATTGACATAAATATATTCTTGAATTGAAAGACTTTAATGAAATCACTTCTCCCCAAAATTAATCTTTGTAACTAGTGCATCCAAAGTAAAACCCAGTAAGGTTTGATTTAGATATTGACAAGCTAATTCTAGAATTTATGTAAACTCTAAAAATATTAAAATTCAGTTAATAATTTATTGAGGAAGGAAGAATATATTACAGGAAATATTATAAGACTTAATGCAATGTGGTATTAACAAAGTAATAAATAATCAATGAAATGGAATAGGTAGACTACAGTAAGGAAAATATAAGAACCCATGATATGTAAGAAAGCTGGTATTATAGATCAGTGGTGAAAAATAAATTTGCCAATAAATGAGAGTGAGAAAACTGGCTATACATATGGAAAATAATTAAAGTGATTCTTTACCTTATATAATATGTAACAATCAATTCCTTGGTGATCAATATTTAAATGTAAACCCAGGTAAAAATTACAGAAAACCCGACAGTAAAACAAAGAAAATGGCTTGCACATGTGCTTTATAAAATGTAAAATATAAGTGTCCACCATACATATTTAGAATCACTTTAACTTATTTTTAACACAAAAATGCAAATGAAAATGTTTTATATGTACATTATTACTTATACAACAGATTGACCAAAAACAGTCTGACAAGAAAGACTTCTGGCAAACATATAGAGCAATAATAATTTCATATGCTTTCCTGGAAATGGAAATTATATCCGTTTTAAAAAGAGGCTTGTATTACCCAGTAATATTGAAGATGACCATATATTCTAATCAGCAATTGGCTTTCACTCCTTATTTTGTATGTACGTGGTTGGCCATTAAGAAATGTGATCCAAAATATTTACAGGCTCAGTTAAGTACTATAAGCAATGCAAAAGTTAAACAACAGTAGAATGTGGTAGATTCATACAGTGGAATACTACACTTTAGAAAAACATAGATAACTTTATTTAGATATGTTAATGTGGCTTACTCTCACAAACGTAATATGCAGTGGTATGATTAAGTCACAAAAGGATATGTACAATATAATTCAGTTTAAATAAAGTTCAAGAACACAAAACAGCAAGTTGGATTGTTTATAAAATGTTTACTGGACACTAAATCTATAAAGATAATAATAGAAATTATTTTAACACATCCTTCAATTACCTTTCATTCCTCCAGAAATTTGTTGAAACCTCTTGAATGCCTATGACCTTTCTCATTTCCTCCACTGTTTAATTTCCTTTTATACTTTGTTTAAAACTTTGAATGGACATATGAGAGATGAAGTCATATTTTTCTAAATAAGTTCAAAAATATTTTGCTTTAAAATATAAGTAGTGATTAAATTTCTAAGAATTGAGCAATTGTTTAATGTTATAAATTTAGTTTTCATGAATATTTCTCTCTCCACATTTCTTCTTCTCAACTTGCTCATATCCCTTCAAATGACAAAATACTTAGAAGTCAAGTTAGATATATTTTTGAAGATATTATTTGCTTATTTATCTATGAGAGGTCAACAACAACTTCCATGAATATTAGGAAAGCAAATATCGGTAGCTCTATTCACTTCAATATTGAATTCACCTATATCTGAAATTTAAATGTCAGTGATAAGACTGACAGAATGTGACAATTTCTTTAGGTAACACAGCACTAAGTGGCAATACTTTAATATTGTCACTGTTACATTTTTCAGATATACAATATATACTTTACCAAGAATCCTAGTCTATTAAGTTCTAAGGATGAGCTGTCTTTATACAAATTCACAATAAATAGCTGTGTAAATAAGAGTTACCATTTTTATTTTATAGCATAAAATGTATTTCAAATAGTTGTACAAATCAGATATGTTATAAAAGAAACATCTTTCCTATTATTGAATTACCCAAAGTTGCTTACCTAACATAGAATCTTGTGGAGGAAAATAGGCCAGTGAAATTCAGTGATTATTCATTATGATCAAGGTGATTAGTACAGAAATCTCCATGACTATTCTGTGCAGTGTCTTTTCTTTAACAATATTTTATAATCATTCTTATTTTTACTTTCTGTAGACAAATCCTTTCTTGTTTTGCCTCCTTTTAGGTACTTTTGAGATTATAAAAGTATATAGTAAAAACAAATGCACACACAAAACTATTCGGTTGGTATACTTAATTTTGTCAGAATAGATTTAGTCCAGGTATATTCCAGTGGTTTCTTATTGAAAGTCCATCCTAGTCCCCTGATTATTACTTGAGTGTTCAATGATGGTTTTTCCTTCATGTTAACAGGAAATAGTTTTGGTTTCTGCTAAAAATGGCAGTTGCCACCAGAATGTGTGAGTTTTATTTCTTAGAAAATAACTATATTTTATATTTGGTGAATATCTTAGTTTTGCATTTAATTTGCTAAGTAGAATCAATGCAATCACTATCATATTCTATAGTTTTTCCTAACAGATCGATAGAGTAAAATGTATGGTTTTTCTAATTTTTAGCATGTGTGTCCAATAAAATGACTTTATATAATTTTTTTCTTTTTGGTTCATTTTTTTTCCAGTCAAAGCTTCTTCTTTAGTTTCTCATATAATTGATTCAAAACTCGTAAGTGATGATCACAGTAACCTTAGGTATTTCTTAATTCTCCATAATAAATATAGCATCTGAGTCTAATTTCTTCTGGGAGATTTATTAACTTTTAAGATAGTATGTGTCACTTACATAATCTAACAATGCATTTTGCATACTAAAATGATGAAACATTCTTAATGAATTTAAATAGCTACTTTATCAGAAACAGGAGTCATAGGTTGAATTTTTATGTGAGTAGTAGAGCTAAGAATATTTGTAAAACAGCTCTCCATGATGGGCTCCAACAGGATGAAGTAAGACCACCTATCAAGGAAGTAAGATCAATCCCAAAATGAACTGTACATGAAATTCTGCTCTAAGATCTTTTTGCTTTTTAACATGATTTCAGAAAAGGCTAATTTTTGTAATGGACTACAATACTTGTTTTGCTACATAAGCTTTCAGGATTTTTTTTCTTTTATTTTTATTTTAAAATTAATTTTTGAGCAGCATTCTTGACTGCAAGAAAGCTTCTGTCAGTTTCCCAAATTACTCAAATAACATGTATTTTACACTGAAAATCATGAGCTCCTTAACTCAAAGCTTTTCCTTGTTGTTTTTGTAACTATTTACCATACAATTACTTGTAAATGAAATGTATAACATAAATATGTGCTAACATAAAGGGAAATGTTTAAATATTTTTTAAACTTCTGAAAAAAGATAAAACTCTCGGTTTTTAAGAACATTGTATCTTTCATTTTATCCTTCTTTCTCCTCCAAATATATTAATAACTATCCTTCTATTTGTTACATTCTTTTACTTAAAGGGACTAAAGTATAAATCAGGTAATTAATACACAAAACTTTATTCTGTCCCTTGCTTGTAGCACTACTTCATTCCAGTTTCCTCAGAGTTTATTATATAAATCAGACAGATTTGTAAATAAGTATTTTGCAGTCTACATTTATTTGATTATGAAAATGGAAACATAGAATAAAATGTGAACAGATAATAAGCTTTACTTGTGTGTTTCTCCATCTTTTCAAGTTGATCAGGTATATGGATGGCATTTTAAATAATGTGTTAAATTTAGAGAATACATTAAATAGAAAAGAAAATTGTGGGAAATAGGAAAGCCTTTCCATTAAGGGTTTAGATATAAAATGTTCTATTCAGTTACAAACTGAACCTAAAATGAGAGGTTTTTTTTTGTTTAACTGAAAGAGCTAGAGAGTAATTAAAGGTAATTTGCATGTTATTATTCTTAAAAGGTTCGCTTTTCTGTTCTAAGAATACCAGGAAACAATTGAATAGATAAAAAGCAAACTATAAATTGCCAAATAGATCTTTTGTATAATAATACATCTCCCAAGACAAAAGATATTTCAGACCCATAAAAAATAAGGGAAGTGTATTTGCCCGACTGGTCTTGCATCTTGCCTGACCACAATGAATTTGCATCAGATTTTAAACTCACAGAGTTATAAAATATCTTAATGTGTTAAGAGGGAATCAAAAGTGAATGTGATTAACTTGAAGGAACTAGTTGGCAGACTTTAACATTAGGCTAGCAGAAACTATTTAATAAATAAAACTGAAAGCAGAAAAATACTTTTCTTAAATAATTATTAGTGGCAGATTGATACTGTTAATATTATTGATTCATCTGGGAAGTCCTCCCTCTTGCCCTTTCTCTACCCAGATCTTGCATTCTTTTGCAAAATAAGAACAATACAAACTCATTATTATTATTATTATTATTATTTTTTTATTTTATTTTATTTTTTTTGGAGACAGAGTCTCGCTCTATCCCCCAGGCTGGAGTGTAGTGCCGTGATCTTGGCTCACTGCAACCTCCGCCTCCCGGGTTCACGCCATTCTCCTGCCTCAGCCTCCCGAGTAGCTGGGACTGCAGGCTCCCGCCACCATGCCCGGCTAATTTCTTGTATTTTGTTTAGTAGAGACGGGGTTTCACCGTGTTAGCCAGGATGGTCTTGATCCCCTGACCTCGTGATCCGCCCGCCTCGGCCTCCCAAAGTGCTGGGATTACACGTTTGAGCCACTGCGCCCAGCCACAAACTCATTAAGTCACTTATTTACTACTCTATTCCTCAATGAACTCTTTTGTAGACTTCTACCCCATCTATAACCAATGCAGTGGTACTCCTCCCTCTCATATTTAGTTTCTCAGCTCAAGTAAGACTTCCTCAGAGGTTTAATCTAATTAATCTTAATCTAATTAAAATAGAAACCCTTACCCATTTATTCTGTCCAAAGCAACGTTTCCCCTCCCCTCCCCTTCCCCTCCCCTTCTCTTCCCCTTCTCTTCCCCTTCCCTTCCACTTCCTTTCCTTCCCCTTGCCTTCCTTCCTGCCTTCTTTCTTTTCCTTCTTTCTGTCTTTTCTAATACAAGGCTTGACCACTGGGATAAAATTGTCAAAATGTAAAAAGGAGATAATTAAAAAATAAATAGTACCTAAGTAGTATGCTAAAACATACATGGGGCAAGATCATCTTTGCATTTTATCCTTGGGTGCATTCTGGACCACCTTAATTTTTTTTTTTTCCTAAGACAGAGTCTCTCTCTGTCATGCAGGCTGGAATGCAGTGGCACCATGATGACTCACTACAGCCTCCACCTCCCAGGCTCAAGTGATTAATCTTAAATAGTGCAATTATTCTATTTAATCACAAATGTCAGCATCTCTTTTCTTTAGTTTTGGCACATGATTTTCACCTTTTATCCTCTCTCTCTCTCTCTCTCTCTCTCTCCATGCTTCATTATATTAGTTCCCTAGGCTATCACAACAAATTGACACAAACTAAATGACTTCAACAACAGCAATGTATTCTAAAACAGTTCTAGAGGCTAGAAGTCCTAAATACAGTGGGGCCACACTCGCTCTGAGGTCCCTAGAGAGAATCCATTCTGTGGATCTTCCAGCTTCTGGGGGCTGCCAGCATTCCTTTACTCATGCCAGCATTCCTTTTCCCCAGCTTCTGGGGGCTGCGCCACTCCAATCTCTGCTCCCTGGTCACATTGCCTCCTCTTCTGTGTGTCAAGTCTCCCTCTGACTCACTCTTAAAAAAACATTTGTCAGGCCAGGCACAGTGGCTCATGCCTGTAATCCCAGCAATTTGGGAGGCCGAGGAGGGCGAATAACTTGAGGTCAGGAGTTTGAGACCAGCCTGGCTAACATGGTGAAACCCTTCCTTGAATAAAAGTACAAAAATTATCTGGGCATGATGGCAGGCGCTTGTAATCCCACTCCTCAGGAGGCTGAGGCAGGAGAATTGCTTGAACCCGGGAGGCAGAGGTTGCAGTGAGCAGAGATCGCACCACTGCACCCCTCCAGCCTGGGCGAAAGTACAAGACTCCATCTCAAAAAAAAAAAGAACATTTGTCATTGAATTAGAGACCCGTGAGTATATTTCAGAATAAGCCCCTTCCCTTAAAGTCCTTAACTTAATCACAAGCATTGCCGTATAAGGTAATATTCACTGTTTAACGTGTCATTATATTCAAAGATTCCAAGGATTAACGCGTCACATATCTTTTAGAAAAAACTATTCGGCCTACTAAACTCGATGAATCTTCATCTATTGAGACTCAGGCCGAATCAGATAAAAAGCTTTACAATATTCCACACCTCTCTCTACATGTGTTAAAAACAAGGAGAAAGAGTTTCTCTTAAAATTTTAAGTTCACTAAAAATAGAACAAAAGCAGAAACAATTGAGGTTTTTGTGGTTGTTGCTGTTTGTGTCTTTATTTTTAAAGATTCTACTTTGTACCATATACGCATGGTAAATTATTCATTATCATATCTGCTCCTTTTTTTTCATTTGAAGTAATCATATTCCATGGAAAATATTTAAATTCCCAGGCATTGTTAGTTGTAGAGCTCATAAAATGTTCAATGCTTCAGTGAGTTGCAAATTGAAAACAGAAATAAATTCTTGGAGAAAAACTTGACAGTATTCTACACACTTTGCTCTTGATTGATGTCATGTGGTGATTCCAATAAATGACTTTTTTCAAACAACTTAAACTATAACTGATTTAAGTAAATGGGGGTGCAATGGTTCTTTCTTATATATCTCATCTGCTGAGATGCTATACACAGAATTTCAATCATCTTACCCTATGATTTTTCAAAGGTATATAAGAATGAATAATAATATTATTATAATAATATTATTCATTATTATTTATTCTAAAAATAAAAATAATTATAATATTCATTATTCTAAAAATAAATTTTTGTTTATTATTAATAAAATAACATTATAAGGATACATTTATTTATTACAATCATGAAAATATTTAAAATGTACCATTTTCTAGGTAGTAAACTAGTGCTTCACATATTTTTGTTTATTTAATCTTTATTTTTATAAGTCAACAACTATAGACATTATTTTATATTATTTATACTTTATAAAATATAATAAAGACATTTTAAAATATATATCAAATATATATTATAAAGTATTACATTATAAAATACTATATTTTATAAAGTAGATGACTATCGATATAGTCATTATATAGATGAGTAAACTGAGGCATATTGTTTCTGTAAAAACCTCAAGAGCGCACATAAAATAAATGCTGCAGACAATGAGCCAAAATCATACTAAGGATTTTGCTTCCAGAAGCTGCACTCTTAACTACTAGGCTCTAATGCCTCTTTTTATATAAATGATATCATACTGTTCTCTTTTGATCTGGCATCTATTAATTAGCATATTTATTGAGATTAATCTATTTTATAGTATGGATGAAAGTTTCATTTCTTTTATTGCTTGTAGTATTTCAAAATATGGATATATCAAAGCTTGCTTATTCATTCATCTGTTAATGAATATTTGATTGTTACATGCTCTTCACTATTAGCCCCTCTCTCCCATAAAAAAGTGCTGTGAATGTTTTGGTACAAGTTTTTTATGTACATATACTTTCATTTCCCTACAAATTGATTGGCAGTCATATGATAGGTGCATACGTCAAAATATTTTAAAAACTGACAAGGCTTTTTCCAGAGTCATTGTACTAATTTCCATTACCATTAGCAGTGCATGTATGTTGGTTGTCCTCTATAGTTTTGCCAACACTTGGCATGGCCAGCCTTTTTAACTTTAGCCATTCTTTTTTCTTTCTTTCTTTCTTTTTTTTTTTTTTTTTTTGAGATGAAGTTTCACTCTTGTTGCCCAGGCTGGAGTGCAATGTGCAATGGCACAATCTCGGCTCACTGCAATCTACACCTCCTGGGTTCAAACAGTTCTCCTGCCTCAGCCTCCCAAGTAGCTGGGATATAGGCGCACATCACCATGCCCAGCTAATTTTTGTATTTTTAGTAGAGATGGGGTTTCCCCATGTTGGTCAGGCTGGTCTCGATCTCTTGACCTCAGGTGATCCACCCACCTTGACCTCCCAGAGTGCTGTGATTACAGGTGTGAGCCACTGTGCCTGGCCTCTTTTTTTCTTTTTTGAGATGGGTTCTTGCTCTGTCACGCAGGCTGGAGTGCATTGGCACAACCATAGTTCACTGCAGGCTCCACCTCCTGGGCTCAAGTGATTCTCCCACCTCAGCTTCCGAGTAGCCGGTACTACAGGCATGTGCCACCATGCCTAGCTAAATAGAGACACCATGCCATGTCTTTTTCTTTTTTGTAGAGACAGGATCTCACTACGTTGCCCAGGCTGCTCTCTAACTCCTGGGGTCAAGAAACCCTGCTGCCTTGACCTTCCAAAGTGCTGGGATTACAGGCTTGAGCAACTGTACCCAACCCATTTTTGACAGACACAGATCAATTCCCTAATGACTAATGATATTGAGGATCTTTCCATGTGTTTACTTTCTATCTACATATGTTCTTTAGGGAAGAAGTATTCATTTAAGCCATTTGCCTACTTTTATTAGAGTTGCTACATTTATTATCAAGTTTTGAGAGTTCTTATATTTTCTGGACACAACTTTTTTGCCAGACATATATTTTGCAAATATTGTTCTCAGTAGTGTCTTATATTTCTATTTGTTTTACAGTGTTTCCTGAGGAACATATGTTTTACATTTTGATGAACTCGAGTTGTCAATTTCTACTTTGATGAAACATGGTGTTTGTGTCATGTCTAAGTAGTATTGAGGTCAAAGACTTTTCTATATTTTCTCCTATACGTAATTTTTCTTCCTTTTTTTCACTTTGTTTTTACATTTTACATTTAGGCATATGATCTGTACTAAATTAATTTTTGTATCATGAGTTACGTGTTAAAGTTCTACTTTTTGCATATGAGCATCTAATTGTTCCAGCAGAATTTGTTGAAGGGCTATCTTTTATTTACTGAATTACCTTTGTATCTTTGGAGAACACCAATTTACCAAAATTCTGTACATATATTTCTGAATTTTCTATTATCTTCCAATGACATTTCTGTCTATCTTTATGCCAATATCACACTATTTTCATTACTGTAGCCTTATAAGCTTTGGCATTAGATTGTGCTAATCCTTCAAAAATATTCTTATTTTTAAGAATTATTTTGGCTATTTTAGACTCTTTGCATTTCTACTGAAGTTTTAAAATTAGTGTGTAAATTCCTATAAACAATGCCTAATAATATTTTAATTGGTATTGTATTGAATCTATATTTAGGGATAATCACATTTTACCATGTGAATTTTCTAACCCATATTCATATTACATCTTTCCATTTATTTAAGTCTTCTTTAACTTTCTGCAGTGTTTTGAGTTTTAGTGTACCAGACTCACATCATTTGATAGATTAATTCCTAATTCTTCTACATTTTTCATGATATTATTAATAGTACTTTTATTTTAATTTTTTATTGTTCATTGCTGGTATATGGAAATATTAGTTTAATATGTTGCTTTTTTTCTTTTTTATGTTGCTAACTCACTTATTATAGCCAGCAGTGTTTTTGTAGATTTCAGTGGACTTTCTACAGAGACATGCCGTCTATAAATAAAACCAATCTACATTTTCCTTTCCCATCTGTAATTCTTTTGTTTATGTTTTTTGTCTATTTTACTTGGTAGAACGTCTAGTGGAATGTTAAAACAAAGTGCTAAGAGTTAATGGACTCATCTTGTTCCTGAAATAGGGGGAAATAAACTGATTTTTCTTCATTAAGTATGATGCCAGCTATTGTTTTTACATAGATATCTTTTATTAGGATATTCTTGAATTTCTTCTAGACAGTAATAACTTAGATCTTGTTTTATTCATCCAATCTGCTTTTAAATTGGTATATTTAGACCATTTATATGTAATGTGGTTATGTGTGCATATATTTTTTTTTTCTTTTTTTTTTTTTTTTTTTTTTTTGAGACAGAGTCTGGCTCTGTTGCCCAGGCTGGAGTGCAATGCGATGATCTTGGCTCACTGCAACCTCTGCCTCCTGGGTTCAAGCCATTCTCCTGCCTCAGCCTTCTGAGTAGCTGGCATTACAGGTGCCCACCACCATGCCTGGCTAATTTTTTGTATTTTTAGTAGAGACAGGGTTTCACTATGTTGGCCAGGCTGGTCTCGAACTCCTGACTTCATGATCTGCCCACCTCAGTGTCCCAAAGTGCTGGGATTATAGGCGTGAGCCACCGCACCTGGATATTTTTAGTTTTAAACCTATTATTTTGCTTTTGCTTTCTATCTTTCCTGAAGGAATTCAGAACCAGATACCCCGAAACGTGCCACTTTGGCATATTGATTTTTTTGAGTTAAAGACACTTGAAAAATAGCAGGTGCAAGAAAAGCACTCTGATTTTCCTTTAAAGCACTCTGACTTTCCTTTAAAGCACTCTGATTTTCCTTTAAGGCACTCTGATTTTCCTTTAAAGCACTCTGATTTTCCTTTTTCTTAAAAGTAGGAGGTAAAATTTCTACATGAAAGTTGCCCTCTTTATACAAGAAGGAAAGTAACAGTCTCATCACCCAGGATGAGAAGTTGAGGCAAGGGAAACCTGTACAAACATACCTTGTTAAACCAACCCTTATCCTGTTAATCACCTCTTCACCCAATTAACTACACTAGTTCCAGCTCCTTTGTGTTGTCATATTTCACAATTTACTACTCTGTGTCTACTTCAGAACATAAGTGATTATGTCATGGAGTCTTCCTTCCTTAAAGAATCTCTCATGCCACATAATACATGTATTAAATAAATTTGTATGCATTTTCCTGTTGATCTGTCTTATATCAATTTAATTCTCAGGCTTAGCAGAGGAAAAAAAAAACTAAGAAGATGGTAATAAAATTTTGCTTCCCCTACCATCCCATCTGTTTTTTGCTTATTTTCCCTCTTGTTTGCCTTCTTTTCTATGAATTAAATATATTTTACGGTTTCATCTTATCTCCTTTTTTACTTGAGAATTAAAACTCTCTATATTGTTAATTTTAATGGTTGCTTTTGAGTTTGTAGTATACATGTTTAACTCATCACATTCTACCTTCAAATTATAATATACTACTTTACATACAGTATCATGAATAACAACATTTTCATTATTTTATCCTAACTGTTGTTCTGTTATTGTCATGTGATTTATTTTTATATATGTTGTAAACTCATTATAAATTGTTATTATTCTTGTTTAAATTAGAGGTTAATAATGTTGTTTTCTTCTCTCTCTTTTTTTTTTTTTTTTTTTTTGAGACAGAGTCTAGCTTTGTACCAGGCTGCAGTGCAGTAGTGCCATCTCAGCTCACTGCAACCTCTGCCTCCCGGGTTCAAGAGATTGTCCTGCCTCAGCCTCCCGAGTAGCTGGGATTACAGGCACATGCCACCACACCCAGCTAATGTTTGTATTTTTAGTAGACACGGGGTTTCATCATGTTGCCCAGGATGGTCTCAATTTCCTGACCTCGTGATCCGCACATCTCGGCCTCCCAAAATGCTGGGATTACAGGCATGAGCCACCAGAACCGGACATGCTTTCCTTAAAAGCTAAATATTTTAGGCTTGTGTGCCATTAGGCTCTGTTACAACTACTTAATTCTGCTTTTGTAATTCTATAGCACCCATTGATAATACATAAACAAATGAGCATGAATGTATCTCAGTAAAAATTTGTTCACATAAACAGGCAGTCCACCCATGAAGCTATAGCTTGCTGACCCCTTGTTTAAACAATCAATTGAATTCAAACAGAAATAAAAGGATCTTATATATTTAACCATGTTGATACCATTTCCAGTGCTTTTCATTCTTCTATGTAGATCCAAATTTCCTTTTGATATTATTTTACGTCTGCCTGAAACATTTTCTTTAACATTTTTTATAGTGCTGTTTTACTGGTGATGATTTATTTCAGGTTCTAAGTGCCAGAACAAAATCTTTATTTCACCTACATCTTGAAAGATAGTTTCTCTGAGTCTACAATTTCCAGCTGACAATGTTTATCTTCCAGTACTTTAAAGATGTTGCTTCATTATCTTCTAATTTTCTTTGTTTCCAATAAAATGTTTGCTGGCATTTTTTGTTCCTCTGTGCAAACCGTGTTTTTGTCATTGGCTGCTTTGAGAATTTTTCTTTATCACTAGTTTTAAGCAATTTTATTTTAGTGTATTTTGTGCACAAGACAAGGATGCCCTCTCTCACCACTCCTGTTCAACATAGTATTGGAAGTCCTTGCCAAAACAGTTAGGCAAGAGAAAGAAATAAAGGTACCCAAATAGGAAGAAAGGACGTCAAACTATCCCTGTCTGTAGATTACATGATCCTATATGTAGAAAACTTTATAGGCCCAAAAGCTTAAGGCCCGAAAGCTCCTTAAGATGAAAAACACCTTTGGCAGAGTCTCAGGATACAAAAAGAACATACAAAAATTACTCGCATTCCCATACACCAACAAGAGTCAAGCGGAGAGCCAAATCAGGAATGCAATCTGATTCACAATTGCTGCAAAAAGAATCAAATACCTAGGAATACAGCTAACTAGTGAGGTGAAAGATCTCTGTAAGAACTAAAAACACCAAAGATATCAGAGAGGATGAAACAAATGAAAAAACATTCTATGCTCATGGATAGGAAGAATCAATATCATTAAAATGGCCATATTTTCCTTATTTTCAAGTATGCTATTGCGCTCTATGACTGCCAGATGTAATTCTAAAAATCTGTTTGTTAATTTTATTATTTTATTTTTGGAATTTCTTCAGACATTGATGGTCTTGTCCCAGTTATTAACAACATCTACATGTTTAAGAATAAATTTTCTTTTCTATCTACTTCTTATTCCATTGAAAATTACCTTTCTATCCTCCTACTCTGGAAGTCTTTATGATTCTGTCCTAATCGTTAGTATCCCATTGCTTCTTCAAGAGATGTCTATCAGTAGAATTTCTCCATTAATATAAGTTCATACTTCTATGAAAACTTTAAATCTCAAGTCTACAGTATTTCTAGTTCTAAAAAATATTTAAATTAGTTCTTTAATTATTTCCATCTTTATGTTTACTTTCCTTTTTTTTCTAGCATTTTAAACAACTTTACGTCAACAATTCTTTATCTTCACTTTACCTCCCTTTACCTTTCTTCATTTTATCCTAGCCATTGGATTCAGAGAAAATTATTCAACTTTTAAACTTCAAACTTGCTAGATCTATATTTAACTATGTCTATTGTTCTCTTCAGAACATCTGTTGAGTTTTTAATCCAAGAGCTATTATCAGTATTTTCTAAAATGCAACCTCTTCTTGCATGTCTCTGAAGATATGAATTACACTTACTGTAATTACATTTGTTTCTTGTCTTAATTCTGATTCTCTGAAATTACTTATTCTGTTTGCTAAGTTTTGTATCTTCTTTCTTGTTTTTCTTAAAAGTTGGGTGACAATATTTTACATGGGTAGTTTTTCTGTTAATCATAGCTTATCTCCAATGATTAGGAAAATAACAACTATGAAGTAGGACAAAGTAACCTGGTTTCTTGTGTTTTAGCATTGCTGCTCCCTGTTCCTTCCTGGTTTTGTTAATTACCTGAGACTCTGCCCTGTTGATGTTAGTCAGATTCTAAGACTCACCTTGCCAAGCAAGCACTGCTTTGTTATTCCAAAGTGAAGTTCATTCTTACTTTGTCTGGAAAGCAGTCTCTGCATCTTTTACCTCATTATTTCCCTCCTTTCATATTATGTTTCTTCCTTTACCAATTTTAATGGAGCTTCCCCTTTTTCGTCTCTAAGATCTCCTCAAAAACAAAACAAAAAAACATTATCAGCATTAACATATACGACAGAGAGCTTCATTGATGTGGTTTGGCTGTGTCCCCACCCAAATCTCATCTTGAATTCCCATACCTTTTGGGAGGAACCTGGTGGGAGGTAACTGAATCATGGAGGTAGGCTTTTCCTGTGCTGTTTTCCTGATAGTGAGTAAGTCTCATGAGGTCTGATGGTTATTATAAGGGGGAGTTTTCCTGCACAAGCTCTCTTTGCCTGCTGCCATCCATGTAAGTTATGACTTGCTCCTCTTTGCTTTCCACCATGATTGTGAGGCTTCCCCAGCTACATGAAACTGTAAGTCCAATTAAACCTTTTTTCTTTTGTCAATTGCCCAGTCTTGGGTATGTCTTTATCAGCAGCATTAAAACAGACTAATACAGTAAACTGGTATCAGTAGAGTGGGATGCTGCTGAAAAGATACCTGAAAATGTGGAAGCAATTTTGGAACTGCGTAACAGGCGGGGGTTGGAACAGTTTGAAGGGCTCAGCAGAAGACAGGAAAATGCAGGAAAGTTTGGAACTTCCTAGAGACGTTTTGAATGGCTTTGACCAAAACGCTGATAATGATGTGAACAATGAGATCCAGGCTGATGTGGTCTCAGATGGAGTTGAGGAACTTGTTAGAAACTAGAGCAAAGTTGACTCTTGTTATGTTTTAGCAAAGAGACTGACAGCATTTTGCCCATGCCCTAAAGATTAGTGAAACTTAGAACTTGACAGATGAATTAGGGTATCTGACAGAAGAAATTTCTAAACAGCAAAGCATTGAAGAAGTGACTTGGGTGCTTTTAAAGGCATTCAGTTTCAGTTTATAAGGCAAGCAGAGCATAAAAGTTCAGAAAATTTGCAGCCTGACAATGTGATAGAAGAGAAAAACCCATTTTCTGAGGAGAAATTTAAGCTGGCTGCAGAAATTTGCATAAGTAACAAGGAACTGAATGTCAATCCCCAAGACAATGGTGAAAATGTCTCCTGGGCATGTTAGAAGTCTTCACAGCAGCCCTTCCCATCACAGTCTCAGAGGCCTAGAGGAAAATGGTTTTGCTGGGCCCAGGGTCCCCATGCTGTGTGCAGTGTAGGGTGTTGGTGCCCTGCATCCCAGCCACTCCAGCTGTGACTAAAAGGGACCAAAGTACAGCTTGAGCTGTTGCTTCATAGGGTGGAAGCCCCAAGCCTTGGCAGCTTCCATGTGGTGTTGAGCCTGTGGATGCACAGAAATCAAGAATTGAGGTTTGGGAACATCTGCTTAGATTTCAGAAGATATATGGAAACACCTGGATGCCCATGCAAAAGTTTGCTGCAGGGATGGGGCCCTCATTGACAACCTCTGCTAGGGCAGTGAGGAAGGGAAATGTTGGGTGGGAGCCCCCACACAGAGTCCCTACTGGGGCACCACCGCCTGGTGGACCTGTGGGAAGAGGGCCACCATCCTCCAGACCTCAGAATGTTAGATCCACCAACAACACCATGTGCCTGGGAAAGCCACAGACACTCAACACCAGCCCACAAAAGCAGCCAGAAGGCAGGCTATATCCCGCAAAGCCACAGGGGCAGAGCTGCCCAATACCATGGGAACCCACCTCTTGCATCTGCATGATCAGGATGTGAGACATGGAGTCAAAGGAGATCATTTTGGAGCTTTAAGATTTGGCTGCCCCTCTGGATTTCAGATTTGCATGGGGTCAAGAAATGAAAAGCATAAAAATTGAAAAGTGAAAAGAAAAAATATTTTTATTCACAGAACTTATGTATGTATATTGTGTATGAAGAAAATCCTAATACATTTATTTAAAAAGCTGTGAATAATAAGAATCAAATTCAATAATGGTGCAGAATGTGTAGAATGCAAGGTCAATACATAAAATACAATATGTAAAATTAATGGAATTTCTAAATACTAGAAATAAACAATTGAGAATACATTTAAAAGTAAAATTTTAATGGTATAAAAATAGTTAAGAATAATTTAAGTGAAACCTTTAAAAATCTTTCACTCTAAAACTTTTTAAAATTTCTTGTAGAGAAACATTACAGAAGACCTAAATAAATGTAAAGAACTACCATATTCATAGATTTGAAGATGCAACATTGTTTGATGTGAATTCTCTGGAAGTTAATCTTTAGAATCAATGCAGTAGGGGCTGGGCGCGGTTGCTCATGCCTGTAATCCCAGCACTTTGGGAGGCCAAGGTGGGTGGATCACAAGGTCAGGACATCAAGACTATACTGGCTAACATGATAAAACCCTGTCTCTACTAAAAAAAAATACAAAAAAATTAGCCAGGCATGGTGGCACGGGCCTGTATTCCCAGCTACTCAGGAGGCTGAGGCAGGATAATTGCTTGAATCTGGGAGGCTGAGGTTGCAGTGAGCCGAGATTGTGCCACTGCACTCCAACCTGGGTGACAAGGTGAGATTCTGTCTCAAAAAAAAAAAAAAGCATCAATGCAATCTATAGTTTGTAATTTATTGACTACAATGAATTCTATATCTATTTACTACAACTCTATAGTAAATTGTGGCAAACATTTTGAGAGAAATTCACAAGCTGTTTCCAAAATTTGTTTAGAAAATTCATAGGACCTAGAATTTTGAGAAAAAAATAGAGCCAATTTTCAGACATCTAAGAAAGCTGCAGTATCAAAGCATCATAACACAAAAATAATAAGGATAAAGATGGGTTCAAAATTAGACCTCCACCTATGCAGTAAATTAAATGTTTATAAGGGCATGTAGATAATTCAGTGGGGAAAGTAAGTCTTTAACAAAGGCTTTTGAAATAAATGCATTCTCATATTAAAAAAATACATGCATCAGTCCTTTGTATACACAAAACTAATCCGATATTTTTAATGTAGGCATAAAAATGAAAAAGCAAAATTCAGAAAGCTTTTAAAAGAAAAAAATTAAACAATATCTGTGAGCTATTATAATAGGAAAAATATTTCTGAACAGAGAAAGCACTATCATAAGATTAAAAATTGATAAATTGTAGATATTAATTAAAAATGTATCCTAATAAAACTGCAAAATGTAAGAAAATATAATTTTAAGCCATAGACTGTGATAAATTATTCCATATATGTATGAGAAAAAAATTGCGTGTTCAAAACGCACAGAGTACTCCTGAGATCCACTAAATAGTTATAAGAATCTTGAACAGGTATTTCACAAAACAAGAGATACAAGTGGCTTATAGGAATGTGAAAAGATGCTCAATATTATTAGATAAGGGGAAATGCAACCAAAATGCATTGAAACTGGAAAGACTACCATTTAAAATGATAATACTAATATTGGCAAATATGTGGGGAAACTAGAAGTCATGTCTATTTCTTGTGAGAGTGTAAAATAGAACAACCGGCTGGGCGCGGTGGCTCATGCCTGTAATCACAGCACTTTGGGGGGCCGAGGCGGGTGGATCACGGGGTCATGAGATCGAGCCTATCCTGGCTAACATGGTGAAACCCCGTCTCTACTAAAAATACAAAAAAAAAAAAAAATTAGACGGGTGTGGTGGCGGGCGCCTGTAGTCCCAACTAATCAGGAAGCTGAGGCAGGAGAATGGCGTGAACCTGAGAAGTGGAGCTTGCGGTGAGCCCAGATCACGCCAGTGCACTCCAGCCCGGGCGACAGCGCGAGACTGTCTCAAAAAAAAAAAAAAAAAAAAAAAAAAAAAAAAAAAAGCGGAACAACCGCTTTGAAAAATAATTCGCTTCTAAATAAGGCCAACATATATCTACCCTATAGCACAGCAATTTCAATTCTAGAAATTTATCCAACAAAAATAAAAGCATATATTTACACAAAAACCTGTTTGAGAATGCACCTAAGTCCTTTATTTGTAAAAGCTAATTCTGAAAGCAATCTGAATATTCACTAACAGACTAATGAATAAGCAAACTCTGACAAATACATAGGCAACTCAGAAATATGAGGAAAAATAAACAAATGATACACACAAATATTTGGCTAAATCTCAAATATTTATTTATGCTAAAGAAAATAAACCAGATACACACTCACACACACATCCTGTAGGAATTCTAATTATTGGAATTTGAAGATGAACAAAATTAATCAATCATGATAGAAATTATAAGGGTTTAATCCGAGTTATTTGGGATGCTGAAGCCGGAGAATCGCTTGAACCCGGGAGGCGGAGGTTGCAGTGACCTCACATTGTACCACTGCACTCTAGCCTGGGTAACAGAGTAAGACTACGTCTTAAAACAAACAAACCAAAGAAGTTATACAGGTTTGCCTCTGAAGAAGAGAAGAGAAGTTTGAATAAGCACAATAGTATTTTCTAGATTTAGTGTAATTAGGTAAATATATCAATTTATAAAAAGTACGAAACCACATTTTTGACACGTTTATTATATTTAAAATATAGCGCAATAAAATAAGGTTAGGAAATGATTGCATATTACTCTCTGAGAGGAAGAATGTTATCTGTTGGTAGAATTAATAAAGTTACTCATTTCTTATAAGAAGTAAAGATATATTGGCCGGGTGCGGTGGCTCGCGCCTATAATCCCAGCACTTTGGGAGGCTGAGGCAGGCAGATCACAATGTCAGGAGATTGAGACCATCCTGGCTAACACGGTGAAACCCCATCGCTACTAAAAATACAAAAAATAAGACGGGCGTGGTGGCGGGCACCTGTAGTCCCAGCTATTCAGGAGGCTGAGGTAGGAGGATAGCGTGAACATGGGAGGCGGAGTTGCAGTGAGCCGAGATCATGTCACTGCACTCCAACCTGGGCTGCAGAGTGAGACTCTGTCTCAAAAAAAAAGAAAAAAGAAGTAAAGATATATCTATTAACCCGTATAGGTATATATAAGCTAAAAACAACCATTCAACTTTTGTGGGCATAGTAGTCTGTGTCAGGCATGTTTGTATAAATCATAAACATTTATTCTCATTCAAATAATAAATATATTATCTCACGGTTATAAAGGTATAATAAGTACAATTTTAAAAAATAGACAAACTTTTCTGAATATTTCCAGTACAGTGGTATATCATTTTTTTCCAATAGAATAAATAGAAAAATACTCAATCTCTGGGTAATATTTTGCAGAAAATGAATTAGTTACACTTATTCAAGTTGAATTATTCTAGTTCCTCAATTTTATATTCCAGAAAAATATATGCTGACTATATTTTTAATGCTTTTTTATTAGTTTGTTTATTGATATGTACATCACTTTTACTGATTCAGTTTTGAGCAAGGTGTGACTCTTTATTCAATTTTCCAAAGAGTTCCAAACCAAAACTTGTGGATTTCCAGTTGATCTGTATATCACCTTGCCACCTCTGGCTTTTTTCTCTCTAATACAGGTATAAGAATAACATTTAACAATAAATGATTTGTGAAGCCAGTTGAAAAATGTTCATGCTATATTAATCAACTTGATAAAATGCATTAAATTTATGAGTTTCTACACGTTTGTTAGTGCCTGGAATCTATAGGTAGAGACACCCATAAAAAAGTCTTATAATATAAGCTATATAACTTAGTGAAAAATCAATAAGGCATACTAATGTTTGCATAGGATGACAACCTGGTCATGTTAATTTTTCTGAGAAAATAATCTCAAATGAAAAATCACTTCCCTAAAGCATTATTTGTTTTTATATCAGATTTATTTTAGTTCAACCAACATTTATTGCATGCTGTAAGTATTAGATATTGTGATTGGTCCTGGGAATGCTAAGATAAAAATTTCTCCTTTTCTAACCTTGAATTCACAGAGAGGTAGAAGCAAGAGAAGCATAAACATATAATTTCAATGCAATATGGTAAGTAAAATGATAGTGGTATTTTTTTCTGAATTTTCAGATATCAATTATTTATTTATAAACCGTTCTTTAGAGGGTGATTTATTTTCTCTATAGACATCAACAAGATACACTTGCCTTGTATGGCAAAAATAAATTAATTTTAGCTTTGTGCAGATACATCCTATTGAGTTAAAAAGTGATGCTATCAAACACCACTGACAACAACAAATTCAGGATTTATGGCTCTCTTTGTCTCTGTTTCTCTCTCCTTCTCTCTCTCTCTCTCTCTGTGTGTATATATATACATATATGTATATTATACATATATAGTTTAGGATGCATGTGTATTTATATATAATTTTAGTTTTTAGAACAAAATTAAAAATAAAGTGTCTTTAAATGAAAGTGTGTTTGTAACACAATCTTATGACATCAGCATTAAAAAGGCTATTCAGAACACTTCCTCAAATTGAAACTATTACCAATACTGAGTTAAATATTTTAGGACTACTTCATTATCTAGGAAATTTGAGAAGCAAATTAACTCTTTGCTCAGAGTATTGTGATACCATATCTTTTCTTGTAAAATAAGATATTGTTTAATTATAAAATATTGTCAAATTTCTGAAAAAGTGTTTATATAAGTGTTAGGAATATGTTTAGCCCTGGGAGCCATGTGTTACTTATCATTGTACAGATCTTGCTGACACAACTGGGTATGGTAGAAGGCCTGATAGGATTAACTGCAAGTAAAGCAGAAATTATTAAAAACAATATTGAGGCCAGGCAAGGTGGCTCATGCCTGTAATTCCAGCACTTTGGGAGGTCGAGGCAGGTGGATCACGAGGTCAGGCCTTCAAGACTAGCCTGACCAAGATAGTGAAACCCCGTCTTTACTAAAAATACAAAATTAGGTGGGCATGGTGGTGGGTTCCTGTAATCCCAGGCTGAGGAAGATAATTGCTTGAACCCAGAAGGTGGAGGTGGAGGTTGCAGTGAGTCGAGATCACACCACTGCACTCTAGCCTGGGTGACATAGTAAGACAACGTCTCAAAAACAAAAACAAAAACAAAACAAACAAACAAACAAAAATTAAATTAACTGGATGTTAAATGTGGTTTCTTTACATTTACCAGAATTTCAGCCAAGGTCCTAATGGCCCCAAATAATAGGTGCTACATTATCAAGCAGATATATCAAGAGATTGTGATAATGTTAATGAAACCCCTTTGCTCATCACTCATTTCCAAAATTTATATTTTCAAAGGGAATTTTGTACAGAGTTCCTAAAAAAAGGGATCATGATGCCAGTGTATTGCCTCACTGATTGCTAAATGAAGAGGACTATAATGAAGCATTCAAAGAACGTGATGTGCCTCTGGGGCAACTGAAGGATTGCTATCTGACTTATGCATTTAAAACCTTCGAAGTGGAAGTTTGTCTGGAATGGTTTAGGCAAACAGACTAGGTTGGATTGAGAATTGAATGTATACATAAAATTTGGTTTGGTCAGATGAGAACATCAAATGTGGTAGCTAGATCACCGTTATTTATGAGCTTTTTATTGGGTTGATTTGTCTTGAAAGAATCAAATCTAAGAGAAATGTTTGGAATGGCTAGATGATCCTAACAGAAGAAATCTTACTGGTCTTTACTGCTAAACCTAAGGAGATGAGAGTAAACATTAAGTGGCCAACTCAAAGAAGCATGGACTATGTTGAAACATGGACTATAGCTGCAATTTCCCAGTGGTGCAGTTTTCAAGCGTTTTACCCCAGGAAAGAAAAAAATAAATAAATGAAAAGTAGCCATTTCACCATTCAGAGGATAGATACTGTTGCCCAGTGAAAACTACATGAATTATGTAATAGTTTTATGCTTGTTTCCCCCACTCACCATTCCAAAACTGTAAGACTTCAAGATAGAACAGGAGGTATGAAATTTTAACAGCACATAAAAAAATAGTGAACATTCTATCCCCGCACTTCATTGCCATTACTAAGGCTAAGGCAGGACTGAGTTTAGAATGCAGCAAAACTTTGAAATGTATGAGATAATATCTCTAATATTCAAATGCACCATAAACTCAAAACTTAGAATCAATCCTATTTTTAAAATACTGAAAGTGACAAGAAACGTTATAAAATTTTCAAGATATCAGTATATGATAGAAAGAGATGTATTGCTTTAGCACAAATCATTCTACAAAAAAAAATTCTTCTAAAATGAATTACTTATCCATATCCTACAAATTGTCTTTTTTCTTTTTCTTTTTCTTTTTTTTTTTTTTTTTTTTGAGACAGAGTTTCACTCTTGTTGCCCAGGCTGTAGTGCAGTGGCTTGATCTCAGCTTACTGCAAACTCTGCCTCCCGGGTTCAAGCAATTCTCTTGCTTCGGCCTCCCAAGTAGCTGGGATTACAGGTGCCAGCCACCACGCCCAGCTATTTTTTTGTATTTTTAGTAGAGATGGGGTTTCACCGTGTTGGCCAGGCTGGTCTTGGATGCCTGACTTCAGCTGATCCACCGGCCTTGGCCTCCTGAAATGCTGGGATTGCAGGCATGAGTTGCCGTGCCCAGCCACAAATTTTCTTTTACCTTGGAAAACATATATGCAAATATACTTGTCAACTATCTGACAAAGGTCTTCGGTATGTATGTATGGATTCATTGAACATTCTTTTTTTTACATAATGAATATTTTATGATTTTTAGCTTTGGTTTTTTGAAATGAACCAATAAATTGAAGAGACACAAGAAGTAATATGTGTGTAAATACCAGCACGCTTAGCCCCTCAAATAAACCTCTTACAGGTGTCTGACTCCTAAATCCAATTTGACATTTTTTCAGAACTTGTCTTTATCAATTATTTACATTCTGCTTCATTTTCTGATTTGTTTTTTTACTTTCACACTCACTTATCATTGTTTTACACAATAGTTGTTTACTACAGTAACAATTATATCTGACATAAATGTACTGAGGAACAAAACAACCATCTTATGGCATACAAATTAGCAGTGGGAGAAGGCTAACCCCAAACATATGCCAAGCCAGGGGCCAGGAAATCCAGGGATGTGGTTAGGCAGAAACTGGGAAGACACTTTATAGCGATTCCTATCTTCGTTACAGACATGAAGGAGATAAATTATAATATGTAAAAACGGCCCTCCCAGTCCTAAAGAGATTAACTAAAAGTCTAGTACCTTTTAAAGATCTGAATAGGAAACACTTGTCATTTATTGTCTCTAACGGCAGCCACTGTTATGACTTCAAAAGAACCTTGGTCTCCACAATCTTTTATCTTAACCTGAACATTCCCTTTCTATCAATCCCAGGTCTTGAAACAAACTCAACCAATTATCAACCAGAAAATGTTTAAATTCACCTATAGCCTGGAACCAACCCCCAAACCCCAATACCCTCCCATCCCCCAACCCCCCTGCCACCCCCAACCCCTCCCACCCCCACTCCCTCTGCTTTGAGTTGTCCCACCTTTCTGGATCAAACTGATGTATTTCTCAAGTGTAGTTAATTGATGTCTCATGCCTCTCTAAAATGTATAAAAGCAAGCTGCCTCCCAACCACCTTGGGCACATGTTCTCAGGACCTCCTGAATGCTGTGTCACTGGCCATGGTGACTCATATTTGGCTTAGAGTAAATCTCTTCAAATATATTTTTTTAAAGAAGAAAGAAAAAGGAAAAACAAATGCTTTTGCAGAAGCCAAGAAGAAAGTGAAGGGAAATAAATGAGAGTGGAAAAATGAGAGATCAATTGTGGTGAGATATGCTTTTTTTGGCAATTAATTGCAGCAAGTGCCCAAAATGCCAATTATAACATAGTTTGCTATCTACCATTGCTTTATTTAACTGAAGTATTCAACCATAGATATAGAAAAAAGACTGACCTAGTTTAGAAAAGTTCTATCCTGATACATTTAAGCACTAGAGAGTATACACAAATAAAAACACAAACTTAACTTTTCTTAAAAAATTTTACTGAGTCAAATATTAAAAGAGATCACTTGTTTGTAAAGCATCTCATGAAGTTGATTTTTGATTTTTCAGTCCTTCAGTAATTAATAATCTTTATTTTGACATTGATGGTTATCTGATGGAAGAATAACTGCAAGATATTAATAATAGAAATCATTTGCATCAGCCGGGTACAGTGGCTCACTCCTGTAATCCCAGAACACTGGGAGGCCAAGGTGGGCAGATCACTTCAGCCCACGAGTTGGAGACCAGCCTGGGCAATGTGGCAAAATCTTGTTTCTACTAAAGATACAAAAATTAGCTGGGCATGGCGGCATGTGCCTGTAGTCCCAGCTACTCAGGAGGCTGAGATGGGAGGATTGCATGAGCACACTGCACTTCAGCCTGGGCAACATAGTAAGATCCTGTCACACACAAAAAAATCATTTGTGTCAAATGATTTTTGTATCAAAGCTTTCAGAAAAAGGAGTGGAAAGAAAAAAAGCTTTTGTCCATCATTCTTAGATGTCATATTCAATTAAATATTTCTTCAGACTTAATAAAAAAAATTGAACAATAATAACAAGTGTGATTTTATTTCCATTAACCTGAAATTTACTGCTATTTCAAATTCTACTCAATTTAGAGTTTTTAAGATTAAAAACAAGAAATATTAAATAGAAGTTACAATATTTTTGAAGTAATTGGTGAGAATTTGTTTAATAATGCCTACGTATTTGGTAATTTGATCTTAGTTCTACAAATTTCACTATCACAAACTCTTCCCTGTCCGTTACCTCAGCTACAAGATTTATCAGACTGTCAATGATAACTATGTCACATATGGTAGTGCCCTTTGCTTTAATGAGGGTGATTAGCTAAAATTGATGTTCATTGCCTTAATACAGACATACTATATTTAGATATATTTAACTCTATTACACATACTGCAAACACATACTCTTGTTGTCTTCTACACTATTATATATTTTACTTGTTATAGTAGATATTTATTTTCAATGGATAACTAAGTATAATAAAATAGATAGCAGAGGAATTAATTATCTCATATGGATATCATTTCACCTGATCTTGATGAACAAGGAAATGGGTGATTTACCCAGGAATAAATATAAAGTTCTGTATGGTTTGGAAAGCACAAATGGTCACCTAATTTTGAAACACTTTAGGTAAATTCCCATTCAGAAAAACATTTATCACTTATATAACTAATGAAATGCTTAGGGGAAAGTGTTTTGGCTGAAAAAGAACCATACTTTGCTTTTACAGACTATTTTTATATTTGAATATTTCATAAAAACTATTTCTAAGCCAAGGAAAAAAAAACTAAATAAAAAGGCAAAGATCTATTTTTGAAAGTGAAATATTTACGTATAACCGTAGTTAGAAAAGAAGTGGAAATCAATATGAAATCAATATGTGATTTCAGATGATTGCATATTTTATAACTATTAGGGATAAAGTGCATTAGAGCTTCCTGTTGCCAGTTGCTGAAAGGCTTTGATTCAGAGGTAGCATCTGTACAAAAAGATACTGCCATTTTTATGGTAAATGCTTTTTAAATTGAACTAGAAAGTAAATAGTCACACATTTTAAAAAAATATGAATTTTTAAAAGTCTGTGTTTGAACATCAATAAAGAAACCAACGTAACTATGAATTAAGAGAAATCTAGAAATACTTTATTTAAACAAAAACATTGCAAACATTTATGTCATAATATTTACTTTCTTAAAATAGAAACAAAAGCAGTTGGAGATTTAATTCACTATAAGAAAGAAAAGTTTTTGTACATAATGTTTTCTAAGGTAGTAAATGTAAACCTAAGTAACATGGCATGGAATGAAAATAAATTACTGAGAATGGCTTTGTATTGATTATGTATGTTCTGAAATGTTTCCTTATTGAAACAAATCTACACAGTGGAGGAAAATATGTACTTAAAACTGGCATCTGATGTGATTAGTGTATTACATACATACAAATTTGCAATAGTCTCTGAAGAGAAAATGAGATTTCTACCTTTTCCATTTCCAGTTCAGTCCAGTCATTTTGGTGTATTTCTCTGATAGTGTCTCTATTAAAATGTAATTTATTTTATTTTATTTCTATAAATTTATGGAGTGCAACTGTAATTTTGTTACATCCATATGTTGCATAGTGAAGTCAGGATGTTCAGCATATTCATCACCTGAAAAGCATACCTTGTACTCATTAAGTAATTTCTTATCATTTACTCCCCTCTCACTCTCCCCCAACTCTTCCAAGTCTTCATGTCCAAGTCTCTATCATTGCACACTCTATGTCCATGTGAACATATTAATTACCTCCCATTTATAAATGAGAACACGCAGTATCTGTCTTTCTGTGTCTGACTTTCATCTAAGATAATGTCCTCCAGTTCCATCCAAACTGCTCCAAAATACATGTTTCATAAGTATATTATTTTTAAAGGCTGAATTGTATTCCATTGTGTATATCATCATATTTTCTTATCTTTAGGTGGAAATCTTTTTTATTATACTTTAAGTTCTGGGGTACATGTGCAGAACTTGCAGGTTTGTTATGTAGGTATACACGTGCCATAGTGGTTTGCTGCACTCATCAACCTGTCATCTACATTAAGTCTTTCTCTAAATGCTATCCCTCCCCTAGCCCCTCACCCTCTGACAGGCTGTGGAGTGTGATGTTCCCCTCCTTGTGTCCATGTATTCTCATTGTTCAACTCCCACTTATGAGTGAGAGCATGCAGTGTTTGGTTTTCTGTTCTTGTGTTAGCTTGCTGAGAATGATGTTTGCCAATTTCATTCATGTCCCTGCAAAGGACATGAACTCATCATTTTTTATGGCTGCATAGTATTCCATGATGTATATGTGCCACATTTTCTTTATCCAGTCTATCATTGGTGGGCATTTGGGTTGGTTCCAAGTCTTTGCTATTGTGAACAGTGCTGCGATAAACATATGTGTGCATGTGTCTTCAGAGTAGGATGATTTATAATCCTTTGGGTATATACCCAGTAATGGGATTGCTGGGTCAAAATGTATTTCTAGTTCTAGATCCCTGAAGAATCGCCACACTGTCTTCCACAATGGTTAAACTAATTTACACTCCCACCAACAGTGTAAAAGCATGCCTATTGCTCCACATTCTCTCCAGTATCTGTTGTTTTCTGACTTTTTAGTGATCTCCATTCTAACTGGAGTGAGATGGTACCATCTCACATTTTCTTTATCAAATCATCTATTGGTGGACACTTAGGTTGATTCAGTATCTTTGCTACTGTGAATAGTGCTGTGATAAGTGCTGGTATGTTTATGATATAAGGATTTCAAATAGACTGTAAGAGTGTAAAAAGTTTCCACTGAACTTTGGACTGGAAATATGATAAGAGAAGATCCTTTCACTAATAGAGGCGGAGCGTTAAGAGATAAAATCAATAACTAATTTTATGCTGCACTAAACAGGGAAGAAAGAGAAAGTGAGTAAAAAGCCAGTTTTGTGGTTGGCCAGGTTTTGGATTACATAACGAAAATAGACAAACATACTTTATTAAGCATATTGCATAACCTATGCTACTTTCAGCTGATTTATATTCATTTAATCCCTCATTCAACTTAATATAATAGCCTCCTTTCCTTCCTGGCTTTCTACCTGCCTGTTCTCATTCATTAACTTGTTTTAGCCAATGAGTCATGAGTAGCTACTCTGTTCAGGCATTGTTCTCAGTTCTAGTGATACAGTAGCATACAATTTTAACAAAATATCTGCCCTCATGAAGCTACATTTTAGAGGAAGGAACTCAGTGAACAAGTCAATGGAAAAATATAAAATATTTTAGAATACAAATAATTGGTATGAAGGAAAACCAGTCAAATGAGGGGTAAGACATATTCAAGGTAGAGAACAATCTACAATTACACTGAGCCCTGAACAAAGAGAGAATAAGCTATACATAAATTTGGGGAAGAACATTTCAGGAAGAGGGAAGTGTACAGGCTCTAATGAAATCAAAAAGCTAGTGTATTCCAAAAAGAGCAAAAAATCATTATGCTTGAAATTGAATTGAATGAGCAATGAGAAGAATAGTAAAAATGAGATCAAACAATAATCTAGAGCTAGATCAGAAAAAAGTCTAAAAGCTAAAATGAAGGTATGCATATTATTCTAGAGTGTGAAGAGATCTGATCAGGAGAACTACATGATCTGATTACTATTTCAAAATAAGGATTCTTGATGCTATTTGGAAAATGATGGCCTACTATAATGATAAGAGATTATTTTAAATATGTAGTAATGAGATAAAATGACATGAATGAATGTTTTTATTTATAATGAGCATACCAGTGTATAGCCTGTTTAGTGCTTGTATACTTGGAAGCAGTTTATTCTCCGAAGTTTTTTTTCTTTATTTCTTCTCTAACTTGTTCTTTTTAAATTTAATATCAACATAATATGCTTTAACTTTAAACATTTAGGTGCTTTATGAGTGGAATCTCAGTTAAAAAATGTTATTATTCAGTAGGTACTAAATTGAGTTCCTGTTTTACTTTACAAACCAAGCACCATAGGTTGTTACAGAAAACCATTATAAGTCAAATTTTTTTAAAAGTTTCTTCAGTGAAGTAGACATTACAAAAGTTATATTTAAACACAACACTATGAACTCAAGTCACAGAGGCAAAGAGAAACTATTGTATTTGCTTTGAGCATCTACACATTGTAAAAAAGGTTATTGAATGCAATTCAAATCTAACTTCATTTGAGGATAACCCCAGGCACTTTGTGTCTGTATTTCTTGTAGTTTTGGACTATTGGAAACTCATTCAGTTTTGCCTTAAAGCACCCAGTAACCTATGAACAAAATGCATAAAAACTATTACATGATGTTTAGCCTCTGTAGACCAAACACGACAGGTATATGCAATTGCATAGTGCTGATGACTCACAAAAACAAAACAAAACAAAACAAAACAAAGCAAAAAACTCTGTCCTCAGACTGATTTGTGAAAATAACTATTTAATCTAAAAATAAACTGAAGAGTGAAAATTAGAATTAGCAAATAGAGTTGAAGGTGTGTGTGTCAAAATGGATTGTATTTTATATAGTCTTTTACTATAATTATTCTTATAACAGGGCTTGTTTTCCTCTATTAGACTGCAAATGTGTTGGTTACTGAGGCGGTTGCACTTGTTTTTGTATCACTTATGAAACCTAGTATAGTGCTTTGTATTATAATAATCATTCATTAGATATTATATGAATGATTTGAATTATATTTCATAGTAGCTCAAAGTTAGTCTTGATGGATAAATGAATGTAATACAACCATATACATTATTAGTAAGGAACTTAATAATATCATGAAGTATCTTTAACCAAAGTAATAATTAAAAAGTAGGAGTAAACCATAATAAGTTCAAATTTAGAATTTGATAGATAATGGAGATTACTTTTTAGGCCTAAATATTGAAGGATAGATGCTTATGAAACTTTGAGGTTCAAATTATTTGTAGAAATGTTTATTTAATATTATATTCAAGATATTAAAATGACAACAATAGGAAAATGTATAAGAGATTTGTTAAACACATCCTGAAAGCATGGAAATAACCATATATCTTAGCCTAATGCATGAAATAGTATAGCAAATATAAGCAGGATGTTTTTATTTTTATTTTAAAATTGTGTTTATCACTGGATAGGGATAATAAATTTATTCTATTTATTTTTTGCTGTTAAACATATACTTTAATAAACTAAACACATTTGTTACTGCAGTGGATGGAAATATGTTTGTCACAGGTAAAATTGTCACTTGGGTAAATTTTATCTCAAGCAACTCCTTTTTAGTTTTAATACTTTCTATGTTGCCCAAATCAAGTCTTATTTCCATGAATCACTGTTTTATGTAATAATTTTCTTGGTGAAATGAATTTACATAGTTTTGGTACTTTCATGTCAGATTTCTAAGGTAGTATAATTTAGTTTAGAGGAAGAATTTCTACACAGATCATGTAATTGTCTCTTCATTATATATCAGGGTAAAATCTATAAAAAACAAAATTGGTTTGAGAACAAAGCTGTCATTACTTGCAAGATGAAAACAGAAAAATTACATGTGTTTATTAAAACACAGAAGTATATTCCTGTGCAAATTAACGCAGATTCTGAAGTGAAAGACAGGACTTTTGAGAGATTTTGAGTCCAAGGGTTCACCTCTTCAAACACAACAGAAAAAACTCTAATTTTTTTATTTTTAAATCTAATCAGTTTATATATGCCCAGGTCCAGCAAAAAAAAGCTGGGTTGATGATGTGTTTTGCAGTTATTCAAGCTAGTTTGAAAGAGTACCTGGCAGTGATTGTGAAGACCAATGATTATGCTTCTAAGGTCTCTCAATTGCCAGACTCCCACCAAGTATTTTTTAAATATGCTATTGTGTTTTGAAACTCAAAACCTCGTATTTTTGTTAATCTAGTTACCTGCCAAACCAAACAGGAATCCGAAGTTTCATAACCCTGCTGTGTTCTCTGGTTACTAGAAATAAGCATATTTTTGATGTTTTAACAACCTTTTAAAATAATAATTTCTAATAATGAAATAGAATATTTCTATTTTAAGTAGCTATTGGGTATATCTTTACATAACTAGATGATTATAGTAAATGGGTTTTTTAGATGAATGATGTGCATGGGTAGATATTTTTAAAATGAAATATGTTTTTTCCTTTTTTACTTAAATTTCTTTTTAGAACATACTGTTATGAACATTAACATTTATTCAAGTCCTTGGGACAATTCTTCTTCAGTTACCCAGTTAAAATTTTCATGATCTCTGCAAAACACAGATTAGAAATATAAAATAACATAAATTTTAGAATACAGTGAGATGACTTACACAACAATTTGATAATATTTTATATAATATTTTATGATTAACCAGTTAACTGAAACCTCAAAACCTGTATTAACTGATTAATATTGTAGCAAAATGTCAGTTCATGTTATTGTATCAATCACTTCTGGATACATGATTATGCTGTCGTGATATGATTTCTAACAATTGTCTTGTCATTTTTAGCTTTTACTATTATAATTTTAATTAGAATATATTAAAGTCACTATGTCATAACAGACTTTATATTGTGCCGTGCAGTCCTATTGCTCTTTTGTTTCAAATATCATATAGTCTAAAGCAATGATTCTCATTAAATACATGCATCAAAATCAACTGCAGTTATTACATGCTAACTCAAACTTACAAAATCAAGCTCTCTGTGATCCTGGTTAATACATCTAAGTACTTGAGCCAATAATCCAAGTGCTTTGGGGGGTCGAGGTGAGAGGATAGCATGTGGCCAGAAGTTCAAGACCAGCCTGGGCAACATAGCGAGACTCCATCTCCACAAAAAAAATGTTAAAAATTAGCCAGACATGGTGGTGCATGTCTTAGTTCTAACTACTCAAGAGGCTGAGAAAGGAAGATTACTTTAGCCCAGGAGCTCAAAGGTGCAGTGAGCTGTGACTGCACTCCAGCCCGTCTAAAAAAAAAAAAAAAAAAAAAAAAAAACGGAAAGAAAAGAAAAAAAGAAATAAAAAGGTATACACATTTTTTTTCTGAAGTGGATGGAAATATGTCATGTCAGAGGTAAATTGTGACTTGAGTAAGTTTTATGTTGAGCAACTCTTTTTGTTTACATTTTCTATGTTGCCCAAATAAAGTCTTATTTTCATAAATCACTGCTTTACGTAACAACTTTTCCTGCAGCCCTGGGTATGGTGGCACACAGTTGTAGTCCCAGGTACACTGGATGCTGAGGCAAAAGGATCATTTGAACTCAGAACTTCAAGGTCAACCTGGGCAACATAGCAAGATCCTATCTGTAACAAAAAAATTTTTAATGATAATACTCATGCAAAATTCAGTTTGCACTGTTTTAAAAAATGAAACACTTATAAGAGCATGGTGATAAGGCAATTCTGACATGGTGTCAAGCCATTTAAACTTAGATGTAACCTAGGATTTAGGATCCTTGCTATTGTTTACATAGTAAGTCCACATTTAATATCAGTAGATTATTGGAAACTGCAACTATCAGCAAAATGGTGAACAATGAAACAAATTTTACCATAGGCCAATTGATAAAACAATATATAAGTTCCTACTGCATATTTCTGGTCACAATATTATCACTGTACTTCTAAATGAAGACTAAAACACTTAAAACATTCAACACTGAAATAAGTGTGAGGTATACATACATTTTTAAAAAGATTAATAAAAACAAGTAAGATGATTATTTACCCAATTATTCCAGTTCAGAGTCTCGGGTGGCAAGAGCCTATTCTTACTCAGCATGTAATGCAGGAATAAACCCTGCACAGGATGCTATTCCATGGCAGGGCACAACCACATTCACTCACATGGGGACACACAGTGGGGAAATGCCAATTAACCAGACATGCACATCTTGGGGATGTGAGAGGAAGCAGGAGTTCCTGGAGAAAACCCATGCAGGCGTGGGGAGAACATGCAGACCCTACACAGATGGTAGCCCTGTCCAGGAATCAATATTTATTCTCATCTACATTATAGCGAAACATCATTGAACAAAACAACTTTATTTGAGGACCTGTTTTACTTGTACGTCTTTGGGAAAATCTTTTAACTTTTATTACTCATAATCTCAATAAAAGTGTGTTAAGAATACATATTTCAGGAGGTTTTTTGAGATAATCAAATGTGGCAATGCATGCAGAATTAATAGCCCATACGGCATTTTATACAGTATGTTCTTAGTAATCTATATTTAATTGATAATTGCTTTATAAAATAATCTGATTACTTTTGGTATAAAGGATAACATATTCCACTAATACTGTGAAGTTTCAGTGATATAAACACTTAGAAATCATCTGCTCTGTTATGGAAAAAAACATCTAGAAGTATCTTTCAGATTGAAAAATGTTTTTAAGGTGCTGGAATAACAGTACCTCTTGCAGATTTGTCTAGCATTACCCAATGTTTGTGATTGCTGAGTAATATTAGTGAAATAAGTATGCAAATCTTTTAATAACTGAATAGAATCCTTCCCTGAACAATTTCTCAGGTGTTATTGCTGTTGCTATCTTATTAAATATTCAATGCCATCTATTATATCCTATACAGAGTCAAATAATAAGCTTACATAAACTAATATTTAATATAATACTAATAAATTTAAGATGATATAAAGCAGAATAAAATAACATTTCAGAATAAAAAGACTTTGAAGCTTCCTTGTATTACTTGATAAGATTTAGGTACAGTCTCAAGAAAACATTTTTTTTTCCTTCTTCTGCATCAGCTCATCTACAAACCAATTTATTTCTGAAATAGGCCCCAGGGGCAGGCTGGTTGGTGACTGTAGTGGGGGATATCTGACTGGCCACTCAAGGAAATTGCTATGGACTTTTAATCTTATTTTGATTAAGTTCTGTGCAGATTGTGTCTGCCAGGCTAGCACTAAGATTACTGTTTCTGAGATCTTTTGGCTGCTATCAGACTGGACTCAATTTTTTTTCTACATTCTCAAGGTTAAGTTGAAACAGTATTACCCATTATTTATAAATGGTAAGTGTTTAGGTTTTGCCTTGTGTTACAAACTAGAATGTTAATAAAAATACTATATTTAACAAGTTGCAAGTTTATGAAAGTCATTGTTTTTGAAAGAAAGTTTTAGATAAAAAAAAAACAAAAGAAAGCAAAAGAAAAATCCTTTGAGGGGAAACAATGTCTTTATGTGTTTAAAGTTTCAAAAGGTAATTTATAAAGAAATCAAATATAGTTAAAAATAACTAATCAAAGATGAATATTTAGTGTAGAGGAACATGGATATGGATAAACTGTAGGATATTTTATTTATCTTTTTCTTTCAGCAAAGATCTAACCAAAATTAGAGAAATGATGTGTTTTATTCTAGAACCATCACAATACAAACAATAATATGTTGTTTTTCATCTTGTATTGGATAAACACTATTAATCCCAATAATCCATTCCTCTTTGCTTCTTCAATTAAAATCCCGTGTATTATATAAATACCTCCCTCTACCCTCTGCAGTGTAGGAGAATCAGGGAAATCTCATCCCATCTCCCGAAACAGAGATGTATCCTGTATGTGCCTTGCCAATGATGGCAACTTCTTTTTCTTTGTCGAGATATAATAGAAACCCCAGGTTGACACCATTTAGTTCATGATATCACTTCCAGATTGATATTGGTGGAAAGGTGACTTAATCTGGCTAAATCAGATGCAAGAGATGGACTTGTGTTCTATTATTAGAATATAAATTTCTTGTCTTTCTGTATATGAATAGCAAAGCATGCTGCAACAATTGTTCTTATCAGCAAAGAAAAATTCTGATAAGCACCTGGAAATATGGCACCTGGAAGCCCTCATTCCTCAGGACTTGATAAAAGAATTCATTATTATTAAAGCAAGTTAAGAGCCAGGATTACTGTTACTTGTCTTGAAAGCATGTTGACATCTCTATTGTTCCATATGCCTTGTCAGAATGATCTCTGGCTTAGGGAAAACTTTTCAGCTATCTGCTCTAGCACACTGGTGTGAAAGATGTGTTAAGGGAGAGGTGATAGCTTGATCCTTAGTGCTGTTAGACATCAGGTGAGTCTTAGATAGCTCGAATCATCAGGTCACTTTTTTCAGCCATGAGTAGTATGCTCTACAGCAGTTATTAATTTACATAAATGCTGTAGATTTAAAAATGGTAGTGAAGTGCTAATTCAGAGTATCTGATTTATAATTCAGAGCAATTCAATGGGTCATAGTTAAGTTGGCAGGAGTATTCTAGTTATCTCTCCAAATATAATAATTTTAAATATTGTCCACACAAGGAAAAAACCTAACATCTTTCTCCATATCCTTAAAACTCCAGATATGAATTTGATCATGCAGTGCGTCTTTCTGTGCCTGGCTTATTTCACTTAACAAAATGTCCTCCAACTTCATCCACATTGCTAAAAATAACAGCATTTTATGGCTGAATATTGTTCTGGAGGGGTGGATAGATAGATGATAAATAGATAGATGATAAATAGATAGATAGATAGATAGATAGATAGATAGATAGATAGATATACATTTATACACCACTTTTTCTTTATCCATTTGTTGTTAGATGAGTATTTAGGCAGATTCCATATCACGGCTATTTTGAATGATGCTTCAATATCCCTGGGTGCAGATGTCTCTTTGTCATACTAATTTCATTTTTTTTTTTATTACGTACGCAGTAGTGGGATTGCTGGGTAATATAATAGTTCTCTTTTTTATTTTTTGTGGAAACTCCATACTGCTTTTCATAACAGCTATACTATTTTATATTCCCATCAACAGTGTATAACTTTCCTCTTTCTCCACATTATCGTTTCCATTTGTTATATTTTGTCTTCTTGATAATATTCATCATTTAAACTGGGGTAAGGTAATAGCTCATTGTGGGTTTGTTTTGCATTTTTCTGAGGCTTAATGATGTTGAGCATTTCTTTATATATTTTTTGGCCATTTGTATGTCTTCTTTTGTCCATTTTTTAATCAACTTTTTCTTTTGCTATTGAGTTTTTTGAGTTCCTTATATATTCTGGATATTAAACCTTGTTGAATACATAGTTTGCAAACACCTTATCCTGTTCTGTAATTGTCTCTTCATTTTATTGATTGATAAGAAGTAGGTTAATTGTGCTATATAAGTGCAAACTTTGTCTAAAGGAGAATATGTGTTCTTTGAAGGCAAATGTCCATTTGTCAAGCCCCCCAGTACTTTCTTTTATGTAGGAATGCCAATATAGGGCCTTTCCGTTTTGAAGCTGTTTGTGAGTAGATTTTTCTCTTCCCACCACCTGGAGGCTAAAATGTAAACCAGAGACCCAAGAATAGCCACTCATTCCTTGCATTTTTAACCTTGCAAGGTAAGAAGTAGGCAGAGAGTCTGAAATTATTCCTGTCGGATGGATAGATTTTTGGAATCCAATGGTAAAGTGGGAAGTGACAAGCTAAAGCAGAGCCCAGCAGCATTCCAGAAAATGCCTGTGCATGCTTTGCTGGCAGTGGCCAGCGGTCATGACTGACAGGACAATAGCCACATGAAAAGCAGAACTTCCTTTTTCTGATATTGGTTCTGACTTGCTCTCTGATTCCTGCCTGAGCCTGGTTCACCTACTTTTTTTTCAATTCTAAGAGCTGCGTTGTGCTTTTCCAACACATTCATTTTTGCTTGCTTTAAATTCCAAGTATTTTCTATTGTCTTTAAACAACTGCCTACCTAAAATAATTATTAAATATGTAGCTAAAACACTAAATTAAATAAACTTACATTGTTTTCCTTGCTGTAAGAATTCTCTAAGCCTTTCTTATTTTAATATGCATCATGAACCTCCAGTTGAGGCAATGTGCAACACATTTTGAGAGACATGATCTACCTGTTGGAATCTTAACATTTAGAACAGATATATTGATCAGTGTATAATTTTTGGATTATCAAAGATGGGAATAAAATTGAGCTCTAATATATAAAATAAGAGGATTTATATATGTTTGTTTTTTTACTCCCCATCTCACCTGCTACTTCTTTATGGATCACAGTTATCCCACTTGATGGAATTTTTCTCCTTTCATCCATTACTTTTTTATTTAAAGTATTCCCTCTCCTAGGATGTAAGTTTCTATAGACTGAAATGTTGTTATTTAATGGTAATAAGCCTTATTTTCAGGTTGCTTTACAGAATTTTGGCTTTGTCTTTTGTTTTCTTCACTGTACTTTTCTTACTCCACTCAGAATTTGTTGACCTGCTTAAATCTGCTTATCTGTCTTCAATCAGTACTAAAAACATTCTCTATTATTTCCTTAGTTATTGCCTTTGTCTCTCTTTTCCTGGTAAAGTTTAGACATATATTAATGTTTAATTCTATCCTTTGTATCTTGAAACTTTTCTTCAATAATTTATTTTCTTTCTTCCTACTGCACTTCATTAATTTTCCTGTAGTTCTCTGTTACTTCTAGCAGGTATTTCCTTTCTAAATCTACCATGATCATATTTGTATTTTCCTGTGGGCATCTTTAAGCATATGTTTTGTTCTTTAACTTCTGTCTGAAAATTCTATTACTTAAATTGTTTTTCTTGTCTGTCGATTTGTTTCTAGATGTTGTTATCCTTAACAATATACTGATTCTTCTCTGTGTATGTGTGTCTCTCTCTCCATCTCTCTCTAAACACATGCACACAAACTCTCTCTCTCTCTCTCATGTACGCTATATTGCATACAACTGATTTACCAAAATAATTGACTTAATTTTTAATACAGACCTACAAGTTAGTTACTTTCATATTCACGTTACAGTTGACGAAACTGAGACTCAAAGGGAAAAATGACTTGGCCAAGTTTATACACCCAATTAGTGTCAGGATAGTTTAAGATTACCTTGTTGTCTACTATGGAGATAAGTTCCTCCAGAAGTTTTGATTATGCAAGCATTACCCATATCAGATCATCTTAAATCAGGGTGAAAATATGAGTATCTGAACAACTCAGATTTGGTCCCAGACTTCAAGTATGCTCAAGAGTTGGTTCTTGTTTTCTCCTTCATTGAAGTGTATTAACCTTAAGATTCTAGCTTAGAATAGCAAAAGTCTCTGGGCAGACTCTCTATATTTTGTCAGCCATAGACTATAATTTCTGTCTTTTTTCATCTGAGAATTCTATCTGAACAAAAGTTAACTTGGCTTGCAAGGAGAAGTTCCCCAAATTCAGTGATAGTTTTCCTCTTTGAGCTCCCATCTTCTTTAACTCTTATCATGTTTTTCTGGTAGCTCTATTCTGCTTCTTCATTTGACTTCCATTGAATTGGGTAACTTTTTTTTTTCCTCTTCCCGATGTACATAAATGACTTAAAGTATATCAATATCACTATATTCTCTATAACACACAAATAACTAGCATAAATAAGTTGCATTTAGACAGTATAGTCTAAATACAAGTTCCCTGTCCTATTTCGTAGGTCTTTGAATGTTGTTTAAAAAAATACAACTAAGACATGTTAAATTTCACTAAGTTTATTTGACCAAGAAAAAGGTTTGAGAACTAGGCACCATCCCAGAACGAAGATTGTTCAGAGTGACTCCACATCCAGAGTGGTGAGATGTATTTATAACCAGAACATAGAAAATTATATTCAGAGTTTCCCTGATTGGTGCAGTTCAATATTTGCCTTATTTGGGCATAATTTGGCAGCATTCAGTTTGGGATTGACTAAGGGTTTGGCTCCTATGATTGGTTGAGTCTCAGTTGCTTGGTTACAAGTCCATACATCTACATTAGCTTACAACTTATTTACACATTAAGTTAGAGTACAGTCACTATGTATGGATGCCACTTTGGGCCAAACTTAATTAGGCAAGTACAATGGGCACTTTGAGCCAAACTTAACTCAGTTTAACAATGTTCTCTAGTATTTGTTTTACTTTATTGTATTTGTTTGATTCAATATAGCAAATGCTTCTTTAGACTTACCCACATGTTTATATATATATTACTGTTTTGCCTCCATTGAACATGCCTTCTACTTCCTAATTTGTGCCAGAATTGACTAGTAGATGCTATGAATGCATCATGCTCTTTGGCCCATTTCGAACACTCAGGTATGTCTGTACTCTTAGTTCATCTATTCATCATTGCTTCTACAGTTCCCTCATGCTTTAAAAGATATGTGGCTTTTATAATTTATCCAGCTTTTTCTTGTCATTTTAATAAGAGTATGTGTCTTATACAACTACTACATTCATCCCAGAAGTAGAAGCAAACTATTATAATCTCATTATTTTTATTCCTACTATTCTCTTTTCAGAATTTCTTTTAGATATTCCTTGGATAGTTTTATTCAATCCTCCATGTCTTTCAGCTTATCTTATGTTCTATCTTTTGGTTCATATTCTGCATTCTGGATAATTCTTTATCTTCACTTGCTAGTTTGTTGATATTCCTTTTGGTGACTATAAGCTGCTCTTTAAAATGGTCAATAATGTGTAAGATGTTTATTATCTTGCCCTTTGCAGAAAAAAATTTTCAGCTTTTGCTCTGGAATGATTTTGCATCTCTTCCACCAAACTTCCAGTGTATCAATGGCCAGAAAATAATCTATATGTTAATTTGTTAATTTGATGCTTCATGGCTCAAGGCTGTATAATTTATAAGTTTGAAGTCAAACAACACATGATGGATAATCCTGATGTTACAGATTCTCAGGGGAGAATATGTATTTGTTTTTTCTACCAATTGTTCTAGTATTTACAGACAAACTTCTTAATTGTACTGGGTTGGTTAATAAGTATTTTTCTTTACTCTTTCAATCTAGGTCCAGCTATGCATCACCCCTTCGCTGATGAGCCTTAAGAAAATCCAAATTTATAAATTGCTGGGTCCATCTCTCTTTCCATCCAGAAAAGTCAGAGCAACTGGTCTTGCTGGTTTTAAGTGTTGCCTGTGTTTCTGGCATTGGTAATTTTCTTTGTTTTCCTGTAGTTTTAGGTATACATATATAATGACATCTCCAAAATTCATCAATATTAGCATTTGTTATGAAGATTTTTCAGGCAGCTGGCTTACCATATGGCCTAAATCTGATTCTAAAGTCCATGTTTCACTTTCTCAAATATAAAAACTGCTTGCTAATAAGCATTAGAAAAATATTTTGAAGAAGAACATTTTGATAAATATGATTGTACAATATTCACTGCAGTAAATAACCATTGCATACTCAAAGGAGTTTCATTTGCATATATAACATGAGATGAAAACCAATAATAAATGGTGACTTTTAATAAAATAGATCAGAAATAGTATCTTGTGCAAATAATCTGATGCCAGAATAATTACCCCTCTAATTAGTAAAATTCAATAAGAAGGTAGAATTTTCATTTACATGTGATCAAATAACTTTTTTTACAATACCTTTGCCTTTTGAGTTCTTTAATAAAATACATCAGAAATAGTATCTTGTGCAAATAATCTGATGTGAGAATAATTACCCCTCTAATTAGTAAAATTCAATAAGAAGGTAGAATTTTCATTTACATGTGATCAAATAACTTTTTTTACAGTACCTTTTGCCTTTTGAATTCTTTATTGTTTTCATTTAAGAAATGTGGAAATCTGAAACAAACTATATTCTCAATCATGTTAGAAAAAGTATATGTAATATGTATTTTTTAAATGTCCAGTGGCTAAGAACTTAGACTGGGTTTTGAAATAATAATTTCCTAACACAGTTTCTCAGTATGTTTCCTCTAGGCAAGAGAAAACTCTGTAATTATAAGATTCTTAATTTACCCTGGTAATTTCATAAGAAAAATGATTAATTACTTTGAGCAATCAGTTATACAAATAATCATGGTTCTTTATTTAAACCACAAAAAATAGAAAGAAAGCAGAGAAGCTTAAGCATAAAACATAAAGAAAAATTCAGTCATTTAGTAAAAATGAAATCAGTGTTAAAATATTTCTTTTGACACAGTCAGCTAACATCTTTCTATTTTTGCTGAGTAACTATTAATTATATTTTAAGTTCAACTAACTCTTGACACAGCAATGGAATTTGAAGTGAATATACTACTTTAAAAAATAAATGGTGTATTTAGAGTGTTGACATTTAGAAAATGATAGTTTTGTGAAATTTGCAATGTGTTTTAGAATTACAAATGCTAAAGTAAATGAATGCATGATTATATTTAATAGAATAAAAACAGAAGAATTTTTTAAGTCTTGACGACCCAAGGCAGGGTTCTGTTTTAAGTATTCCCCTTTCAATCAACGTTACAGCTATCCTAACTTAAAACTGCTTCAACTAATAATGTGTATTTATATTAAAAATGTAATCCATGGCTCTGAACTCTGGCTTCCTAGTAGAATCACATGGCAAGATTTTAAGTAATACTCATTTCTTGGCTCTACTAAAGTCCAATTAAAACAGAACTTCAGTTTTTAGAAACAGGTGTGGGTAGTTTGAATGTTCCACATTATTCTAAGATGTGGGTGAGATTAAGAACCAGTAAGCACACCAGTCAGAATGGCTATTATTAAAAAGTCAAAAAATAGCAGGTGCTGGTAAGGTTGCAGAGAAAAAGGAACACTATACACTGTTAAAGAGAATGTAAATTAATTCAGCCATTGTGGAAAACAGTGTGGTGATTCTTCAAAGACCTAAAAACAGAACTACCATTAGACCCAGCAATCCCATTACTGGGTATATATCCAAAGGAATATAAATTGTTCTATTATAAAGACACACGCACACATATGTTCACTGCAGCACTATTCACATTAACAAAGACATGGAATAGACCTAAATGGCCATCAATAGTAAAGACTGGATAAATAAAATGTTGAACATATACACCAGGGAATAAGATGTAGCCATAAAAAGGAACGAGATCATGTGTTTTGAAGGAATATGGATGGAATTGAAGGCCATTATCCTTAGCAAATCAATGTAGGAACGAAAAAACAAATGCCACATTCTCTCACTTGTAAGTGCAAGCTAAATGATGAGAACACATGCACACAAAGAAGGGAACAACAGACACTGGGCCCTACAAGAGGGCAGAAGGTCGGGGGAGGGAGACGATCTGGAAAAATAACTAATGAGTCATAGGCTTAATGCCTGGGTAATGAATTAATCTGTAAAACAAACCCCCATGATGCAAATGTATTTATATAACAAACCTGCACATGTACCCCTGAAATTAAAGGTTAAAAAAAAGAAACAGGGAGCATTGCTAGGCTATATTGAGTAAGCACCAACTGCGCATACTTAGCCTATAAAATGCCTAAAATATAGATAGTAAAAATGCCTAAAATATAGATAGTAAAAAAATATAGATAGTAAAAAAAATATAGATAGTAAAAAAATATAGATAGATAGAGTGACATAAAACAAGAATTCAGATATAGCAGTTGTTTTTATTTGTTTAAGAATAAATTCAAAATTCAGAATTATAATTGTATACTCTTATAAGAGAAAACAGATTCATTTTATATAAAATATATTGTGCTAATTTACACACTTTTTGATCCCTAATAATAAATACAACTCTGTTAGATGGCTTAAAAGCAATCTTTACATTGCTTAGAGAACGTTAAATATCAATTGTGTATTTAAATTTTCTACTTATATGAAAGCATGCTATTTTTCCTTAACTTTGGGTAAATAATTTTATGGTGTGATTAAACCGATCTGACTTTTTGAAAAAGGGCATGTTTTTTAATGAAATATAAAAGAGTTGTAATTTTAGTTATTCAGTGTTGCGCAAACCTACTTTTTTGGCTTCATTTGCAAAAGGTTGTTGGATAACCTTTATCTTTTACCACTAACTTCTTACTCTGATCCAAAATATTTGGCTTTTAAAATTCTCCTTATTTCATTATTTGTCTTCATATTTAAAATATCTTCTGTGATATTTCACTTCTAATTTTTTAATATTTTTACATGAAAAGAGATGAATACTGATATCCCTGATTTTTAAGAGAGGATTTTTATTGCCCTGTTAATTTGGAAATAAACATGCGATAATATGATTTTAAAATGCTAAAGTGGAGCTCTAGTAATTCAACTGAAAATAGCATTATGAATAAACTATACTGTGGCAATTCTTTAACATAATAAAGGAGGACATCAACAGAGCAGAAAATTGATGAATTTTGGAATATATGAAGCATGTTGTATCAAATTGCCAGAGAAAGTAATGATTTTCTGTTACTGAACTTAGGTCACAAAGCCTACTGCCTGCTAATCGGCAAGTGGACCTGTTTCTCTAACAATGGCCCGAAACTTCACAACATCAAAGGAGAAATCATTGCCAGCAAAAGCATTTCCGGGTAGTAGGAAAGAATACAAGTGAATAACATTAGTCCAGAAGTTTTAATAATATTCTTTGCTGGTTGAAATTCATGTTTAATATGATGTAAATTACTTGATAAGCAAATTAAGAACTATGCTACTACAGACTCCAAATAAGACGCAAGAAAAATGAGGGGAAATACATTAAAGGAAGATCTTAAAAAACAGCTGCACAGAAGATAAATTATTTTTCCAGGAGTTTTAAACATAGTTGCTTTTGTTTGTTTGCTTTGCTGTTTTTTCTTAATAATTGTTTTAGTAAGCTCAGGCTGCTATATAAAAATAAGATAGGCGCTGGTCTGAACAATAGACATTTATTTCTTATAGTTCTTGAACCTGGCAAGTCTGAGGAGGGTCATCTTCTGGGCTTTCAAAGGGCTGCCTTTTTCCTATGTACGTACATAGCGAATAGAAAGTGTTAGCTCTCTGGTCTCTTCCTGTAAGAGCACTAATCCCATCATGAAGACCCCATCCTTATGGGCTCATCTAAACCTAATTACTTCCAAAGGTCCCACCTCCAAATGCTAACACATTGAGAGTTAAGGCTTCAATATATTAATTTTGGGGAAACAAGACACAGTCCATATCAAATATATATATATATGTAATATATATGTATAATATATATGCATACTATATATGTATATAATATGTATGTATAATATATATACAAATATATATAATATATATTACATATACCCAAATATATATATTATATATATTATATATGTTATGTAATACAACTATATACACTCTACAAAGGCAGTGGAATATAGACATACTTCAATTGATTGTGCTTTGCTTCACTTGGCTTCACAGATAATGTGTTTTTCACAAATTGAAGGTTTATGACCACCCTGCATCAAGCAACTTTATTGGCACCACTTTTTAATAGCATGTGTTCATTTGTATCTCTGTGCCATATCTAGGTAAATCTCACAATATTTCAAACTTTTTAATTATAATTATATTTGATATGGTAATCTGTAACCAGTGACCTTTGATGTTACTATTGTAATTGTTTTGGGCACCATGAACCACATCCATATAAGACAATGAATTTAATCAATAAATGTGTGTGTTCTGACTGCTCCGCCAACTTAGACAATTAGTTTTAGATCTTTTATTTAGACGATGAGAAAATTTAAACTATAAATAGGCCAGGTCTCGTGGCTTATGCCTGGAATCCCAGCATTTTGGGAGGCTGAGGTGGGAGGCTCACTGGAGGCCAGGAGTTCAAAACCAGCCTGGGCAACATAGGGAGACCTTAGCTCTACAATTGAAAAAAAAATAGCCAGGTGTGGTCATGGTGGCACCTGTCTGTATTCCAGCCACTTGGGAGGCTGAGGCAGGAGGTTTGCTTGAGTCCAGGAGTTTGAGGTTGCGGTGAGCTACACAATGAGCTATGGTGGCACTACTACACTCCAGCCTGGGCCATAGAGTAAGGCCCTGTCTCTAACTGGAAGTCCAAAGAGGGATCTACTTCCAAGACTATTAATTTAATAGATCAATAAATTAATCAAGAATATGATTTTTTTCTCATCTTTATTTGTAGTCATATTTTATACAGACTTTTTGTTTAAGTAATCTCTCTTTATGGGCAGACAATGATTTCAGAAACACCACAAATTATTCTCAAAAAGAAAAGACGAGGATTTTTTTTTTTTTAGAAAATGTAACTCTTTTCAGTAGCTCTTGGCAGACCTACCCTCACATTTTCTTGACTAAAAACAGTCATTAAAAAAAGTCAGTCACAAACAGGTGAATTTAAATTATCATGGTTTACCTATACTTAACAAGCTTTATCCTCAGAGGTAAGGATAGGGTTACTTTCCTGAATTTTAGATATGTGGAAATATTTGGAGTTATGTCAATAAATGAAAAAGTATGATGGATATAGTGCTTGCCATGGAATATATCAAATACAGATATTCTGAAAACTTTAAGTTCAGTAATATGCCAGGGGTTCCCAAGACCACTTGAGACCTGGTAATTTACTGGAAATCTCTAAGGGAATCAGAAGCTGTAGTACTCATTGTTACAGTATATTACAGTAAAAACAGTACAGATAGAAGTCAGCTAAGAGAAAAGACAAATGAAGTGAACTCCAGGAGAAACCAAGTCCAAGCTCTCAGGTGTCCCCTCCCAGAGCAGTTGCATGGGGACATGTTTAATTATCCCAGCAACAATATGTAAAGTGCAAAGCATTGCCAACCAGGAACACTCGCTGGAGCCTAGTTGTCGAAGGTGTTTACTGGGATCAGTCACATAGTCATGTAATGCCCATATGATTGACCTCAGCTCCATGACATTTAAGCACAACTTTCTTCCTACACCCAGAGTAAAAACAGATGTTCACATAAGTCACGTTGATAACATAACCTTTTCTGGTCGAACTGGGAGAGTATGGCCCAAGACTTCAGGAAAACAAGAACACTTTTATCAAGCAAAATACTCCAAGGGCTCAGAGATGAACTCCTAGACTAAGGTCTAGTCCTGCAGAGGGACCCCTCTTTGGAATGTACAGTATTTGAGCAATTCATGCCAGTCAAGTTAAACCTTTTCACCCATGCCTAAATGCTATTTAAGAAATGTAAATAACAACAATGAGATAGTTTATTAAACATTTTTATTGTAATACACAAATAGTATATAGTTAATTAATTTTAACAAAGTGATTGTACATATTTCACAATAAAATTCCCTTAAATTACCATCTGCTCCATCTGCAAGTAATTATTATTCTGATTGCTAATAACATAGACTTTTTTAACCTATTTTTGAACTTTTATAATAGAATTAAACAATATATATTCTTTTCTGGATGGCTTCTCTTACTCAGAAATGTATTTGGGAGAGTCATCAAAGCTCTCTTGGGTATACCATTTATCCTTCTTGCTTGATAATACTCCATGTATTTATATATATGCTATGATGTGTTTATTTCACTCTTGATGGATAACTGCAAAACTTCCAATTTAAGCTGTTGTGAATAATTCTTTAATAAACAATTTTGTACATTTCCTGAATATGTTTATGTGTTCCTGTTGGATGATAGTAGCAGAATTATTGGTCACAGGGTATGCATATACTTAATTTTAACAGATAAGGTCAAATACTTTCCAAATTCATTTTAACAATTACAGTCAACCTGCATTGTTTTAGAGCCCCGATTGCAGGGTCATTTTGGATTAGTTTGTCTTTCTCTTGTTGATTTTAATGGATAGTGTTAGGCTGTAAATAAAGTTATTTATGCATAGTAAGAACTTTCTCAACAAATTTTACTCAGACTTCTGCTCTACGCTAAGAACTAGCTCTGGAAATTAATTCACAGAAAGAACATGGTTAGGGGCCATCCTGAGGGATTTACCTCACTAGGGATATATATTTACATTTCAAGAGAAGATGAGACCCAGTAGATGCATCCCAGAAGTTACAAAGCTGGAGACTCTAGTGTTATCTTTCCCCTAGAGAGATTTATTTTTATCCAAATGGTTAAAGTAAGAACTCAGTTTTTTTTCCGTTTTGTGACTATGGAGACACACTCAGAAGGGGGTCAAGAGCAACTGGGTCACTCTTCCACAAAAACGCTCAGGTTCTTTTTTCCAGAGTTCTTTGCCTACAGCAGATCCCCTTACATGTAGGACATCTGGTTCTCACCACATCACCACCACGGTAAGAATTAGTGGAAAGGAGAGCTAGGTTAAGGGCAGCTGTTTCTTTCCTTCTCTGCAGCCTCTGGTACCAAGTACTGCATGACATGTGTCTCACAACATTCTCTGCCTCTGCACCTCTGTGCTACGACACTGGATGAATCTATGGAGTGAGCAATAGAAAGTCTCTGAACTGCCAGAAACAACTTCATTTTACATGGAAGTGGCTTTAAATCAAACACATTAACCTCAATGAACTGAAATTAAATATGTCTCTATTCAACTTCCCCTTAGCTGAATACTAAAAGTGTTGTAGGCTGGACCCGCACTACCTGACAGGGAGATAAATGACTAAAGGCAAATGGGAGTCAAAACAGGTGTGGCTTTTCTTATTTTTAATTAAGCATCTTACACAGCAAATTTTGCAAAACTCATATGACCCCGAGAAAGACCCATACATATGAAAGGTCTTAAAGATTTAACTTTCTTAGCTTTAACGTAAGCTTTCCACTGGATTTTCCCATTACACTCATTCCATAAAGAAATGAAATAATCATATATCTCATTATATAATTATACTAAATTGATCTCAACACATTTTCTTAGCAATATATACCAACATTGTTTCCAATATTGTTTATTACAAATGATGCTACAGTTGAAATCTTTATATCTGAACGCTTGTGTGTGTGTGTGTGTGTGTGTGTGTGTGTGTGTGTACCTATTCTGTGTATAATACTGATTTTATTTATTTGTATAGGCCTGGAAGTGGAAATACTGTGACATAAAATAGAGGCACAGCAAATTATTCAAGATGTCGACAAACAGCATTGTTTCCAAGTTTTTGTTCCCTTACAATCCTTGCCATTGGCCAATTTCTCAAAATCCCGTGTTGCTTAACATTTAGTAGCTTAGTAAATATTTTAAATCTCAGAGATTTTACCCAACTGATACCAGGGTTTTTAAAATTTGTTTATATAGATTAAGCGTCTTTGAAGAAATAACAGTATGCAAAAAATATGGTCGCTATTCTTCATGTTAAAACTATCTTAAACACTTTTCCAGAGGAAAAAATAACAAAATAGAAACCAATGAAGGTCTTTTGCTTGGTGATTACATATATTGATTACCTGTGTAAGTTAAACAGATTGGGAAAAGGAAATATCCAAAATTGTGCCTAGATTATATCATGACATCATGTATATATGTAAATAAGTTAATTTTTGCAATCGCAACATAGAGAAAAATGTTATTTTAAATGAAAAAAATAAATAGAACATAAAGTAATATTTCAGCATATTAAATTTAGGAGTAAAAACCTTTGACATCCCTGAAAATCTTTGGTAAAAAGTCCAGATTATGATAACTTGGCTTTAATGAACTAGGAAATAGATGGATAATAGCACACACATTTTTAGCATTGTAGGGATTATTTTCACTGGTTGTAGGATCAACAAACTTGGTTTAAATAATGGTTCTGAGAATTTAATTAATTAATTTAATACACTTTTGTTAGGAAAATAAATTCATTTCTAGACACAGGATATTTTACAATTGGATCGTATTTCAAAAAAAGAATCACTGTGTTTTTAATGAACAAATGTCACATAAAGAAGTCTTTTCAAAAAGTGCTTCAAAAACTTAAATTTGAAATATATGCAACGGATCCACAAGGTATCTAATAATTTTTATTTTTACCAAGCTCATGAGTAAGTTACTTAGCCCTGAAACAGTTTCGGAGAAAAAAAAAGTGTTTTAGTTTCTTTATCTGTAAAATATTTATGTGGCAAATGATTGAGCAAATATATAAATTTAAGCAGATTGATCCTAGAACTTGTTGTGTTTAAGAATATGGATTATTGAGAAGTACTTCACCATAGTATTTATCACATAGTATGTCCTAATTTAAGATTAAGTATGGTTGTAATCATAATATTTTGAAAATTCTTTTGAAAACTGTTTTAATGAATTATAGATTGAACACTGAGATAAGATGGAGTTATCCATGATCTTTAAGACAGCAAAATTAGGTCTTGAAATTAAAATTGAAATGAATATAATACACATATATTGATTTTATGTCGATGTTTTATAATCAAATCTGATTAGAAAAAGGAAATTGGTATAAAGGTTCTCCACATCTTCTCAGTCACCCAACTTCATTTTCTAAGGGAATTACATTACGTACTTTTATTTTATTTCTTGTTATATAGCAGTATCTTTTCCTTGATTTCTTGGCTTGCTTCTGCTCTCTTCTGCTATGCCTATCCATCAGTTTCCAGAGCTCAGAAAAACAGTTTTTAACAGCCTAATATATGTATTTGGCAATTTCCTCCCATAACTATGATTTAATATTCATGGCCACATAAAGGGTATAAAATATTTTGCACTTGGTGTATACACATTTTCTTTATATCACTTTATCTTTCATCAATAACTCAATGGAAATCCCATTAAGAGAATATGAATAGCTCTAGTTGGTATTCAATGTCTGCCTAACATTTCATGTTGACAAATTATCATAAACTATTCAATAGAAGAATTTTACTAACAATATATCATTAACATTCTAAAATATTTTTGTATAATCTAGACTTTGGTGGGAACAAACCTTGGAACAAACTGGTTCCAAGGTTTCTTGGAGGGGAGTGGTGAAAAAGAAATGGGGAAATTTATGTTTTTTGAATTTGTCAACTTATTGAGGAGGGGTAAGTAGAGAAATTGACTAATTTGCTAAGACAATAGAAGGTATCTTTATTTCAAATAGTACTTGAAAATTATGCATCTAATTGTGAGGTCAAAAAATTGAAGATACCCCTTAATAAAGAAATAAAGGATAGATCTTCCAAAATAACAAGGATGTAGTGGAATGAATAAAAATGTATCAAGTCAGCAGCAATAAGGTAAAAATATTAGAAAAGTAATGTTAAATAGTTGTCAGATGGAAGTATATATTTGAGCAAATATTTTGTTAAATAGATGACAAAAAGGTAATATTTATACATTACATATATGTGTTTGTATGTATGTATGTATGTATGTATTTTGAGATATAGTCTTGCCTGTCACCCAGGCTGGTATGCAGTGGCACGATCTCGGCTCACTGCAACCTCTGCCTCCCGGGTTCACACAATTCTCCTGCCTCAACCTCCCGAGTAGTTGGAACTGCAGGTGAGCGCCACCATACCTAGCTAATTTTTTTCTTTTTAGTAGAGACGAGGTTTCACCATGTTGGCCAGGCTGGTCTTGAACTCCTGGCCTTGTGATCCGCCTGCCTCAGCCTCTCAAAGTGCTGGGATTACAGGTGTGAGCCACCGTGCCCAGCCTCACAGATATCTTAAAATTCACCTGATAAAGTTAGGAGCCTCAAGAAAAATTAGCAGAGGAAAATAATAGGTAGTTACTATTTAGGGTAAACTAAACTGTTCTAAGGAATAGAAAATAAAAATTCCATGTCTTCAAAAATAATTCTTCCCTCTCAATCTCTCTGAATATCTCATAAGAGTATTCAGGCCACAGAAATAACTACCATTTAGCCACTCAGAGGCTTATAGTAGTTCTACTAACTTTAACATTTGGCAACCAAAATTACTCTAAGAATCATCACCCAAGTCAGACAAACAGGTAAGATAACAAGAAAAAGTGCTTGTATAAGGATTTAAGACTAAGGCTCAGGGACAGCAAATATTCTATTTGCTAAAACTAAGCCACATGCACACACCAAGCAAGAGAGCCAGGGAAGTGGATAGGCACAGGCAGTCAGTCCACAGAAGAATGAATCAAAGTGCTGAACTTTCATAGAAAAAATCTGTTAAGATTCATGGGTGGTAAAGAAAATACAAATTAAAATAACACAGGAATGTCACCAGAAAAACCATCAAATTGGTAGCATTTAAAGATAACTATAGGACTTATTGTTTCTAGTGTTCTCTCATATATTTCTGGTGAAGAATAATTTATTGTAGAGCTTTATGAAACAATCTGACAATTTATATTGCAATTAATTGTACTTATGCCATCTGACCAAACAATGTAACTCCTAGGCTTTTTGCCTATATGACTAAAATCATATGCACAGTAGTGGTTATTACATTCTTTAGCCCAGTAGCCATTAAATTCCTTGTGCCCTTAAAACCTAAAAGTTCACAGAGAGAAGACCTCTTACTGACTTGTAGAATCTCAATACTACTTATCTTGAAATTTCAGTAAGTGTTAGGTAAAAGAGTTCATTTGGGATAATCACACTATGATAGTCTTTAGCTTTTGAATTGGAATCCAAATTTTAGTTTAGAACAGCAAAGTTTGCGCCTAAAGATTTCATGAAGTAAAAATACTAATTGTGATTACATATCTAAATATTTGCACATCTAAAATTGTCTTTTACTCGTAACCAGAATAAATGATACCTTTTTTTTAAGAAAAAAGAAGAGTAATCTATCTAGAAAATGAAAAAATTAGGCTAAAATGGTGACTTAAGTAATTTAAATGGATATAGATTTATAAAATTAAACTATTTCTCAATTTTGAGAGGAAAAAATCAAGGAAATCAAATATACCTTCTCTTTCTTTTGCCAACAGATGTATGCTGTCTTAATTGATGCTTAATGTATTTTTCCATTACATAATTTTAATATTGTAATAATTATAACAACAGATACGAAATGAAATTTCTGTATATTTATGAAAAATGCTAAAATTGTAAAGTAATTTAAATATATAGGTTTAATTTATTCATATGATTTAAAATTTTATGTCATTTTATTTTATTTCTTAATTATTGCTATAATTAAATGTTAATAAAATGAAGTCTTTAAAAATTCTGATTTGGCCTTGCAATATGCGATTAGAACACTTGTAAAAATGCAAACATATAAATAATGCAAAAATAATATTTGAAAAATGTAATCGTTCTTAATGTTATTGAACATCCAAAAGTTATTGACGAAGTATTCAGAAGCATTTTAGATTATTGTAAAATATTATTTAAATTATATTTAATTAAAAAATGATATACATTACTCAGTAAAAAGAAAAATAGATAATCAAGAAAAGCAAAACTGAAAAGATGAAAATGTTTTAATATTCAAGAAGCAATCTTGTCTTTTTTACTGAATTAAGGGCCTTCCCTGCAATAAAATCGATTATGCTCACATAATAAAGGTATATCTTAATAATTTAAGTGTAGAAATAAAATCTGTCATCACTTTCACTTTCATCTGGAAAATAGTACCTCATAAGTTTTTTCTGTTGCAGACTATAAACATAGAAGCAAATTTATTAACTTGGCACTATTATATAAGGTGCATAATGAGAGTTTGTAAAATGGCAAAATAGTTTTTTCTAGTCCTATAATCAATTTATCATCAGAATAGCCTCAGACTCTATACAGATTCATTCTATAAACAGTATTGGTGAAAAATCAGATGTGTTTCTGTTTTCTGTTTGTTTGTTTGAGACTATCATTGTTGAATATACATCAAGCAAAATAGTTAAAGAAAAGCCTTTGGAGTAACGTGGTAAATTCAATAATATGTATATGTGCACACACACAAATACACATCCCAAACAACCACAAGAGGAATAACAAATTTATAACCCAGATGGGCGCGGTGGCTCATGCCTGTAATCCCAGCACTCTGGGAGGCCGAGGCAGGCAGATCACTTGAGGTCAGGAGTGAGACCAGCCTGGCCAACATGGTGAAACTCCATCTCTACTAAAAATGCAAAAAAATTAGCCAGGGCGTGGTGGTGCGCACCTGTCAGCTACTCAGGAGGCTGAGGCAGGAGAATCGCTTAAACCCAGGAGGTGGAGGTTGCAGGGAGTGGAGATTGCACCACTGCACTTCAACCTGGTTGGCAGAGCAAGACTCTGCCTCAAAAAAAAAAATATTATTACCAAAAATCTCACTAATTCTGTACGTCAGCATTTATTAAAATAAGGATAAAAGAGAGCTACTGTAGATATCTCTAAGAAAATAAATAAATGATTATTGAATGTGTAGTTAATCTTCTTTTTGTTTGCCCATTTCTCTTTAGAGCCATGCGCATGAATTGCACTTGCGGGCTGGATTACCAAGGGCTTCTCTGAAATGGCAAAGAAAATAATGTTTGATTTCAAAATGCAATAATAGTAGCTATATGAAAACATGACCTTTGAGAGATTATTCAGCAAATAATATACTTAATGAAACTTGTTTTTTAAGAAATAGATATTTCAGAAAATATGGTACTACATATGATTGTTGCCAAATCATTCTGTATACTTAATGGTTATTCAGCACTTTCTGTTTTATAAAGTACTTTCAAATATATCAGTTCAGTTAGCTAGTACCCAAATCCTTGATGTAATCACTGTCATATAACATACAAGCAAACTGTGTGTAATGAATCACACTGCAGTTGGAGTACAAGAGTAGGCATCAAGAAAGTGGCAGGTGTGTCATTTTGAATAAAGGCTGTTGTGGGAAAGGTTCCTTCAGACAGATCCCTCTCCCTAGGTATTTATGTGGTGAGAAGAGTGGGTGGGGTTTGTGGAGTAGAGTCCGGGGCTTGTGCATCCTTAATTCAAGTAACAGCACTTGAATTAAAGGTTTATCCTAACTATAAAGCTATACATTTTTCTCATGATGTATTTGAATATATTCTTTTTAAGGAAAGAAAAAAATATATAAATTTTCAGGTCCTGAAGTACATGTATGTCACTTATTGCTAGTCTCTTCTGTATTTTATGTGAATGCCACAAACATTTTTAAAATTTTAAAGAAGTAAACATATATGCAACATAGATTTTTAAAATGAGATATATGCCGAAACAAGGCTTTGAGGAGGTATAATGTTCTGAAATGTAATTAGATGACAAATTATTTCTGGTACACATTTCCTAGCACTTATATTTTTCACCCACTCATAAAACAATGTGAAGTAGGTCATACTGAGTCACCAAATTAAACATTCAAATTATTCTACATCTCCAAAAGTAGCCCATAATTAAAAGGAATTTCATATTGGAATAACTGGACCTAATTTGCTTATTCATTAAATTGTGTCCAAGTGTAGTCTCTGAATTATATCAATTAGGGAACGAGAAGGCATACTTAAAAAGAGCTGAATTAACAGTGCAAATAAAGTAACCACTGTGGATACTTTTGAAAATTCTAGTATTAATTTTGTTAGTCAATGCAATGGAAATACATCAGTAGCATAGTAATAAAAAAATTATTTCTTTTTATAGCATCTTTGATAATTATAAAATTAATAAAGATTTATTATTTAAAAACTGAATAATTCCTACATCATTAAAATCACAAGTAACTCCACTGTCTAATTACAAAAACTATTGCGGTTTTTATGTATTTTCTTATCATTTTATTTATTTATAATTGATAGGTGAGTATTAAAATATAGCCTGACATTATTTTATGATTAATAGTTTATTTAAAATATATTATATGATTGTCTATTTAAAATTAAGCCTGTTAAAAATAAAACTATTGATCTTTCCTATCCTCTATTCCCAAATTTGCTCCTCCCAAATTTAAACCCAGGTGAGTAATTCCAACTCTGTTCCTCCCATAGTTCAGGCCAAAACATTGCCAATATCATGGACTTTTGCCTCTAATATACAGGGTTCAAATATATCTTGTTTGCATAGAACAATTTCAATTTATAATTTACATAGTTTATAGTTTAGAACAGCTTCAGCAATAGTTTACACGATACTTTCCTCGCTAATTTCCCTGTTTTCTCTTTTGCTATGCTGTGGTCTATTTTCACAGATCAGTCAAACTGTTACTGCTAATTCTTTAAAGAGGCGATTGCTTTTCTGTTTAAAACCCTTCATGGCTGCCAATTAAATAAACAAAGTTCTTACCATTTTCTAAGAAGCTTTATGTGACCATCTCCCCATGGAGTGTGACCTCATCTCCTCTGCTGTATCACATTGGCATCCTTAGTGGAACCTCATGGGTGTGTTCATACACCAAGGCCTCATTTGCTATTTCTGCTCCCTGAAAATATGTTCTCTCAATTATGCTCTTGGCTCATTCTCTCATAACCACTCATTGTATTCAGATGATACCACCCAGTGAGGCTTTCAGCAACCATCTTGTTCAGTATCCAGCACCTCTTGTGCCCAGAACTCTCTATTCCCCTTCTTTGCCACATTTTTTAGAATAGAACTTAAACCATCTGGCATACAACACATGATACTTTGTGGTATTAATTACTGTTTTTCTCCCAACACTGGAACAACAGCTCTGTGAAGCCAAGACATTCTGAATGTTATTTTCACTATTTTTTCCCCAGTCCCTAGAAATGGGCCTAGAATATACATAGTAGATGCTCAATAATTTGTTGGGGAACAAATGAAAGTTGATCCTCAATAATATTTTATAATGAATAGGCTTACAATTTATGAAAAAGCCATAACTTATTTAGCCATCTCCCTAAATTTGCATGCTTTTGTAAGTAATAATATCATGGTTGTGAAAACAATTATGTGTGTATATACATATATGTATATAGGTATTTTATGGCAATGATATACATACATGTATAGTCTTCTGTAATATTTACAGGTGCTTTTGTTTTCCTTGCATTATGCAGCATATATGATTTTATAGCTAGTATTCTGGATGTCCATGAAACATCAATTAAAAAGAAACTAATATTATTAAATAGCAGACCTGTTAAAGTGGTAGTCAAAATATTCTTTCCCCATTATATACCTCAGAGATTTCTGATGAACCCTTTTGAAACCTAATAGTGGCTGTAATCATAATAAATTTTTTCTAGATAGTTTTACAAACAATTTTTAATCTTCAAAATTCAAGGCTAATGTATGCATATTGAATGATTATGGCATTCATATATAAGCTATGTTTGGAACCAGAACTTACCAGTGCTTATATTTATGTGTAGGTATGATAGACAAAGCATAGGAATAACAAGATATAATTAGTTTACTATTTATTAAAAATATGAATAGAACTGGTTTTGCTCTGTAATTTTTGCTATGATAAACCTTAGCCATGAACATAACCTGCTATTGAGCATGTGCGTCATCCATCTTATGACTCACCAAAAATAGGGAAATGAGTCTAGAACCATCAAAGCAATTGACAACAGAAGTGAGATTTCAGCTTGGATGCATTTTATTATAAAAGTAGTATAATTATATTCAAGAATTTGTTAACCTTTTATCTCACTAAATAAATTTCAATATTCATTATAAATAACAAATTCAAGCATTTAAAATATTATTTATATATTCTTAATTTTTATTGTTTGTTTTAATTACACATGTCAATCCTGTTATGGAATGACATCAACATCCCCTTGGCAAGAGGATATTTTTAAATTTCCACATGTACATTTTAAGAGTTTGATACAACCCTATTTATCCATGATTTTCTCTTTCCTATAATTAGTAATTTTCACTGTAGAAGACTCACTTATAAAAGTGTATAGTATTATCATATTTGGATGATAAACTAAAATTTTGAAATATTTAGAAGCATTGTTATGAACTCATTAAAATTATCAGAATCACTTCATATAAAATGATATTTAATATTTTCTTATACATAAATTAGTGACATTGTTTTATACTTTTAATTTAATTTGATTATGAAAACTTTCTATGTGTTTTTGAATTTGTGTAACCTTAGACAGATTGCTAAGCCCATTTCATCATGCATTAATAGAATAGGATTAGATAATCTCTAAGGGTCCTTGGCTCTAAGATTATATGATTGTAATTAATGGCACTGCAGATCTTGTAGAGGGACATTAAAATGGACCCATACCTGAAGTTACTTTTCAATTGAATTAGTACTTAGGCAGTTGAGACAGTAGAAACAAGGAAGGCAAAACAGTCTTTCATAACAGATCATAATAAATTTGCTAATATTATAGAAAGGTCATTGGAAAGTGTTTGTCCTTTCTTTTTTTTTTAATAGGACCTTCCCATTTTCACTTACAGTTTTGAATACATTTATACATTTCCTTCTTCAAATGTCATTTAAATTAAAAGTGTTTCTATTTTCTCCAGATGGAGTTTCAATGCTCGTAAACATTTACATTAGGAGAGAATATAGTACCTATTATCTAACTTAAGTTGAAAAAGAATGAAACTGTAAAATATATTTACCAAAATAACTAAAGATTTATTTACCTTCGGTAGGCCTCAATTAGTTTACCTTTAAAAAGCATTCATTGATACAAATTTTAAAAATCCATGTAACAGACATCAATCAAATGTGATTTTTCTCCAGTTTATTATTTTCTGCCAGGGGAAATAAAATGCAATAATCACATTTTAAATATACATCTTTTTAAATGATTCTGTTGTTATACATGATTGTTATTCATATTTTTACTATTATTGAATGCCCCTGTACTGACCTTTCCAATTTGATAGTGCAGTAAGAAATAAACTTTTTTTTAATATTGAGAATTGGAAATGACCTGGTAATTTCTTTGTACTAGAGACCACTAATTGTGCATATAATGCATTCTTTCATTTTGTTTAGTAATAGAATCCTAAGTACATATGACCACAAGCAGGAGATTACCTTCTATAGTCTCTTATCAGTGATTAATTTTGATCAAATATAATATGAATTATATTATGAGCATAAATTTAAGTTAATCTCCATAAAGGCAAAGCCGATTGTTTTTACATCTCTTCTTACACATTTTACTGTCTGGAATGCAGAAGTATTGCTGAACTTAGCCATGAGGATGAAACACTAAGATAGGATTATAAAGAGAATACAAGATGAAAATCTCCTGGGGCCTGGGATGAACTCATGGAAAAAACATCCCCACCAACTCTCTTAATTGTTGGAGAGAAATATAAGACTACAATAAGGGTCACTCCTTATACTCATCATTTTTGAGTTAGAGATATTGACAAGTGTATCAAACTATATATTTTCTCCCACAAGACATTGAGGGGCACACTTCTTTTATTCTCCAAAAGTAACAAAAAATGCTTTGGTGTCTAAGTTTTAGCCTGCAAGGACTGTCATAGTGTTGTTTTCAAAGACTTACGTGTTTTATTTCCTTACCTCACTGCAACTTATAAATTTATCTTCTATGCTAACATCATGATAGCATCTAATGGTTCCAAGAGTGAAGATTATCACTAGTTTATGAACCTTTGTATTCCCCAAAAGAGAAAGAGATATTACATAACCAAATTCCAAGTATGATTAACCAAGATTTTTCTAAAATTTTCCACCTCTCAATTCTGTCTACTAATTTGAAATAACTGAACAAAATACATTTGCAACATGATAATTCTTCAAACTCGGCTCTTATACCAAGCAGTACTGATGATTGGGGCATTAACAAAACCAATAAAATTGTTTTGCAAAACAAAAACGAAGTGAAAAATATGCTCAGCTTATCTTACGCAATATTGTTTTCTACATCGAAAATGGCTAGATAACCTTAGAAAAAGTGGCATATACATTATTTACCTAAAAGTTATAGTAATCTGGGTAGAAGCTTAAAGTGATCTATCCTGTCATATAGTTGTCATTAACTAGGATATTAATTATTCTTAAAAGGATGCAAAATTTTTCCAAGGGATGTGCATCTGCAGACAGTTTTAGGGACTATTGTCAAGAACTGTGAAGGATCTGAGCTTACAAGTTAGCCTGCTTCAGTTTTATGGATGCTGGCAGAAGACACATAACTGTTTGGTCAGAGACAGAAAGACTTCCATTATTTGCAGCACAGCACAGAGTTGCACGAGCTTCATCTTTGCTCTGGTTCCTGTTTTCCCTCAAGTTTACTGGAGATGATGACAAGGAGTTCAAGTTGATGCTACACACAGTTTGTGTCATAGATGAAGAACTCCAAGTAAAGGAAACTTAAATCTTTAATAAATGAGCAGTAAGCACACCTGTCTGATGTTTTCTGTGGAGGAAACACTATCTTCGTTTTACTTGAAAATAAACAAATCTGTTCTCTCATCCATAAATAAACAATATCTTGATCTTCCAGGGCTATCCACTATATAAAGATCTTTAAAAAGGAAAACCTGTAATAAATGTGAAGCTAGTGCCTATTTGCAAGATGCACAGAAATGCCTGAGACCAATTGAAAATTGCCTGTGAACAAATACGCTTCCAGATTTTTAGCTTGCTCTTTTCTAAACATGAAAATTCTCAGAAGGTACGTGTTCTCAAGATTCATGCCATTTCTTTTTTCCCAAGTTGCTTTATCACGACCATCTTATTTTTCACATTACCAAATAATGCACTTCCCTAAACTATCCAAAATTTTCCATGGTGTTATAGTTTCTAAGGTACTGAGAAGAAACTCATAGGTGCAGCATATTTATAAATTGTTTACAAAATAATATTGAATACATATTTTCTCCTTTTCCCTGTCACTAGTAACTTTTTCTCTGCTTGATTAATTCATATCACATATTTAATAGCCCAATTTATTCAGAACATACTGAGAGGTGAAGCCCGCTGGACTTCCTAGGTGGAGTGGGGACTTGGAGAACTTTTTTGTCTAGCAAGAGGATTGTAAAATGCACCAATCAGTGCTCTGTAGCTAGCAAGAGGATTGTGAAATGCACCAATCAGCGCTCTGTAAAATGCACCAATCAGCGCTCTGTAAAATGCACCAATCAGCAGGATCCTAAAAGTAGCCAATTGCAGGGAGGATTGAAAAAAAGGGCACTCTGATAGGACAAAAATAGAACATGGGAGGGGCCAATACGTGAATAAAAGCTGGCCACCCCAGCCAGCAGCGGCAATCTGCTGGTGTCACCTTCCATGCTGTGGAAGCTTTCTCCTTTTGCTCTTCACAATAAACCTTGCTACCGCTCACTCGTCGGGTCCACGTGATCTTTAAGATCTGTAACACGGGAAAGGTCCATGACTCCATTCTTGAAGTCAGCGAGACCACGAACCCACCAAACCCACAGGCAGGAACCAACTCCGGACATAATACCACATGGCAGTCTCTGTTCTGAGCATTGATGTGTACAGGTTATTTACTTCTCATAAGAACACTGAAAGATAATTGCTACTTACTGGCTCCTTCTTAAGATGAGTAAGCTAGAGATAGATACTCATGATTTGCTCAAGACTTCAGAACTTGTCTGTGGCAGAGCAGAGATGAGAATTAAATTTGCTAGCCACCATTTCTTGGAATTTAAACACATTGTTACGCCACCTCTTAGTATATGTAATTAATGACATGCAGTTCACAGAATTATGTTATTTAAATTATATTGGACAGAAATAAAAAAGTTAGTACAGTTGACACTTGAACAACATGAGCTTGAGCTGTGTGCATCCCCTTATATAGAGATTCTTTTAATTAAAAAAATCAGCATCTGCATTGAAATGTGGATCAAAATACAGTAGCCACAGGATGAAAAACCCGCAGATATGGAGGACTGACTTTTTGTATACTCTGGTTCCACAGGATTACTTGAATATGTGCTGATTTTGGTATCCTCTGGGGTCCTGGACCCAATCTCTTGAGGATATCAAGGGACCACTGTATTTTTATTTAAAATGACAAGAGTAGAGAATATATGCAGATATATCCCGAGGAACATCTTTTAGGTATATGCTTTTCTATTTTAATTCCTCTTAAAAAAAAACACACACATCTTAGAACTTACAATGTATCGATACAAAAATGTGGCCATTATTTATGTAGGAAAAGTTTATATACTCCTCTGGAGGGTAGGAAATGAGATTGCAGTGCACATGGGGTTCTGCCACTCACAGTGTAGGATGTTTCACCATGTCTTCCTGAAATGATTTGCAAATAGTCAAGAACAAATGACTGTGGTGATAGAGATGTATTTATTGCTGCCACCTTGTTCCCACTTCACCGTTGCATATTTGTACACAGGACACATATTTATTCTTTTAAGTTTAGATTTTACTGAGAAATGAGGACCTTATCTGGACTTCACTGGGAGAATTATGAGTGGCCAGAGATACTACATTTTGAGCTGGATGCCAGACCTTGAAAGAACTCTGCATTTTTCATTTTGAGAGAAGTCAGTGTGTTTTATAATGGGAGGAAGATTAAAGCAGGTATTTTGGCATCAGAAGGACTGACCTTGACAGAGATTGGTGAGGTAACATTATTTCTTTCTTTGGACCACAAGAAAATGCTGTATTTTTCAGCCTCAATTGCAGGTAGGATGAGACCATTTCACTGGTGAATGAAATGTAGGTAGAAGTTATATTTCCCACTTTTAGACTGAGCTATAAGATACCTCATGCAATGCTTCTCATACTCCTCTTTATATTAAATGCAGAGGATTCTGTGAAAACGTTTAAGGAATTTCAGAAAGTTAATCCTCTACTGAATTATATGAATGAGAAGAAAAAAAATTGTGTTAAGTCACAGATATTTGCAGTTTGGTTCAGAAACTAATATTAATTGCCCTGACTAATATACTGAGATACTGGTGATGATTCTGCAATGACTGCTTTTACAGTGAAAGTGACCACAGTAGCATGCATGGATAAATTTAAGGTGATAAACATTAGGATTGCTTACATATTTTTTGGCTTCTTCACACACATGGTAGGATATAGCTCACTGCCCTGTTTAATTCAGTTATGGAATGTGATTTCCTTTTGCTTATTGAAATGTTAGTAGACTAAAGTGTCTGTTTCCTTCTAGAGGCAAAAATTCAGAGCGTGCCTCACAACATTCTTTTTTTCCTTGACTACAGTAACTTTCAATGTTCTGGAGTGGCTGCTTTGTCCTCTAGATCCTGGTATAAAGGTGACAATGACCCATGAGTAGAATCATAAGCAACACCAAGGACATGTGAAATGAGCAACTTATGAATGAATTGATATAGGCTCCTGACATTTAGAAATTGTTTTGTTATCACTCAGCTTAGTTTTTCTGATGTAATTTAATTGCTCTAAGGAAACAGTATCTGCTGTGATTTGTTACTGTCTCTTACTGCCCAGTGGTTGGCAAGGCCAAAAGTTCTAGACATGGCAGTATTCTGAGAGTTGAGAGCCAATATATTTTCTTGGCAGTGCTCATGCTCATGGTGCACTTGAAGTTGTGTTGATGCTGCCATAGGAGCACCACAAGCCAACCTTGTTTCTTCCATGGTTGCACTCTTTATGTATTCAATTACAGACCTCAGGTGTGTCTGACATGAAATAAACATACGCAGGCATCATGATGGTAATCAACTGATTGCTTCAATGTGCTGGTCTTTGTAGGTCTTGAGAGTATCAACCTGGAAAAACAAGCTTTTAACTTTAATAATTTCAGCAAGTTAATATAAAGGGAAGTTCCACATATAGGTCTGGATCAAGTTTTTCTATGAAGTAGTTGCCAATTAGAAAAGTTTCCTAAACAATTAACCCTAGCAAAAAATTGTGTAAAGATTCCATTCACTTATTACACAAAACAGTATATTTTATGAGTGCTACCTTCTACTTTGTCCATTCGATAAAAGGTCTCTTCACCCTTCTTTTGTCGTGTTTTGCCTAAATATTTGGGCATAAAGCTATAACCCATCATTCCCTTTTGAAAACAAAGAATAATAACCAAAGTAATATAATCTAAACCTGCTTTAAAGTCCAAGTGTAGTTTATATGTTCCTGTAATTATTTGTCATCTGTGGCTCAAATCCCTTTTACTAAAATACTTTGCACTTCACCATAAACAAACTTGTGCAAACAAACAAGACACAGAAGCGATATAAAACTCCCAAAATCAAGTTACTAAGTTTCAGTAACAAATAAACCTGAATGTATAATTAAATAGATTATAATAATGCTGAAAATTCTGTATTTTAGGTTCTTTATGATCTAGAGTTCTTCACATGTATGGTTTACTAAAACCATTCCAAGTGCTATATTTCTTGCTAATAAAACCAAATAACAATGTTCAGGGTAAATTTTAATGAATTAATGCTTATAATGCAAACTATGCTTTCATCTATTTTATTCAGAAGCACACGATTAATTATACAACAGATATTTTATATGAATGTTCAGAGTAAAGACTATTTTTATTTGCTTGAATGACAACATAACTTATTAAATGAATAAATACACGGATTCGTCTTCTCCATCACCATTTCAGGCATGTTTTTGTGACATCTACCTTCTTCACCGTGAACTCCTTCCTAACCAACCATTATATCTAAAATAAATTATCAGCAAACATAAATAATGTGCTATTCCAGAACTACCTCACATGAGCTAGATGATGGGAGGCATAATTCATAATAAACAGACCCTACCTTTAAATTCTATAAAGCCACAGCATTTAAATTCTAACTATGCCACAGAGCAGTAACCTATTTTCCTATTAATTATATCCCATAAAAGCAATATACCTTCACTAATTAATTATACTTGAAGTAACAACTATGGCTTAATTAAATGAACCATTCCTAATAATGAAACCTTAAAATAATTGGACTCTTCTGTCTAGAGGCAGTAACAATTATTGTCATTGGAAAGGATTTCAAACATGGCTATGCTAAGCAAAGCTGATTCATAACTGACATTGAACCTGAGATTTCCTAGAGCAGTAGCTCTCAAAACCTTTCGTGAAGGGCCAACTATTAAGTATTTTAGAATGTACGTGCCATGTGATCTCTGTCACAAGTACCAGTATTTGCCATCGTAGTGCATAAGTATCCATAAACAATAAGTAAAATAAAAGGATGTCACTTTATTCTAATAAAACTTTGTTTACCAAAATGCATCAGTGGCCTGATTAGCTCTGTGCTTTGTAGTTTGATGACCTCTTATATAGAATTGAATTATTGAACTCATCTCTACTATGTTTCTAGATTTTCTAGTATTGTATTCTAGGTTTCTATCTTTCTCATCTATCCATCTTAATAGTTAAGTTTTACAAACCCTTATCATATATAATATTATTTAAATTATATTAATCTGCATTTAACACACATCTTTCTCTATTTTGTAATTTAGCATTTTTGAGCCATTAAAGTTTAAATTACAGTAGAGATGTAGACATTATGTAAAGGTATATTACTTTATTGTATATGTTCATAAAAGACAATAATGGCCACATTGAAATGACACAATACGATCCACCAAAAGCAAGTAAGGCAGAGATTGTGTACATAAGTAACCAAGTACAAGTTCTGTCCTTTAAGTGAACCCCTACGTCATTATTATTCCCTTATGGTGGAAATTCCAGAAGTAGATAGCACATAAATTTTACATCTTCTTATCTGATATATGGATACCTTTTTTATCAAGTATTCCTTTTTTTTTTCTTTTTTCTGAGATGGAATCTCGCTCTGTCGCCCAGGCTGGAGTGCAGTGGCACGATCTCGGCTCACTGCAAGCTCTGCCTCCCGGGTTCACGCCATTCTCCTGCCTCAGCCTCCGCCCGACTAGCTGGCACTACAGGTGCCCATCACCACGCCTGACTAATTTTTCCTATTTTTAGTAGAGACAGGGTTTCACCCTGTTAGCCAGAATGGTCTCAATCTCCTGACTTCATAACCGCCCACCTCGGCCTCCCAAAGTGCTGGGATTAGAAGCGTGAGCCACCGCGCCCAGCCCATATGCCTTCTTTTATTCATGGTTTACTAATTATAATATTCTATTTATATAATTGAGAATTCCTTGTTCCGTTTTTCTTTCTCATTTTCTTTCATCCTAGTCAATCATTTTCAGTCAAAATGTGTATATATATGTGTGTATGTGTATATATATGTGTGTATATATATGTGTATATATATGTGTATATATATGTGTGTGTATATATGTGTGTGTATATATGTGTGTGTATATATGTGTGTATATATGTGTGTATATATATGTGTGTGTATATATATGTGTATATATATATGCGTATATATATATAGATGGGAAAGAAATACAGAGCAATCTAGGAAGCATTGTGAAAAAATGGTGTGAACGTATGCATCAAAAAGTAATATTACAATTTTATTCAGTATCCCATCCAAACTTTTCTCCTGCAGGACTTTCATGCTTGCTATTGTCAAATCTTCTCCCTTCTGCATAACTTTATCTTCTCTATTATTGCTATTGTCACATAAATGTGCTTTTATATATCACATTAGAAAAATAGTCATTCTCCTCAGTCTACATGTCTCACAAATATAGAACTACTTTTTTTTCTTCTTTAGAGCAAACTTTCTCAAAAGTATTCAGAAAAGTACAATGTGTAAAACAAGCAGCAAGAGAGGACATCTGTGTTAGGGTGAATAATGGCCTCAAGAGATGTCAGGTCTTAATCCTTAGTACCTGTAAATGTAACCTTTATGGCAAAGAGACTTGCAGATGTGAATAAGTGAAGAATTTTGTGATGGAAGATTATCATGAATTATCTTGGTGGGCTCTAAATGCAATCTTAAGTGTCCTTATAAGAGTGAGGGAGAGGGAGATTTGACATAGAATCTAGGTTATGTGATCATGGAAGTGGAGAAATATTTGAAAATTATACGCTGCTATCTTTGAAGATAGAAGAAGTGGCCTTTGAGACAAGAAATGTAGTTCTAGAAGCTGCGTTTCTGGAATAATTTCTAGAATTACTCTCCCCTGAGTTCTCTGGAAAAAATAGGGTGCTGATCACACCTTGGTTTTAGACCACTGATACTGATTATGAATTTTTGGCCTTCAGAACTATAAGAGAAAAAGTCTGTGTTGCTTTAAGCTACCCATTTTGTGGCAATTTGTTACAGCAGCATAGGAAAATAACAGAGAATCTCTTCTTGTTCCCAGGTTTAAAAGCAAGTCTTCTAACATTCCCACATTATTATGTCATAACATATTGTTTATAGGATTTCAAAAGATACACTTTATCAACTTAATTAAGTGCCTTTTAAATCCTAGTTTAATAAGAGCATATATATATATACAGTAAATTAATGATGAATTTTATCAAATACTTCTTTGTATCAATATCTGTTAGGATACAGATCTTAACGTATCTGCATCTACTGAAATTATGTGATTTTTCTCATTTACTCTGTGAATGTGATGAATAATATTCTTTTTAATTGAATCTCAATTATAGAGAATTGAATTAATCATCATTTTGATTAATGACATACTTTCATCTTATGCCTATTCATGGTCATCTTTTATATGTAGGTAATTAAATAATAACTTTTTCAGTGTTGGAAGCAACCAGCATATAGCACCCTGCATAAAAGCTAAAACCTGAAGAATGACCACATTTAGCCATATAGTTTCTCACTCCCATCTCATCCTCTGTAATTACCAGTGTTTGAACCACAACCTCTTTCTTCTCTAAACCACTAGCTGAAATCTAAACTCAGCACTCCAACCTCCCATTTATTGATTTCTGCTAGGCTTCTTGACGTCTCACCTTGTGCATACATATCTTTGATACTGGCCACACTTAAGGGGCATTTGTATGCAGATATTCAGGCTCTCTCTCTGTGGTTACCTCCTTCTTGGAAATTTGTCTCATGAGCCCCATACACACTAGATACTCTGAACTCTAATCTCTGTCACCTCAACACAGTAAAATTTCACTTTCTGTGTATGCTTTCTTTCTTCACATCACTATTTGGGAAATGTTATTAGAGGAAAAACGTCTGAGTGAATGTAATTTATAGTCTATAATTATTTCTTTTTAATAATAATCCCACTCAAGCTCTGTATACATTGATTGTTCTCCCGTGTCTTCCAACAATTGTCTAACATATTTTGCCCAGCTTTTATAGCCAACTTCAGGGTGTGAGTTTGTGCTACTTTATCATGACCTGAACCTGAAATCCTCTAATTTTATTGAAATGGATGGTTATTGTAGTTCATGTTGCATTTCTTGTGTTTCCAATAAGTTTTTAGATTTTCTATTTCTCCACAATTCTGGAATTAAGAATCCATTTGTTTCATTCTAATCTAGTTTCTTATACATAATGCTAAAGGGAGTGTTGTTTCAATGACTGTCAATAACTTCTACGTGGGCACCATTCACATTTCCCAAAGTCTCAGCAGCATTTCAAATTGTTGAAAATTTCTTCCTCTTCAAAACATTATTCATTATAGAGTTCTTTAAAAATATACCAACCTTGCTTTTCTTCTTGCCACCTCAGCTTTTTATTCCCAACTTAATTGCAACACATTTTTTTTTCAGCTCATTTGGCATTAATTTCTATTGTCTGTTTCAACCCTTCCTTGGTGATTTAACAATAAAAATAAATAATTCCTTTAAAGGGCTCATAAGTGTCGGTAACTCCCATAGCTTTACTTTTACCTTTGCCTATTCTCCAACCTTCAGACTTAGACACAAAGTTGTTTAATTACCATCTTGCATTTCTCTCATGCCAAACATCCACATGACTGATAGTCCTGTTATTTCTTTCTTCAAAGTATATATCAAATGCATTCACTCTTTCCATCGCCATTGCTACTATTACTGTTTTAGTCAATTCTGACTGCTATCACAAAGACCTATAGACTAGGTGGCTTAGAAATAACAAAAATCAATTTTTTCACAGTTCTAAAGGCTAGAAGTCTGAGACCATGGTACCAGAGTGACCAGGTTTCAGTGATATCTCTCTTCTAAGTTGCAGACTACCATTTTCTTCTTGTATCCTCACATGCCAGAGAGTGAGAGAACTCTCTTGGGTCTATTATATAGGGGAACTAGTTCCATTTAGAAGGGCTCCAACCTCATGATGTAACCACCTCCTGAAAGTCCCACCTCCTAATACCATCATATTAAGGGTTAGGATTTCCACCTATAAGTTTCAGAGACAGGGTGGCAACAGACATGCAGTCCATTGCAATCAGTATCCAAGACATTACCATCATCATTATCTCCATTCCTTATTTTTTATTATTATTATTATACTTTAAGTCTTAGGGTACATGTGCACAATGTGCAGGTTAGTTACATATGTATACATGTGCCATGTTGGTGTGCTGCACCCATTAACTCATCAATTAGCATTAGGTGTATCTCCTAAAGCTATCCCTCCCCCCTGCCCCCACCCCACAACAGTCCCCAGAGTGTGATGTTCCCCTTCCTGTGTCCATGTGTTCTCATTGTTCAATTCCCACCTATGAGTGAGAATATGCAGTGTTTGGTTTTTTGTTCTTGCGATAGTTTACTGAGAATGATGATTTCCAATTTCATCCACGTCCCTACAAAGGACATGAACTCATCATTTTTTATGGCTGCATAGTATTCCATGGTGTATATATGCCACATTTTCTTAATCCAGTCTATCATTGTTGGACATTTGGGTTGGTTCCAAGTCTTTACTATTGTGAATAGTGCCGCAGTAAACATACGTGTGCATGTGTCTTCATAGCCGCATGATTTATAGTTCTTTGGGTATATACCCAGTAATGGGATGGCTGGGTCAAATGGTATTTCTAGTTCTAGATCCCTGAGGAATCGCCACACTGACTTCCACAGTGGTTGAACTAGTTTACAGTCCCACCAGCAGTGTAATAGTGTTCCTATTTCTCCACATCCTCTCCAGCACCTGTTGTTTCCTGACTTTTTAATGATTGCCACTCTAACTGGTGTGAGATGGTATCTCATTGTGGTTTTGATTTGCATTTCTCTGATGGCCAGTGATGGTGAGCATTTTTTCATGTGTTTTTTGGCTGCATAAATGTCTTCTTTTGAGAAGTGTCTGTTCATATCCTTTGCCCACTTTTTGATGGTGTTGTTTGTTTTTTTCTTGTCAATTTGTTTGAGTTCACTGTAGATTCTGGTTATTAGCCCTTTGACAGATGAGTAGGTTGCGAAAATTTTCTCCCATTCTGTAGGTTGCCTGTTCACTCTGATGGTAGTTTCTTTTGCTGTGCAGAAGCTCCTTAGTTTAATTAGATCCCATTTGTCAATTTTGGATTTTGTTGCCATTGCTTTTGGTGTTTTAGACATGAAGTCCTTGCCCATGCCTGTGTCCTGAATGGTAATGCCTAGGTTTTCTTCTAGGGTTTTTATGGTTTTAGGTCTAACGTTTAAGTCCTTAATCCATCTTGAATTGATTTTTGTATAAGGTGTAAGGAAGGGATCCAGTTTCAGCTTTCTACATATGGCTAGCCAGTTTTCCCAGCACCATTTATTAAATAGGGAATCCTTTCCCCATTTCTTGTTTTTCTCAGGTTTGTCAAAGATCAGATAGTTGTAGATATGCGGCGTTATTTCGGAAGGCTCTGTTCTGTTCCATTGATCTATATGTCTGTTTTGGTACCAGTACCATGCTGTTTTGGTTACTGTAGCTTTGTAGTATAGTTTGAAGTCAGGTAGCATGATGCCTCCAGCTTTGTTCTTTTGGCTTAGCATTGACTTGGCAATGCGGGCTCTTTTTTGGTTTCATATGAACTTTAAAGTAGTTTTTTCCAATTCTGTGAAGAAAGTCATTGGTAGCTTGATGGGGATGACATTGAATCTATAAATTACCTTGGGCAGTATGGCCATTTTCACAATATTGATTCTTCCTACCCATGAGCATGGAATGTTCTTCCATTTGTTTGTATCCTCTTTTATTTCATTGAGCAGCGGTTTGTAGTTCTCCTTGAAGAGGTCCTTCACATCCCTTGTAAGTTGGATTCCTAGGTATTTTATTCTCTTTGAAGGAATTGTGAATGGGAGTTCACTCATGATTTGGCTCTCTGTCTGTCTGTTATTGGTGTATAAGAATGCTTGTGATTTTTGTACATTGATTTTGTATCCTGAGACTTTGCTGAAGTTGCTTATCAGCTTAAGGAGATTTTGGGCTGAGACAGTGGAGTTTTCTAGATATACAATCATGTCATCTGCAAACAGGGACAATTTGATTTCCTCTTTTCCTAATTGAATACCCTTTATTTCCTTCCCCTGCCTAATTACCCTGGCCAGAACTTCCAACACTATGCTGAATATGAGTGGTGAAAGAGGGCATCCCTGTCTTGTGCCAGTTTTCAAAGGGAATGCTTCCAGTTTTTGCCCATTCAGTATGATATCATTATCTCCATTCTATATTTGGATAATAGTCTCTGCCTTTGTCTTCTTGCATTTATTCTTTTCCCCTAAAGTGATTCTTCAAAGAGTAATGTCAAAGAGAACCAGAGCCAGAGGGTAATTAAAGCAGTAAAGAAAGATTTTATTCAGAAATTATTGCAACACAGGAAAAGAGACTTTAGTAGAGAAAGGAGCTCAATTCCAAATACAAGCACGCATGGAAATTTATAGCAAAAGAGCAGTGTGAGGGGGTCAGTGGATGGAAAATTACTAAGAGGAGACATCAAAAGTAGGGGAACTCTTGCTAAACCAAATTAACAGGATTCTTGCTGAAGGCAGCTCAGGGTGATCAGATATCAAGATTCTGTCTATATGGACTTAAGGATTCTTGTTAAAAGTGAGCTATGGAGACTAGGCAAGGGGCCTAGGTGAAGATCTAGTTGAGACGAGAGCTCAAAAATCTGACTAAAGTTTGATGAAGGAGTCTTTGTCAGTATTTGTGTTAATTTTTTTTAATTAGTAAAAGTGAGGCTTATTTGCATTCTTCAAGGACTTACCAATTAATAAGCTATGTTAAAATCTCCAGTTTTAATGTCTATTTCTTCTTTCAACTTCTTTCTGCTTTATGAAAATTGTAATTTTGTGTATGTTATTAATATATATTTTATTTTTAATGTAGAATGAAGCATGAATCCTTCTGTAGAATAAATTTCCCTTCCTTATCCTGTTAAATTTATTTTGTCTTAAATTCTATCTTGTCTCATAGCAAAATTCTGACAACTATTTCAGGATCTTGCTATCATACAAGATCTATCTTTGCTCTTCCTTTTACATTAAACCATTCTGAATTGCCTTGTTCAATATGTTTCTTGCACACAGAATAGATTGGATTCTGCTCCATTAGCCAATCTAAAAGTATGCCATTTAATGGTGAGTTAAGCCCATTTGTGTCTTTGATATACCTGTTATGCTGGTGTTAAGTTCTGTTATATAAGTTTTTGCTATATAAATAATTTATATAAAATCTTGCCCTGTATTTACACTTTAATTTGAGGGGCAGGATATACTCATTTGGTATTTATAAATGTTTCTATGTTTATTCTTATTATTATCTTATAATAATATTATAATAAAATATACTAGTCCTCTAGTGTGTTTGAATACTGTCTATTGATTTCTTCAATGAGTAGTAATACTGTATTCTAGTAAACTTTCTTTCCTTTCTTCTCTCTTTTTGCTTAACATTTACTTTAATTCCATATTTTTTTAATGGCAGTTAGATACTCCTGAGATAGTCATTAAGATTCGTCTACTTTCTTTTTCTTCTCCTTTTTTCCATTTGTTGTTGAGTTGCATTATTTCTTCATGTTTAACACACTTAATAGCATCATGTTTTGTCACTTTAATCCCCATTACTTGTTCTTAATTATAAAATTAAACATATTTAGTCCTTATCCAGAAGCTTCACATGATGTTTGTCTTCTTGTCAGTAGGTAGGACATTTCTAAAAAAGCCATCACAGGAACAATGTTTCTTAAAATCATAAATATTCATGATGTTCTACATTCCTTAGACATGATTCATAGTTTGGATGAATAAAATCTCATCTCGCTACTGTGTTATCTGTTTCATAATCATTAAACCATTTCTTGATTATCATCCTGTATAAAATGTTGCTATCAAGAAGTCTATTATCAATATAAACTTCTTATCCTTTTACCTTCATGCTCAAATAATTAATATTATTTTTTATTTTAATTTTTGTTCTTAGAAATAACCGTTACATGGGTATTACTATTCTTTGCCGAAGTTCTATGTTTAGAAAATTTTTAGATGTTTTTAATCTCTCAATTTCTGTTTTTTACTCTTATTTTTATACTCTATATCTCTTACTATAGTTTGTACCACTTCTATTTGATTTTATGTACCTTCAAATTTTTTTTTTCTAAAAATTATTTTCTAAAAATTATCTTACTTGTCTCAGATTATCTGATTCTCTGATTAATTTTGATTTTGTTCCAATTGTTTTTCTTCAGGGTAAGTATTTTTCTTTTGGGAGTGAGCATTATTGATGATTTCTTGTTGTAGTTTATTGATATTAAGATCTTACAATACTTCCTTTTATCTTCATTTTATCTTTGCCATTAAGTCCAGCTGGTACTGGCCCTATGCTGCCAATGATTAGGACAATTACTCTTGTATCCTGGGTTTTATGCTGATTATTTGTCACCTGTTTTAGTTGGTGATGTCACCCATGGGTTTTTCAGTTACTTCTCCTAACTCCTCTGCCTGGTGTTTGGTACAGATCCAGACATAAATGAAAGAAAAGGAGATAGATAGATAGATGGATAGATAGGTGATAGATAGATAGATAGATAGGCTAGATTAGATAGATAAATAGATAGATAGATACATATTTACCTATATACTTACATACCATAGTTTGCTGCTGAGAGTCTCTCCAGTTTATTTTATTTAATATTCTCATAACCTAGAAGCTATTCTCTACAATGATAAAATAATCCGGCCGGGCGCGGTGGCTCACGCCTGTAATCCCAGCACTTTGGGAGGCCGAGGCGGGCGGATCACGAGGTCAGGGGATCGAGACCATCCCGGCTAAAACGGTGAAACCCCGTCTCTACTAAAAATACAAAAAAATTAGCCGGGCGTAGTGGCGGGCGCCTGTAGTCCCAGCTACTTGGGAGGCTGAGGCAGGAGAATGGCGTGAACCCGGGAGGCGGAGCTTGCAGTGAGCCGAGATCCCGCCACTGTACTCCAGCCTGGGCGACAGAGCGAGACTCCGTCTCAAAAAAAAAAAAAATAATAATCCAACTCTCAGGCAATACTGAGCAAAATATAGCGTAATTAATATCTCAACATACTTGACCCTATATTTTATATGAAAATAAATGAGGCCAGGCGCAAAGTCTCATGCCTATAATCCCAGCACTTTGGGAGGCCGAGGCGGGTGGATCACTTGAGGTCAGGTGTTCGAGACTAGCCTGACCAACATGGTGAAATCCCGTGTCTATTAAAAAAAAAACACAAAAATTAGCCAGGCATGTTGGTGCATGCCTGTAAGCCCAGCTACTTGGCAGGCTGAGGCAGGAGAATTGCTTGAACCTGGGAGGTGGAGGTTGCAGTGAGCCGAGATCATGCCATTGCACTCCAACTTGGGCAACAAGAGCAAAAAATCTCTGAAAAAAAAAAGAGTAAAACACTGGTTGCTCTCTGTTTTAGTAATATGTTACTTGTTAGGTAAATGTGATACATATTAAGTAAAGTGGGATTTTTCTTAGAGAAGATATTTATCTCTATTGAGGTAGCAAAATAAATATATATAGATTGAATGAATTTGTCTCCTTTTAAGTTTAAATAAGAAATGGGTGTGTGTGTTTTTTTGGACTATTCCTATTTTTCCTGGCTTATTCATATTCTAATTCCTCTTGTTTATATAATTATTCACTTTGATCACCTCATATATCTTATCTTTTTTGGGTAGCCTAAAAGCAAAAATATTCTTACAGTCTAGTCAGCATTTGCTGTGCTTTCTTATTATTGTACTTGTTTAGCACAAACTTGATGCTGATTCTACTTCTCATTCTTCATGACAAAACAAGTGGAAAAAATATCTGGGAACTGGCTCTGTGACATGGCTAAATAACACTAATATGAGTCTTGTGCTCTTAATCTATGAAATGGGAATAATAAAAATAGCAAGTCTGTAATCACTGCTATATGAAAACTCCGAGTTTTATGAGTGCTTCTGGGAATACCTAGTAAAGAAAACATATCTGTGTGCTTTATCTTTTAATAGTTAAAAACAGTTTTGACAATAAGTAGTTTATATTTATTAGTTATTATAATATGTATAATTGTAAATAGTTTATAGGTATTAGTTATTATAATATACATGTACATATAACACATTCATATAAACTATAAGTAGTTTATACGTATTAGTAATTATAATATACCTATTATAATAACTAAGAATAGAAAGGCAATGTAGAAACTAAGAGTTATATAATACCCATAGTAATTAATCAATAAGCAAATACTATTTTTAGTATTTTTATACTATTTGTATATGTATTCATTACTTTATGTATATAATTCTTTATATAATTCTTAGGTTCTATAATACCTTTATTCTGTATATTTTGAATTATGTATTTAATAGCCTAATATATTTCTAATTTGCAGAAAACAAGGAAAATTGTCTTCCTTCAATTATTATAAGTATGCATTTCTTTATCCAGGGAGGCTAAAAGGCAAGATCATAACAAGCTATTATATGGAAAATTATTTCTTCAAAATATTCCTTTTAAAATTGAGGCAACAGAATCATTTTTCCCTCTCATTGTATGTTTAATTTAAAATTGTTTCAACAACAATATGTAGATTGCCAGTTCAAGTTCTCAGGTGTAAGAAGACTCACATTTCTTTGTTATACAATACAATATAAATATAAAGTAAAACATTATATTAAAATGAACGTTTTATAATATTTGGACATTAATATCTCAGCCTTTCATTAGCATATTATTTGAAGAAAGGCATTCACTTTTTCACAGGTTACTTCCTTGCTCCTGAAAATGATGATGTTCTATTTTCTACTATTTGTGTCTAAAAATTTAAACAGGTTAGTATATCCTCTGCATAAATGCTGCAAAATACAATGCACAATAATTTTGTTAAAATTACTAAATGTTAGTACAAAATTTGATTAGTTTTCTTAATAATTGTTTCCTTATTTTTCATATCTATATATACAATCATTCTAAAGTTAAGAACTGACTACTCTCTTGATAATGGAGAAATCTTTCAACACACAAAAACAAAATTTTTATTGTCTTTCAAATAGGTCCTGAGAAGAGGATTAGAAAAAGGCAACACATCAAAAAGTTAAGAGGCAGAAATAGCTTTTATGTTGCTGGTAAATTTAATGAGATCTTAAGTTATTAGACTGGCAAGTCTCATCTCTTTGAGCATCTCAGTGAAGACTGTCAGAAATCATCAAAATTCAACACAACAGAGTAAAAGCTAATAGCCTTTTTGTTATACCAAAACTGAAAGGATTGGTAAGACTCAAAATGAATGCTATTACTGAAAATCTTCTTTTATCTAATTCTTTGTGCAGTGAGTGAAATTGAACAAATACATATCCTTTTTATGGTGTTAAAATGAATTCTGACACTATTAAACAAATATTCTTTGGTCCTAAGACCTCCTCAATACTTCTTTCACAAAAAGTATTATTAGAATAGCCTATGTGACTCTAGTTCATAATATTATGGCTATCATTTGATTATTTTCTGTGAAATAAAAATGAAGCACTCTATTTTTTAAAAAATACTGTGTTTTGATGAAGAAGGAAGTTTTTGAGTGGTTATCACATTAGAGAAATTTTTATTGTAATCAACCTTTGATAATTTCTGACATGATTAATATTTATCTTCTTTTCTAGATGTTCTTAAGTAACAAAAAGCAATAAAGATAAAATACAGGACATCAAAGATATCACATACATTCATATATCTCAAGAAATGAAAGCAATGAAAGAGCTGTGGTATGATCCATATTTTTTGTTTGTTGACAACTAATGCAAAATTCCAAACAATAATGAAGCAACTACAGATTTGGGGAAAATAATAAATCAGAAAGAGCAATTGAGAGAGCCTTTTTAGAAAAAAGTTTTCTCCTTTGGAATTATGTTACATTTTGAGTAATTATTATGATAGTCAACCATTAATTTATACATTTGTTTTTAATTTAACATATATTTTGAGTATTAAATATATCAGGCACTATTATAGGTGCTTGTGCTAATTAACAACCAGTTTTCTAGAATGTGTAAAGTGCCATAGAAAATACCTCTTGGGTTCTATGCTCACTACCTGGATGATGGGTTCAGTCATACCCCAAACCTCAGCATCATGCAGTATACTCTGTAACAAACCCTCACATATATCCTCAAATCTAAAAGTTGAAATTTAAAAAAATAAAAATAAAAAGCAAATGATTATATTAAGTATATTAACTAAAACAAAACTAAGTGATTCTGTTTTAGAAAAAGAATTTAGAAATGAAGGGGAGTGGAGACTAGAATAACACTTATGGTGTTCAATCAGAATCAAAACTATCAATATATACTTAAGTTTACTTTTTTTCTACATTAGATAGAAATTGAAAAGAATGTGTAGATATATAAATAGACCTAGATGCACATGTTTGTGTGTGAATGTGTATATATATATATATATATTTTTTTTTTGAGATGGAGTCTTTCTCTGTCGCCCAGCTTGGAGTGCAGTGGCCTGATCTTGGCTCACTGCAAGCTCTGCCTCCTGGATTCATGCCATTCTCCTGCCTCAGTCTCCCAAGTAGCTGGGACTACAGGCACCTGCCACCACGCCCAGCTAATGTTTTTGTATTTTTAGTAGAGACGGGGTTTCACCGTGTTAGCCAGGATGGTCTCAATCTTCTGACCTCAAAATCCGCCCATCTTGGCCTCCCAAAGTGCTGGGATTACAGGTGTGAGCCACAGCGCCCGGCTGAATGTGTGTATATTTCTTAATTTTAACCACTAAGACTAGAAGCAATAACATTTTAATAGCAATCAGCACATCTAGCATTCAAATCTTGGATTCACTTTTTTCTTCGTTAAAAGGATACAGAGCTGCTTGGATCAATGCCTGATTCTAGGTGCATGCGGCAGAAAGAACAAAATGGGTCTGAGACATCTGTTGTTGTTAAGAAAATAAGGAAGTCTCAACTAATGATGGAGACATGCCAAAGAACATAGGAGCTAACTAGAAGTGGCTCTCAGTGACACAAACTGAGATAAATTGAGCAAGGGAATAAATAATGATGGCAATAGATTATTCAGATTAATTAAACCAAATACACATGAATCCACACTAATATAAATAAATAATTGGATAAATAAGAAAAGTGGGACAAAGGAAAGCTTTTCCATACAGTAGAATTCTAATCAATAAATATAGAAAGAATAGTGGAAATAGATTCTCATTTCTTGGCAAATACCATATAATTGTTGCAGACAAGTCTGCTAAAATTAGTGGATACAATTATGAGAAACAAGATATTTACATAATCTCCAAGTATCTCTCAACAAAATACTGATTTTAAAAATGGTAACTTTGAAGTGGAGAAATGTGGCAGACAATATCTTATTCAAGTGATCAGAGTTAATGTCAACAGTATTAGGACACGATGATATCATGTGCCTCCTGATATGATGCACTGAGAAGGACAACCTCGGCATTGTGGCATTCTTGCCAAAATATATTATGTGAATTTAACCATGAAGAAATATTAGAAAAAAATCAAACTTCAGAATAATCTACAAAAAACAAGTATCAAGGGCATGAAAGACAAAAAGAAAAGCTGAATTTTCTTTTTTAACATTTTTTTTTTTGAGATGGAGTCTTGCACTGTTGCCAAGGCTGGAGTGCAGAGGCGTGATCTCTGCTCACTGCAAGCTCCGCCTCCTGGGTTCACGCCATTTTCCTGCCTCAGCCTCCCAAGTAGCTAGGACTACAGGTGCCCGCCACCACGCCAGCTAATTTTTTGTATTTTTAGTAGAGACGGAGTTTCACCGTTTTAGCCAGGATGGTTTCTATCTCCTGTCCTCGTGATCCGCCCGCCTTGGCCTCCCAAAGTGCTGGGCTTACAGGCATGAGCCACCGCACCCAGATAAAGAAGACTAAAGAAATGTAGCAGATAAATGCAATGTGTGACCCTGATTTTGATCCTAGTTAAAAAACATTAGTGGAACCATGAACAAAATATGTAGGTAAGTAACTAATTCCATATCAATTTCCTAATGTGAGTAACTGTACTCTTAGATTGGTGTTAGCAGTCAAGAAGCTGGGTGAAGAATATATAGGAACTCTTGATTTTTTAAAATATATTTTTGTAAGCTTTAAAGTAGTTCAAAATGAAAATTTTAAAATAAAATGAATAAAAAAGAAAAAGGATAGTATGGATCTTCTGAAGTATTGTGCTAAATATAAAATTCATGGTCCATCCCTGAGGTCTTTTATATTACAGTGTTTAAGATATAAAATAAATGTAAAGAAAACCAAAGAATGATCAATAGTGATGAAAGTTATCACTATTTCTGGATAAACCATGTTCTACGATAGCACATAACTGGTGATAGCTTGGAGTCATGCGAAGACCTCTCCAAGAAAATGAAATGTAAAGTGATGACTTAAATATGGAAAAGGAACCATTTGATTAACAAGCCAAACTATGAAGCTTCAAAGACAAGTTGTTACCTTGTGCAAAACCCTGACATGGGGAAAAACTGTGTTTCAAGAGTGGAAAGAGCCCTGTCTCGTTAGGAGTGAGGGTCTTGAATGGTGCCTTTGATTGTAGACAGCAGAGCAGAGCTTTAGCATCCTGGAGATTTGTAATTGTACTCCACAAGTAACTAAAGGATTTAAGGCAAAGGAGGGAAAGAATCTTGCTTACATTACAAAAAATAAAAAAGAAAAAGAAGAAATAAAAAAGAAAAAAATGTAATATATATTATTATTATTACATTGGTTTATAATAATTGGTTTATATCTAATTTGTTTCCCTGTGTTTATAATACATATATATCTCTGCCTCTTAAACCAAGAATAATTTTTACTGGGACAAGAATAAACACAAGGAAATGAATTAGAAAACTATTAAAGTGAAAGGACAAGAAGGTGGAGACCTTGTTCAAAATAATGAAATACATATTTAAGATATGTGCAAGTTTGAAGAAAACAGCTACTGATAGGGTTTTGGTGTATTAGATAAGATAAAATCAATGGGAACACCAGCTGAAGTAAACAAACAAACATACACACACAAACTGGGAAGCAGAGAAAATAACAAAACTCTACTTAAAACATTATGAATTTCAGTTGTCTATAAAACAATCCACATTTGATATTAAGTAAGTAGATGACTATGCAAAGCTCTACCTCAGAGAAGATACCAAAATGGGAAATATTCTGAGATGCTATCATGTAACTGGCCTTTAAACCCATGAAAATGCTTGAGAACACTCGGGAAAAAGTGAGTAAGTAGAGAAAAAAGAAAGTACTCAGCTAAGTGGGTTGAAGACAGTACAGGAAATATTGAAGGAGACTGTCTATTGTTTGATTGATTTCTTTCAAAGAAAGAATACAAAGTAAGTTGATAACTGAAGGACAACGGTAGGTCAATGTAAACTTTTAACAAAAAGGGAATTATTCATTAATGAGAATGATAATACTAAAATGAGAGGGAGAGCTAAGGACAGAATTTACTTAATATTGGGAGATCTTGTCAATTTAGCATAAGACGTGGTAACTTTGTAGAAGGTTATTGTTATGAATGCTGTGGGAGTGAATGCATTGGGAAACTAAAATAGAATGTTTGGCACTGTTGAGTATCCTTTTAAGTTTTGTAATGAATTGAAATCATGTTATTAGTTACAACGTGGATGAGCCTGGAGGACATTACGTTAAGTGAAATAAGACAGGCACAGAGAGAGAAAAACCACATGTTCTCACTTATATGTGGGAGGTAAAAATGAACTTATAAAAGTAACAAGTAGAATTGTAGTTATCAGAGGCTGGAAAGGATGGGAATAAGAAGAGGATGGAAAGAGGTTGGTAAGCAAAGTTAACTTTGTAACAAAGTTGTAGCTAGAAGGGAGGAATAGCTCTACTGTTCTGTAGCACTGTAGGGTGAATTAAGTTAACAATAATTTAGTGAATTTTTTTAAAAACGTACCAGACAGAATTCTGAATATTCACATCACAAGGAAATGACAAATGTACAAGGTGATAGATATGCTAATTACTCTGATTAGATTATTTCATATTGTATACATGTATCAAAATATCACTCTGTATCCCATAAATACGTATAATTATGTGCCAACTAAAAATAAAAGAAAAAATAGAATTCAAAATATAATCAATGTTCAACAAAAGCTTGTTAAATTAAGACAAAGAAGCTATTGAAAATGATTTTTAATTCTGAATTTAAATTAAAATAATCTAGCTTAATTATGTCATTTCCCCCAAGAATTCTTAAGCTTTTTGGATGCTAGCCCATTAAAAAAAAGAAAAAATTTGGAATCATATTGTTTACTCTAATAACCTAGTCTAAATCACGATTCTAGAGAGAAGTGGTAAAGACTCAAATTGTTATTATATTAGAAACTTAGCCTTCTGAAGGCAATATTAGGGAAAAAGAACTCTAGGCCACAATGAGAATGAGAGTAGTTTAAACAGGAAAAGGAAGAATCAGAGAGATTATTGAAAATGCCATCCACTAAGCATAATTCAAACAGAAGACAACATATATATATATATATTTTTTTCACCTAGGATTAGTAAATCAAGAAAATTGTATTACAATTTTATTGGAAGATGAGTTCTATAATATACTAAGTATAAAAAAAGAAGTAAAAGACTTGACATATACCATAATAAAATATTTAATAAGAACATATCTAGTAAGTACATAGAAATATATAAATAAAAACAGCTTTATTCAATAAGTATTTGTGACTATTATATATGTTATCTCATTTATCTTCACATTATTTTTGTAGGATAAATATTACTAATTTGATGTGTTGGTTGCAAAAAGGGTAATGTCACTAAAAGAAGTCAGATAGCCTGATTAAGGTTTTACATTCATTCATTGTGACAAATATATAATGAGAACACAATTTCTCTTATTATATCAAACTACCTGCTAAACAACAAAAGGAGTTTGATGATTTAATTACATATACTTTATCTTAATTCCCAAAGTGTATTAATATGGAAGGGCATTCTTTGTTGGTACTTGATGAGGTTAGAATTAAGAATTTAAAACTTATTGGTATAAACATATACCTAATTTAAATCATTTAAGTTATGATATATTAAGCTAATACATGCTTGAATTTGTTACTACTTTTGAAAAATTCTGTGTCTCCCCACACCTTCCTCATTCCACTTCGCTAGTTATTATGTTTCTTTTTTAATTTATGAAGATGGAATATAATGCCCAATTCATAATACTGTTTTTCAGGTACAAAGTTGGCATAGACAATACTGAAATACATGTGATGACATTTACAGTAGCAATTCAAATTAAAAGAGAAAAGCATCTTTCTAAACCATCTTCAAGTAAACAGTTGCCATTTATTTCTACTAGCAAATATTTCTATGTATCCTAAAAATTAAAAGTGATATACATTGAGTAAGACTTTACAGTCCTCAGAATAGTATAATGGAAAAATATGTATTTGATATGTTTTCCTGCCATTTCACTATCTAGAAATTGTCCTAATCCTTAAAAGAGATCATTAGCTAGCCACTGAAATCTCAGGGGAAAAGCTGTTAAAACTGACAGCTACATTTTTTAACACTACACATATAGACATCTCAGAGTTTAAATACATTGGATTTGTAATCTCTCTGTTATTTAGAAGAGGTGCTGTATAGGTGAAGGACTCATTTTGTGAACCTTTCTTAGTATAACAGCTAATTTATTCTTAGAACATTTCTAGAGAAAGAAAAACAGCAAGAGATCATCAGAGAATAAAAAAAGGTATTATAAATATGAGTTAAAATCATTTAAAATAGCAGTTTATTTTTCAGAAAAGAATTTTAAGCCTCTACATATTTATGAAGAAGAATGGAAACTCTTGAACAACAGTCATGAAAATTTAAAATACAGATCTGATAAAAAATTCCTCTGCCTGTTTTATCAAATGTGTTTAGATTGGAAATAAATAGGGAGTTTGTTTCATAGCTCCCCTGGTTGGAGGTAAAAAATTTCTATTCCTTAGGAAATGGAATAAAATAAGTTGGTTAAAAGAAGTTTTGAGATTCGTTCGTCCGTAGCATTCTAAAATAGGAATTAGCTTAGGTCATCAACGACCAAAATTATCTGAGTTTGGTGGAGATAAAAAAGCAAGACTGAAAGTTATATTTTTTTTCAAGCAATGTTTGAATGGATAAAGTACAGAAGGAGAAAAATGGTTGCATTTCTATGCATTGAAAATGCTTATTTGGTTTTCTTTTAAGCTTGTTGTTTCAAATGGCCCACTTAAATTTACTGACTCTATACCAAATAAATTAATCTCACTTTTCACACTGCTATCCCTCTAGTTTCTTGCCTCAATTTATTCCAGAATGACATTCTACATTTATTCAATAAGTACTCAGAGGGATGCGTTATGTGCATGGCATTCAACTAACCATTAGTTGGACAAGACAAACTAAGTAAAGGATATCTTTCCTGCCTTCTTAAAGTTTGCAGTTTAATTATCTTGATTTCAAGCCTCATTCTGTTACATTTTCACTAATTTTCCATATTTTTTCTAAGTCTCTGAAAAGTTTTGATAGTGAATTCCATCACCTTTATATTAGCTAAGCTCTCATTGGCTTTCTAACTCAATTTATCACATGGATATTGACTTTCAACCATGTTTTCTTTTTTTTTTTTTTCTTTTGAGATGAGTTTTGCTCTTGTTGCCCAGGCTGGAGTGCAATGGCGTGATCTCAGCTCACTGCAACCTCTGCCTCCAGGGTTCAAGCAATTCTCCTTACTCAGCCTCCCAAATAGCTGGGATTACAGGTGTGCACTACCATGCCCAGCTAATTTTGTATTTTTAGTAGAGACCACGTTTCTCCATGTTGGTCAGGCTGGTATCGAACTCCTGATCTCGTAGTCCCCCCGCCTCGGCCTCTCAAAGTGCTAGGATTACAGATGAGAGACACCGTGCCTGGCCTCAACCATGTTTTCAATTCTGAAAACAACTAAGAAGTATATGACCGTTCTTACCTTCAAATAAATACAATTTTAGTCTAAATGATAAAAGGACTCTATATAGGTAAATTCATCATAAGTTAGGAAGTACAAGTGGAATGAAAAGTTGAAAAAAAGGCATAGTACATGAGTATGAAAGGATACAGAATTAAAACCCATCTAGAAGATTCAGTAAAATATATGGCTTCCTTTTTATCCAAATAATTTTAGAAACTTTCCTTCCAACTTCCACACTTCTATGGCATTCAATTCCCATCTTTATTTTATTTCGTCTTATATTTTGTTTTACCTTCTGTCTTTACTTTCCCTTCTTGTTGAAGTAATTGTTTCCTAGAAACATAGATCTTCATAAGGTTTATTACTGATTTAACATCTAAAGTTATCATATAATATGAGCTAGATTATGTTATCTAGCAATTTATCAATTGCAAAAATTTCACCCAATTGTAATTTAGAAAAAGTGTCAAACCCCCTAATAAGTTGCAAGAATAACAAAACTAATATTCAAATACATGCAACTCAATCCATAATCCATGTTTGTGTGTGTGTGTAAAGTTTTTTTTTTTTTTTTTGAGACTGAGTTTCGTTCTTGTTGCCCAGGCTGGAGTGCAATGGTGCAATCTCGGCTCACTGTAACCTCCGCCTCCCAGGTTCAAGCGATTCTCCTGCCTCAGCCTCCCGAGTAGCTGAGATTACAGGCATGCGCCACCACACCCAGCTAATTTTGTATTTTTAGTAGAGACTGGGTTTCTCCACATTGGTCAGGCTGGTCTTGAACTCCCGACCTCAGGTGATCTGCCTGCCTCAGCCTCCCAAAGTGCTGGGATTACAGGTGTGAGGCACCGCCCCAGCTAAATTTTTTAACTTATTCAAAAATCAGTTGTATACATCACTATAATTCACAGGGATAAGCAAATTATTTCCATAAAGAGCAATATAACAAATATTTTAGGAGTGTGTGTCTGTAAACTTCTGAGCTTATTCAAAAAGTAGTTGCAAACATTATTATGAGTCACAGTGTCAGCAAAGTATTTATTTCTATAAAGGGTAAGACAGTAAATATTTTAGGCTTTGGGAACATTGTAGAAGTCTCTGCCACAACTGCTAAACCCTGTTGTAACAAGAAAGTAGACAATATGCAGACAAATGGCTGTGGCTACAATATTATCAACTTTATTCATAGACACAAATGTTAAATTTTGTTAATTTTGTGTTACGGACTATTATTCTTCTGTTGATATTTTTGTATTATTCAAAAAATATAAAAACATTCTTAGCTGCAGGTTGTACAAAAACAGGCAATAGGACAGGTTCAGTATATGGGCTGAAGTCTGCTAAACCCTGTGGTTCAACTAGAAATATTACAGTATATAGCTGCTAATAGCAAGAGCAATGTCCTATTTATACACAAGAAAATTATCACGGGTGGAAATTATATTAAATACATTTTAATCATGCAAATTATACAGGAATGTAGTACTTTTGAAAAAATCAAACGATTACCAGTAAATCTATTGTGTGTTGGTTCACCCCCAGAAGGCCATTATTATCAGTGTGGTTTGCGTATTTCCAGACATTTTCCAAAGCAATCACATAAGTTCATTTTAAAAATGTATTCTCACATATTTTACTGATAAACCATTTAAAAGTAAATCTGCAAACAATAGTTCTGCAATTCATTCATTCTCTTTAATAAGAAACATGCTGGAGACAAAGAAGGCAGGTTTTTTGGTAACCATATAACTGGCTAACCTCTTGGCAAACAAACTAAGAAGTTTCCAGGGAGGAATATCTTACCTACAGAATGCTTTTAGAAGAATGTATGTGCTGTGATTTCTTTTCTAGGGTTGTTTATAATAAAACCTAAATCTCTTTGACTCATGGGGCATAGTTTCCTGGACCATCTAAAGACAAAATGAGATATTTTGTGATCTAAATATCTCCTCTGTGTAAGTGAGATGACCGCACATCTTACTCAGAATCATCATCTATTATCCTTGTTCAAAGCATATCTGATGTGGGAGGAAAGGACCCAGGGATTCTCACAGTGCTATCTGACCTTACCTTGCTCCACCTGTACCTCACAATAATTTTTATCCATAAAATTATTAGTTAAGTTTGCATAAGATCTCCGATGCATGTGAGTCTGATTTGATAATCTAATACTTTGTGTATTTTTAACCACAATAATGTGTTTTTATTTTTCAATTTAATATGTATTGGAAATCTTAGTGATTCAACACATGTTAATCTTTATCATTTCTTTAACTCTTAGATATGTCATATTTACTTAGCCATTTCTCTATTGGTGGACATTTAATCTATTTAATGGGCTTTTGACTATTTTTAAAAAGCTGTAATTGACATCCTATTGCATTTTATTGCACATATGTTAGTATTTCGTAAGACAGATGATGAGTTAAGGAAAATTGTGCTTATAAGTTATTCACATTGTAAAATTTAATAGATATCAAAAATTTTCATCTAAAGTGGTCTTAAATTATAGATGTCAATTTGATATTATTAAACTTTGAATTATTTTGCTAAACCCATGGATTGAAAGTATAATTTTATGAAATCTTAGGTACCACAGGAAGAAGTATAAATTGATACAACTGATTTGAAAAAAAGTTAGTCTGTGATTAAATAAGTATCCACATATGTTTGCTCCTAAAATTCCTTGGATAGTTATATGTTGTAGATAAACTTATGCATATAATTCTGAGAGCATATGTCCAAGTATTTTCATATTGACTTTGCTCCTAAGCACCCAAACTTTAAAATAACACAAATGTATATAAGGAATAAAATAGAAAATTCTCATCTATATAAACAATCAAATATTATAGAGCAGTGAAAATAAATAAATTACAACCGCTTGCAACAACAGGGCTGTCACTCATAAACATATGTTGAACAAAAGGAGTGTGGCACAAAATAATACAGAAAGAGGATTTCATAGTAATTATCAAAGCAGGCCAAAAAAAACTAAGGTATGTTGTTCAGAGATGCATACATGCTATACCTTTTTGAAGCACAGCAAAAAAATTATACATAAAACTTAGGGTGAGAGGAGCTTCTTTTAGGAAGGGACACTTGGGGGAGTCTGGGGCACTAATATAGTCTAATTCCTGGCCTAGTTTGGTTTACATGGGTTAGCTTTACAATCTGAATACATTTAAGCTTTACAGATGTCTTTGATTCATGCTTTTGCATCTCAAAATAAAAGGTTCTATTGTTTAAGTTTAATTTGTTTTACTTGATTATTGAAAAATTTAATTATTTTTAAAATTTTAATTAAATTAGTTTAAACAAATAATTAAGGTCTTTAGAACTAATCTCTTGATTCTTCCAGTAAGTACCTATTTTTACATTTTCCCACTTTTCTATCGAAATATTTTTATTTTTCTAAATTATTTATAGATTTGCTTTGGTATACATAGTTTACATATTTTCTCATAGTAAAAAACATGTAGTAAAACTATTTTGCTAGAAGTGAAGACTTTAAATTTAAGTTAGCCAAATTAATCAATTTTTTTCAAGGGTATTGATTTTTTAGTCTTGCTTAAAAAGGCAAAAGGGAGGCATACATTAGGTAAATATATTGAGAATGGGAATTTGAATCAGAAAGAAAAGGCAGCGATCAGTTGGAAATATCTGAATACATATTGCCTAATGGGCATGTCCTCTCTCTGACAAAAAGCCTGATCTGACTGCAAATGAGGCAAATTGTGGCCTGTAGCAGCATGAACCTCCTTCTCCACCAAAGGATTGCTCAGTAATAACAGTCTAGCAGAAACTCACCTTGAAAAAAAAATGTAGACAACATGAAAAAAAGAAAGAAAGGAAGAAAATCAACAGTCATTCAGAGAAGTGCCATCATTGTAAGTGCATAGGGTAAGATTTAAAATAACATAAAGCAAATGAAAGATGTATAAAATACAAAAGAAAGACAGCAGAGAGCAATAAAAAGAGTACTTCCAAATAAGTAGAATTAATATTCTCAGGGGAATGCCAGAAGTTACTGCATCCATTAATAAAGAAGAGGAAAGCTAAAAATGAGATCATTGAAGTAATGATGGATATATAATCTCTCAATAAATGATGATGAGTTGCATATATAGTAAAAAGAAGGCTGAAATATTTTTAAGCACACGCTTGCATACTAAAATAAATGAGGTCAAATGAACAATACAAATACACTTCTTTTTGGACACCGACTTCTACTTGCACCTGCAGTTCTAGTCCTCTCTTTTCCACTACACTTTCTGATCTTCTTAGTATGAATTCCAACAAGAGGCTTCCTTTTCTTCTGACTGCTGAGTGAATTCAATGAGTTAAAGTGAATGATTTGTATTCTCAGGAAAGCAGAGAGCAAGATCAAGTATTTTTAACACTGGCTTCCCACGGGTGATTGGCTTTGTCCCTTAAGCTTAGGTGGTTGCTCTTTTCCTGATGAGTCTACTTTATCCTAAAGTTAGTAAACTTGCTTTGCCACTGGCCCTTTCAAACTAGGGGTGATAAAAATCACTCTAACCAAAGGTTACTGCAGTCTCTTGTGTTCTTTCTCATCCCTTCAACAGCTTTGCAAAGAATCTCCAAACCCTCTCTGCATTATCCTTATTAAATTGCACTATCAGTTTCTTTATATGACCCCAACAAATACATGAATCTCCTAGTTAGGGAAGCTGATAGACTAAGAGTACTTTTCTTTCATGTTCAAAGCTAGAAGGTAAGTATTTTCTAATAATGTGAAGCAGCTGAAATGACAATTTGGGTTAGAGCTGTGCTGTGGACTACAGCTATTTGAAAGTACAGTTTTATTTTTATGACAGTTTGCTCTCTGCTGTCTGGGATATTTACATTTTCCTTTCCTATGGAGAAGGTCAGAGTATGATTGATTCAACATTAAAAATAACTTTTGATTGTTTAAAGTGAGGATGTTCTAAACAATAATATTTGTGAAGTCCTCTATTTTGATATTTTTCACTTAAGATCAGTGATTTAGAAATCAAGTGAAAATCTTGTTACCATTTGAATGAACATACTGATATTAATAAAATGATGAGTATTTTACATGATCATCCAAGTTAGATTTTGACAGAATGCCTAGGGTCTTGGAGTAACCAGCTTTTGGCAATTCCTGGCTCTCTTTTTCATATTCAAATTTGTAAAGAAAGTAGAGAAGAGTAAATGTGTGTAGGTGTCTTCCTCCTGGAAGTAGGCACAAACTGCATGGAAAACCAACCAAAAAATGGTAACAGAAAAATATGATAATAATTTATTTAAAAATAAAATTCTTAGACTTTGTCATAACTAAAAGACTATCTAGAATTGTGAGTGAAGTAAGGACCCCAAATAAAGACGCATTTCTAATTCTTATATTTCTGGCCCATGCGGCAAATATTGGGTATGCTAGGTGGAAGAAAAGGTGTTCAATATATAACATCCTCTTCCATATCTCAGTTTTGATTCTATTAAAATTAATACAAGGAATATAGCAGAATACTGAGAAACAAACACATTTAGTCTGATATAGGGGATGCAGATGAACTTGATTTATATTCATGGCAGTTGAGCCTTCTAATATTGAATTCCAGAGTTAGTGCAGAAACAAAGAATGTGTGCTTTCTGTGAGTGATTCCTAAATAAAAAGAACAGAGGCATATGTTTTTAACAAGTACTTATGTGGGATTCATAAAATTAATTTTTATATTATCCTCTCCCCTATCAACAAATTGTTAGGGACACCATGTCCATGTTTTAAATGTTTATTAAAATTGCATTGTATTTTAATCTCAACAATATCAATATAGATTTAATCCTCAGTCATGTATATCAACTTTTGTGAAAATTAATTTTATTTTCTTTCACTGGCATAAGTTTAATAGTTATTCAAAAAAAAAAAAAAACTCCTGGATTTTTATTCCCCTGACTTTTTAAATGTTTAAAAGATGGCTGTTTCTTACCTTCATGTGATTAGGGGACCTTATGTTAAATTCTTGAGTTATGCTTTCTGCAGACTTTAGGTAGACAGAGTTTCACTGGTGAGGTAAATTTTTTTAAACTGTGAAATGCACAGATCTAAAGTTTACAATTCAATAACTTTGGACAAATACAAAGACCCATATAATCAATACTGATTCAAGCTACAGGCATTTTCCTCACCTCAAAAATTCCTTCGTGCCTTTCCACTTAAATCTCATTCACACATCAAATCTTTAATCCATTCTTATTTTCATAACCATGGATTAGTTTTGCCTCTATTGGAATGTCATATAAATGGAACTTTATGCCATGTAATTTTTTTTAAATTTGTTCAACATAATAAGAATAGATATTCAACTTTTTTATTTTATTCAATATAATATTTTATAGAGGCCCAGACATTTTGTTACACATCAATATCTGATTTGTTGTTGTTGTTGTTAATTCTGAGTACTGTAGTGTCCACTGTATGAATATATACAATTCGTGTATCCATTCCTTTATTGAAGGTTGTTTGGGTTGTTTCAAGGTTTAGTTTTAAGAATAAAACTGTTCTAATAAGTTTTGAATAAATCTTTATCGTGGCATCAGTTATTATTTCTTTTGTGTACATAACAGAGAAAAAACTTACTGGGTCAAAGAAAAATATATTTTAAACTTTATAAGAAAATAATTAACTGTTCTCTGGAGTGTTTGCCCCATTTTACACTCTTAAGAAACAAAACGACTTCCAGTTGCTACATATCTATAATTTTTGGTATTGTCAGTATTTTAAAATTTCTTTAAATAATTTCTAGTGAATGTGCAATGGCTGTCATTGTCATGTATATTTGCATATTCCTAATGAATAATGATGTCCAGTGCCTGTTCATGTGACATTGCATATCTTCCTTTGTAAGATATTCAAGACCCATGCCTATTTGGGGAGAGGCTGTTAGACGTTTTATTACTGAATAGTATTACTTATTAAGATCTTCTAAGTCATTTGTATGTATTAAAAATAATTCCTCTGATTCTGTGTCCTGCCTTTTAATTTTTTTCAATGCTTTCTCTTGATGAGTAGAAAATCTTATTTTGAGGAAGCCCTATTTATATAATTTTTTCCTTTACGGCTACATTTTCTGTTTGTTTTGTCTGAAATATTTTTGCCTCCCTAAAGATGTAATATTTTGCCTCCCTGAGATGCAAGATTGTTCTCTTATATGATTTATAGTATTAGTTTTTATATTTATGTTTCATATTTATGTTTATGAGCATCTCAAATTGGATTCATCACAAATTTGTAAATGATATGGGATAAACATTGACGTTAGGCTAAGCATGATGACTCACATTTGTAACCCCAGTGCATTAGGAGACTGAAGAAGGAGGATTTCTTGAGCCCAGGAGTTCCACGCTGCAGTGAGCTATGATTGCACCACTCCAGCCTGGGCAACAGAAAAAGTTAGAAATAAAAAAATTAATTTGATTTTCATAAATTTATCTAGTTGTTTCAGATTTGTTGTAAAAATATGTGTTTTCTATTGTCCTTTGTCTTCATAGAAAATCAGTTCATCATCTACGTTAAACATGAACATATTTATGGATGCTCCATTTTTTAACATGCAGCTTTAAAAATCTTAACATAATTTAATGTTACTTCTTTGATTATATTCTTTTCCAAGATTGGTTAAATTACCTATGTTCCTTTGTATTTCTGCATATATATATACATCTTGACATCACATTGTTTATTTTTATTTTGCAGTAAAATCTGATGTGATTTTCATCAGAGTTGAAACACATTTGTAGATCAATATAAGGTGGATGGATATCTTAATATAAATAACATATCAATAAGAACATGTATAGATCTACATTTTCTATTTTTTCTTAAAATTTCTCAATAATATTTTTAGCTTCTAGATAAAAGTCCTACGCATATTTTGTTGCCTTTATTCCTAAGAATTATATGCTTGTGATTATTCTATTGTGAATAGAATTTATTATCATGTTTTAATGATTCATTATTAGTATGCAACAACACATTTTACCGGTTAAGAACTGCTTATCCAAAATGCTTGTCGAATTAACGCAAAAACAGCAAACTAAATACCACGTTTTCACTTATAAGTAGGAGGTAAACATTTGGTACCCAAAAACACAAAGATGGGAACCATAAACACTGGAGATTCCAAAAGAGAAGAGAGAGGGAGCTGGCCAACTGTTGAAAAACTGTCTATTGGGTCTTATGTTCACTACATGGGCGATGAGATCATTAGAAGTTCAATATTCAGCATCACACAGTATACCCATGTGACAAACGTTCAGATGTACCCCTAGAATCTAAAATAAAATAAAACAATCAGTTGCCAATATACAAATTGAAGTTGAATTCAACTCATGCTGCACTCTTTTCCATGTTCCATGTTGCAATCATTATTATTAAATGATTAAAATCTCTCCTTACCACTTTAACTAGTGTCCTCCTTCATTTATTTTTAATACAAGAGGCCCTTCTGCCTTGCTTACTTATGTATTTCCAATGTTTGCACAGTTTTTCTTCATAGTGTCTGCTTAATAGGTATTTGTTAAAAAAAATGAGCACATATAGTGAGTTAAAAAATGCTTGGGACCAGAGGTATTTCAGATTTCAAATTATTTTCAGATTTCAGAATATTTACATTATACTTACAAATTCAGTAGTGCTAATCCAGAAATCCAAAATCTGTAATGCTTAAGTGAACATTTCCTTGAGCATCACGTCAGCTCTCAAAAAGTTTCAGCTTTTAGAGCATTTCAGATTTCAGATATCTGGATAAGGAACACTCAACATGCACTTTTATATATTAACCTTGTTTGCTATAAATTTCATATATATATATTATTTATTTCTAGTAGCTTTTGAAATGTATTCCTTAGTTTTTTCCCATAATCATCTCATTTTCAAGTAAAGACAATTTTGTTTTTCCTATTCAATCATTATGCCCTTTATTTTTCTTCTTTTTATAATGGTTAGTGCTTACAGTAATGTGTAGAAGAATAGCAGTGAGATGAACATTCTTTCTTTTTTCCTGATTTTATGTGGAATTTTTCAATATTGCACCTTTAAATAGTACCCTGCCTGAAGATTTTTTGTAGGTTGTGGAAATAAATAACACCTAATAATAACAGAGAGAATCTATATTTATTCAGACTTTTTATAACAAGAAAGTCAGCTGTCATCATATATGTTTTGCAGTGACTCAAAGAAAGGCTGAGGAATAGGAAAGTTTTGTACTTGGAAAAGGAAAGCTTTTGGATATGCTCTGCTTTAAGGTTGTATGGGGAAGCTGAAGATGGACTAAATAAATAAGGGGAAATGGAGCATCTTATGTGATCAGTCAGAAAGCATACTTGACTTTCTCTGATGGGTCCTGAGTTGGCAGCTGAGGCAAAAATAGGGAACCTGGCAATCATTAACTAAATCCTATTCATTTGGGGCTGGTTGATGCAGAGGCTGTGGTTTGGCTTCCCAGGCTGGTTGCTACAAAGATGTGGGTCAGAGCTCTATTCTTATATATGGTCTGGCTACCCCTCCTCCCATTTTGTCATTAACTAGCTTGAGGCATTGGCCAAGCCAATTCAGGGAAGTTTAGAGATTCAGATCTTCACAACTTAGAGACTGTTTAATTGTCTCTATTGTCAACCATATTATGAGATGTTCTTGAACTTTTTGCAGTTTTGTAGTAAGGGCAATCTTCTGGTGAGAGGGCTGCTATAAAAAGGAAGTTAAGACTGAGTTGAATGCAATTGGCCAGCATCATGACTAATATGACAAAAACAAGAACAATGAGTAGTTCCTATAAAATGCTTCAGAAATAAAACCCCAGTTGTCCAACTCAAGTCAAGAGAACAAATCTTACAGGTTATGACGATCAGCCATAGAGAGCCAAGTAACTTCTTCCTTAAGGCAATATATAGCTTATTCCGTCTTGCTGTATTAATCATGGTTATTGTTTTTGTTTTGCTTTGACATCTTGAGACCATATAGGTTTCAAGACAGAGTGCTCCTCCTAGGGTTAGCTAATTTCTAGAAATACTAAACAACTTGCCTATGAGCATGTTATTTATATGCAAACCAACCAATCCAGAATCCACACCCTCACTTGACTCTTATTATATGGCTCCTGTGGTCTGGGACATTATCCCTCTGCTTTCGTCACCCCAGAATCAGGTGCTGGAACACTAGGGACTAAATTACACAAAAAGTACTCACACTACCCAGTCTTAAACCTGCTCAGCTGCTTACACTGTCTCACTCATTCCTTCCAAGGAAAACCATATTAAAGGCTCTGGCTCATGCTTTAGTTTTGCTCCTTTTGCCTTCACTGACTCTGGTACTTCCCCATATGGCCCCAGTGCATGATGTGCTGTGGCTCCTGTTTCTAGGGCTTTATGTGTATAAGAACATGTGACAGTCATTTCTGTCTCTGCAAGTCTCTCCATAATTAAATGGAGACAAAAAGAAATCTAGAGCAATGAAACAGTGTAGTTGTTTTGTTTTTTTTAATTAATTTCAACTTTTATTATAGGTTAATGAAAGACTGTTACATGAGTAATTGTGTGATGCTGAGGCTTGGAGTCCCAGTGATCCTACCACCCAGGCAGTAAACACAGTACCCAACAGGTAGTTCTTCAGCCCACAACCCCTACCTTTCCTCCCCAATCTAGTGGTCCCCAATGTCTATTGTTCCCATCTTAACATGTGTATTCAATGTTTAGCTACCATCTATAAGTGAGAAGATGTGGTATGTGGCTTTCTGTTCTTCTATGAGGTCACTTAGGATAATGGTCTCCAGCTCCATTCATGTTGCCACAAAGAACATGACTTTGTTCATTTTTATGGCTGCATTGTTTTTTGTGATGTATACATACCATATTTTCTTTACCCAATTCTCTATTGATGGACACCTAGGTTAATTCTATTGCTTTGGTATTGTGAATAGTGCTGCAATGAACATACGGGTGCATGTGTCTCTTAGATAAAATAATTTATTTTCCCTTGGGTATATATACTCAATAGTGGGATTGCTGGGTCAAATGGTAGTTCTATTTTAAGTTGTTTGAAGAATCTCCAAACTTCTCTCCACAGTGGCTGAACTAGTTTGCATTCCCACCTACAATGTATAAGCCTTCCCATTTCTCCACAGACTTCTCAACATCTGTTGTTTTTTGTAAGTTTTAATAATTGCCATTCTGACTGGTGTGAGACGGTATTTCATTGTGGTTTTTGCATTTGAATTTATGTGATGATTAGTGAAGTTCAGCAATTTTTAATGTTTCTTGTCTGCTTGTTACGTCACCTTTTGATAAATATCTGTTCATGTCCTTTGCCCATTTTTTAGGTGGATTTTTTGGGTTTTTTGCTTGTAGATTTGTTTAAATTCCTTACAGATGCTGGATATTAGACCTTTATCAGAAGCATAGTTTGCAAATATTTTCTCCCATTCTTTAAGTTGTCTGTTTACTCTGTTGATAGTTTCCTTTGGTAGGCAGAAGCTCTTTAGTTTAATTAGATCCCACCTGTCAATTTTTGTTTTTGTTGCAAGTGCTTTTGGGAACTCAGTCATCCATTTGCCAAAGCCTATATCAAAAAGGGTACTTCTTAGATTTTCTTCCAGTATTATTAGAGTTTTAGGTCTTACTCATAAATCTTTAATCTATCTTGAGTTAATTTTCATCTATGTTGAGAGGCACGGGTCCAATTTCAATCTTCTGTATATGGTTAGCCAATTACCACAGCACAATTTTTTGAATAGGGATTTTTTTTCCATTGCTTGTGTTTGTCAGCTTCTTCAAAGGTCACATAGTTGTAGGTGGGCAAATTTAGTTCTGGGTGCTGTATTCTCTTCCACTGGCCTGTGTGTCTGTTTTTGTATCAGTACCATGCTGTTTTGATCACTGTAGCCTTATAGTACAGTTTGAAGTCTGGCAATGCGATACCTCTGGCTTTTCTTTTTGCTTAGGATTGCTTTGGCTATTCAAGCTCTTTTGTGGTTCCAGATGAATTTTATAATAGGTTTCATTCTAATTATTTAAAAAATGACATTGGTATTTTGATAGGAATAGCATTGAATCTGTAAATTGCTTTAGGCAGTATATCCATTTTAACAATATTGATTCTTCCAATCCATGCGCATGGATATTTTTCCATTTATGTGTCATCTCTGATTTCTTTCAACAGTGTCTTGTACTTCTCCTTGTAGTGGTCTTTGACCCCCTTGGTTGGATGAATTCCTAGGTATTTCATTTTCTTTGTGGCTATTGTAAATTGGATTGTGTTCTTGATTTGGTTATTAGCTGCAATGATTTTGGTTCGTAAAAATGCTACTTATTTTCCTACAATGTTTTTATTTCTTGAAACTTTACTGAATTCACTTGTCAGTTCAAAGAGCCTTCTGATGGAGACTTTAGGATTTTCTATGTGTAGAATCACAACATTGGCAAAGAGAGATTGTTTAATTTCTTTTCCTATTTGGATGGCTTTTGTTTCTTTCTCTTGCCTGTTTGCTCTCACTAGGACTTTCAGTGCTATGCTGAATAGAAGTGGTAAAAGTGGGCATCCGTGTTGTGTCTCAGTTCTCCAGGGGTGTGGTTCCAGCTTTTGCTGTTCAGTTTGACGGCGACTGTGGGTTTGTCATAGATAGTTTTATTATTTTGAGGTATGTTCCTTTAATGCCTAATCTGTTGAGGGTTTTTATCATAAAAGGAATGTTGAATTTCATTTATTTATTTATTTATTTATTTATTTTTGAGATGGAGTCTCACTCTGTTGCCCAGGCTGGAGTGCAGTGGTGAGATCTCAGCTCACTGCAAGCTCCACCTCCCAGGTTCACGCCATTCTCCTGCCTCAGCCTCCCGAGTAGCTGGGACTACAGGCGCCCGCCACCATGCCCGGCTAATTTTTTGTATTTTTAGTAGAGACGGGGTTTCACCGTGGTCTCGATCTCCTGACCTCATGATCCGCCCGTCTCGGCCTCCCGAAGTGCTGGGATTACAGGCGTGTGCCACCGCGCCTGGCTGGAATGTTGAATTTTATTGATGGCTTGTTCTGTATCTATTGAGATGATCCTGTGTTTTTTGTTTTTGATTCTGTTTATGTGGTGAATCACATTTATCAATTTGCATATGTTGAATCAACTTTATATCCCAGGAATAAACCCTACTTGGTCATAGTGAATGAACTTTTTGATGTGCTGCTGGATTTGGTTTGACAATTTTTGCTTGTATTTTCATCAGAGATATTGATCTGCAGTTTTCTCTTTTCTTTTTCCGTGGTCTATGCCAGATTTGGTAACAGGGTAATGCTGGCTTTGTAGTATGAGTTAGGTAGAAGCCCCTCCTGCTTGATTTTTTGGAGACATTTTAGTAGGATTGGTATCATTTCTCCCTTGCACATCTGATAGAACTCAGCTGTGAATCCATCTGTTACGGGGCTTTTATTTTATTTTATTTTATTTTCGTAGGTTTTTTATTACTAATTCCATTTCCAAACTTCCTATTGGTCCGTTCAGGTTTTCACTTTCTTCCTGATTCAATCTTGGGAGAATGTGTGTTTCCAGGAATTTATTCATTTCCTCTAGATTTGTGTGCAGAGAGGTGCTCATAATAGTCTCTGCATATCTTTTGTATTTTCATGGGATCAATTTTAACATAATCTTTATAATTTCTGATTATACTTATTTGGATCTTCTCTTTTTCTTTGCTAATCTAGCTAATGATCTATCAGTATTGTTTATTAAAAAAAACTCTTGGCTTCATCTTTTGTGTGGACTTTTAGATAACAATTTTTTTTCAGTTCTCTGACTTCAGTTTTTTTTTTCTTCTACTAGCTTTGGGGTTGGGTCTTTTCTGTTGCTTTTTTTCTAATTCCCCTAGTTGCTACGTTAGGTCATTAACTTGAGAACTTTTTGTCCCCCTGATGAATGCATTTAGCACCATCAATTTTCCTCTTAACACTGCTTTAGTGTAGTTTTTGAGTCATCATTGCTATAATGGTTAAGTCCAATAGGCCAAAGGCATGAAAAAGTAGTTATGGGGTGCTTCTACCATGTTTCAGATATGTTTTTCCCTTTGAAGTGACCCATTCACATAATGCCCTTGGCCTGCTTTCCCCATCCACTCACTTTGCCCCAGCAAAATGGAATGAGGTACTTATTCAGAGAGTTTAAACAAAAACTTGAGGATGCATAACCCAGAATCATTCTTACCTTCTGCCTCTCGGAGGCTCAGAGAAAGCTTACAGTCTGCTCTCCTAAAAACATGTGCATTGCCTGTCAAAGGAGTTCTGTTCTAGTTCAACGTTGTTTCTGTCTGAGTGGGTTCATCTATATAACACTGAGATTCAAGTTTAGGAAGCTGACTCATGTCCATATATAAATCACATTCTGCAAGATCTGCTTTAGTTGTGTTAAATTTATTTTGCTTTCTTCCCTTCTTGTAAGAAACCTATACTATAAGAACTCTAACTTATGATTTTATAATCTGTTCTCTTAACTTTGAATGTACTTTAGGAACAAATATGCATAAACGTTAATCAGTTTCTCTATACAAAATTATTTTTATCTTCTGTTATAATTAAATACAATCGTTTCTTAATAGTCAATTTGTATAAAATCTTTATCAATTATCTCTGTCCATAAACTTTAGGAAAATATGTGAAATCTTGTTCTACATATTTTGAAAATGGTTATTTCTTTATGGTGAGAATTTGGATGATAAATTTAGTTTCATCTTAATTACTTATACTTTTTATTGCTTTCTTGTTAGACTGCTCAGGCTGCCGTAACAAAATGCAATAAACTTGGTGTCTTATACAACAAATTTTTTTCCACATAGTTTGGAGGCTAAGAAGTACACGATCAGCATACACATAGTCAGTTTCTGCTGAGGGTATTCTTCATGCTTGTCACACAGATACCTTTTGTTGTGTTCCCACAGGGAAGAGAGATAGAGAAACACACAGAGAGACAGAGACAAAGGAAGTGTACAAGAAAGTGCTCTTCTGTGTCTTTTATAATAAATTCACTAATTCCATCATGAGGACTCCATCCTCATGGTTTCATCTCAACCTTTTGACCTCCAAAGGCCCACATCTCCAAAACCATAATACTGGGGATTAGGGCTTCAAAATTTAAATTTGGGGTGGGAGGGACACAAACATTTAGTCCAAAATATTTGCATTTTAAATTAATGAGAATCCATTCAAACTAAAAAATAGGGTCATTATTATTGATTTTCAAAAAAAGAAATTTGAAAAAAAAGATTTGTCTCTGATTTACTCTTTGAAGAGAGAGTCACATATTGTAGAAAGTGATTGTTAACAACTTCCCCTTAAAAATAGTTTACCAATTTTAAACTATTATTAAACTATTATTAAAGAAAATCCCAATAATCTATAGTCCCATCCCATTAAGTGTACCTAAAAATTGTCATCCTATGAAATGTATACATTATCTTACAATGCATTGTGAAGAATGCCTAGGATGATTAGAATTACTAAATGAGCAAAGTTAATGGATATAAAATAGAATACAAAATCAATTTTCTATAATTAACAGAAATATTTAAGAAATACAATTTCAAAAGTAAACTTCAGTAGCTACTAAAGCAAGATTGTTTATAATAAAAAGACAATGTATCTCATTCTCACTCTATACATCTCATCAAGAATATAAATTTGAAACACAAAGCTTTAAAATTTTAAAAGCAATTTAGCCTGAATCTCAGAGTATGAAAAAAATTTTCAAACCAGCACAAAAACTGACTGGAGCAAGATGATTTGTAAGTTTGGTCCCACTCATATCAAGAGTATCTGTTCCTTCTAAATCACCATTGGTAAAATGAAAAATCATCATAAAGAGCATGGCAACATTTGCAAGTACATAACAATCTAGTAAAATTCACGATACAATTAATCTCTGTTAAGGATTTAGAAAAAGACATAAAAATTAAAATAGGAAAATACATAAGCAGACTTTTTAAATAATAAAAAAGTTAAAATATATGAAATGGTACCAAAGCTTATTATTAATTCAAATTAAAACTATAAAACAACAAAATACAATTTCTTTTTTTTTTTTTTTTGAGAGGGAGTCTCACTCTGTCACTCAGGCTGGAGTGCAGTGGCATGATCTCAGCTCATTGCAACATCCACCTCCTGGATTCAAGCTATTCTCCTGCCTCAGCCTCTCAAGTAGCTGGGATTACAGGCACGCACCACCACACCCAGCTAATTTTTGTATTTTTAGTAGAGAAGGGGTTTCCCCATGTTGGCCAGGCTGGTCTTGAACTCCTGACCTCTGTTGATCCGCCCACCTTGGCCTCCCAAAGTGTTGGGATTACAGGCACGAACCACTGCGCCCAGCCCAAAATGTAATTTCATATACATCACATTATAAATTTTTAGACTGCATTTATTTTTGTGTGAGTTTGGATGTAGGGCAATTCAAACTTTTATATACTACTATTGGCATACAAATTAATGTGATTACATTGTACAACAATTTAACATTATCTAATAATGTTGATCATGTGCCAACCCTGTGACCCAGGAATTCCATTTCCAGAGACATCTTAGCTCTTGCATTTCTGGTGACAAGTACACAATAAGCAAAGTAGCATTGTCAATTTAAAAAAATCACAATAGCATTTAAAATTTCAGAAAACTGAACAAATTAATGTTCACAAGAAGCAGAAAAATAAAGTGTGATTTACTCATTCCTTGGAATAGTGACACACATATCAGATTGGATTATTCCGAGAACAGGACTTAGAGAGAGAGAGAAAAAAGCAAATTAAATCAAAGAGAACCAACAGGATGAAAGATTTACTCTATTAGACATCGAAACTTTATAACATACAGCAATTCAGACACATCTTGTTCTTGAAGATGGATAGTATGCTGGAGTCACCTTGCCTCAGCTTCTGGCTACGAAGTCTCCCCTGAACTCCTCATGAAGATGGGCTTTACAAATACAAACTAACCAATTCCCAAACTCATACTCTATAGGGCTGTCACACTCCAGGCCACTGTGCTTCTGTCCTAATCACGCTAGGGCCAAAAACCAGAGAACCAGAGACAGCTCTTATGCCCCAGAGCCCACTGAAATTATTCAAATGAGCCAGTCCTAAGCTTGTTTACCCTGCTTGGTTTCTTCCTGCAAACACCACAGTCTAGGGTCTTGCTCCTGAATTCCTCCCTCTCTCTGTTTCCTGATGGACCTGAGTTCTTCCCTGTAGTCTCCCCTGGTGTGACATGCTCCCTTCTCTTGGAAATTGTGAGTATCTTTTCAATGGCAATTGTCTTCTGATCTGTTTGCTTTACTATACCTTAGCTTTTCTATTAATACGCTATATATTAAAACAATATTTAACATAGGTGAAAAATTGAGAAAAGATATTCTAAAAAATGGTAAAGCAGAATCACACACAAAGAGTATGTGAAAAAGAATGAGGTAAATACAAATAGAATGACGTGGCTAGTGTGTGTGGTTGGTGGGAAAGTAAAGAGGGAAATGATGTGTTTTAAGTTTGAGGTTAGAAAATTAGAGTAAAATTGAGAAATACGGTTTTAAGTTCAAACTATTGAATCTATTAAATCTAGAAAAATCAACAATAAAGTATCTATTTAGAGTAATAACTAAATCTGCCTTTCCTTTTTTCAATTAAAATAGAAACAAATATTGTAGCATTATTTTTATTGTTGTAACAGTTTTGGGCTGCTTTTGAGTCTTTGTTTTGGGAAAGTTTTTATTTTTAGGTTATTTTTCTTTTGTAATATTCTAGACAACCTCTTGTATAAATGTTAAAATGTAATTTTACTACCTTTCAGGCATATTTTAATGTGCCCTAGTTGTTAACAAATTTATTCAAGATTAAGTACTATATTTTTAACTTCTTAAAAAAATTAATTTCTTTCTATGCAATGATTGACCTTGAAAATACAAAAGTATGTACAGTATGCACATAATATTCATACTGAATCTAATTGTTTAACTGTTGTTTAATTCATTTAATCATTCATTTTTCAAGGGAAACATATTGAATAATTAGGTAAAAATTTATCAGCAGCCACTGTGTTTATTTGGTAATTTTGTATGCAAGATAGCACATTGTAGTCTTGAGGAAAGACATTTCCTTACTAAGCTATTAATTCAAATTCTATATTGTTTTAAACAATAAAAATTCAAAATATATATTTTGATAAGAAAGGAATTTGAATTTGCCAATAGTTGCTTTCTCATTTAATTTTTAAAAAAGAAAAAAGTCCCTATCTTCGAATAGACAACTTTATTAAATCTGATGAATTTTTGTAAAGTCTGTTTAAGTTGTTTCTTCTTTGATTGGTTAAACAAGTAACTTTTAAAACAATGTTAGGAACTAACATATTATATATATTTCAGGATATCTTATAATATTATTTCATTTTTCTATGTAACTGTACTTGTATCTATGTCTATGTCTATATCTGTATCTGTATCTATCTATATCTGTATTTAGACAGAGTATCTACAAGAACAAGTAGGTGGGAGTTAGGTCCTAATCCAAGGATTTTCAGTCACTGATAAATACAGTTTTCTCACGGAAGTTTCGTATCTGACTGTCTCTCCACTGGAAATTTCTGTTGCTATTCAAATAGTTCTACAATTTGCCTCCAGAAAATATGTCAATAAGATTAAAAAGTCAACATTTCATAAATTGAAATTGCTATTTTGACCTCCTAAAAATATATAACTTTTATTAAAACGAATTACTATTAAAATACATTCCACATAGGTATGGTAATTGCTTTTATTAGAAAAGTTGAAAGAAGTGAGATAATCTGAGTAATATGGTTTACAACAGATATGTAAAAACAAAGAACACATATCTGTCATCTATATTTATTCAGTTTTATGTGTTATAATTAAATGAATTTGGGTTCTTGCTTCTCTCAATTATGACATAATAAATGATAGAAAATAGACATGTTTTTCCAGAAGTCATTTTATAAACATAATATTGAGTAACGTTTAAAAATTAAAAGTAAAAATTAAATATTTATACTTTAATTTGGAGAAAAAACTGCTATAAGCCTATTATTATAAATGCAAAGTAAGGAGAAGTGTTGAGTCCACTGGTTGCATCAAGAACTTTTTACCAAACTTAGAGGCACATAATCAGAAAAAGATATGTATATTTGTTCTATAAATTAAGATTAAAATGTATATATCTAATGACATTGAGAGATAAGGAAAGGTATTGATCTGGTGAGGTAAAATGGCTGAGTGAAGCATTGGACTGTAAATCTAAAGACAGGGGTTAAGCCTCTTTTTACCAGCTCTGAGGTGATTTTCATATTGAATTGCAAATTCGAAGAAGCAGCTTCAAACCTGCCGGGGCTTCTCCCGCCTTTTTTCCCGGCGGCGATCTATTTAAATAGTTTCAGCTAAAATCATGACAAATTCGTATGCAGACTGAAATCCTAATCAAAGCATTAGTAAAAAGAAAAAGGTCCTTAAAATTTTCTGAAATTTTTATATGTGAATTATATTTCAAAGAAGCTCAATTTAAAATGCCCTTGTGTTCAAAGTAAAAATACATATTACAAATTGTGTAATATGTATTAATTTTAAATTTTATAAAAAATCAGTGAATTCTTTCAAGTTTTTCAAAGTGTTATGGTTAAGTCTAAATAGGAACTATACTTAAATTAGATTGTTTAGAATGAAAAATTATTTTTAATTTATTCAATGTTTATTTTATGTGTTCAGCATTCTGATGATTCTTTGAGAAGGAAAATAGTATAAATAGTTGAACATATTTAAAAACATCATATTGATCACAATTATACATAATTTTTTAAAGTTCTTTTGATTTTTTGCTATGCTTTGTTAATTAATTGATTAATTGTACCGCAATTATAGCCATAATTGGAATAGGAACTGGACTGTATATAGTTTGACAGGTAGAGAAGTAATATTGTAAGATGAGAAGGAAAGGTAACAAATAGTTAAATGTGAGATAACTTTTTTAATGGAATTTAAAAATTGTAATTAAATTTAGAAGTAAAATAAATGCTGATATAGATAAATTTGATAAGAAACATAGAGCAATTTTCAGCAGTATGGACTTACCTTAAAACCGGAAAATGGATACCATCATTTTAAAATATTAATTAGAACTTTGGGTCTGCTTTCCCCCATGCCCTATTAGTAGTAAATTCCTTATTTGTTCCCTTTTAATATGTACATGCCAGTTTAATAATTTCAAAACTCCTAGAGTTTTTTTCATTTCAAAGTTATTTTGATTGTTCTAAATGATAAGCAGAGAGAATCAGTCTTTCCCGGTTATTGCTTCTTTTTGTCACATGAGGTCTGTATCCAGACCCACATATATTTTCTCGAGGTCCTCTTGGGGCACATTTGACCCTATGTCCTCCGCACATGAACAATAAAATTAGTTATCAACTAACATTCATATGACTTACCATGTTTCTCCAAATCATAGCCAGCCCGTGTGCCTGTACTTGAGTCAAGAGCCTCAGCACATCACCGGCTGAAGTTAATTTTAAGTGCAGGGCTTTTCCAAGCTGTGCAGCCTTGTCTGGTATGAAATTTCCACTTAATAAGGTTTTCTTAACTAGACTCTTTGAATACTTTTCCTCAGAGTTCTTGAACTCATTGTGCAAATTTTTCCACTTTTCATCTTCTATTAGGTCAGCATACAATGCATTTACAAAATCAAAGTTAATTGTCACGTCTTAATTCTAGGATGGAATTCTAGGTGTCTGCCTTCTCTACATTTGCATTAAAAAGAGGACATTTGGGGAAGACATAAATACAAACAAAAAACAAAACACAAAAGTTAAGTTAAAAATGATAACAATTTGTAAAATTAACTTATTTGAAAATAAAACTATAATTATTTAAGGATATTCTAAACCAATTTGGAATGTCAATTTGTTGAAGAAGACCATATTTTTATATATTAAGATTTATAGAAATTAAAATTTTTATCTGAGCAATTCAATATATTTTATGATAATAAATTATATAAATTCCAGCAGAAAATCATATTAGATGATTATGGTTTATTTAAGGATTCTAGTAAAATCTTTAACATAGAAAAATACTCATATTGGTATACGTACAGAACACAGTCATCTACCATTCATAGTTCAAGCTGGAGCTATTAAAATATTAGATTGGATAACTCAATATCAACATTGATATCCATTGTAAATATATACAATAGAAGCCATTAATCTTACCAAAAAGATATAAAATTACTGAAATTTTTTACAAACAAGCTTTCATAATAATATTTATCTTCTGGGCTGTAGCATTAATTCTAAAAAATGACAAAAATTTGTAAGAAAACATATGACATAATTTTGACCTATTGAAATATTATTAAATGTGCTATTAATACAATAGTCATGAAAACCGTTATACAAAAACAAAGTGTTGTTCATGGCATTTACAGAGAACACATTGGTATGACTCCTTCAGGGTATTTATAATAAGTATGAAGCAAGATTTGACTGAGAATACTGAAGAAAACATTTACTTAATTTTTTGAAACAGCTCTGAATAGATGAATAGCACTTATTTAGGTTCTTTATTCTCTTTTGCTTCCTTTCTCCTTTCCTTCTTTTCTGTCATAGATGAGCCAGGCAAGTAACCCAAATGCGTGATATGGACTAGGTGTAATAAAACTAAGCAGTGGAGAAATTGTGGTAAAATGAAGCATCTGAACTTTCTTGTAAAGGTCAGCTTCTTAAGTCTATTCAGTGTAAACTGCCTCCACCTTTTTTGATGTTTATCAAGAGAAACCCAAAATACAAGATTGGAGAATTAAATATTGAAATAGTCAACTATGGGAATGTTCTTAAAAAACAAGGAAGCAAGCAAACAAACAAACAAAAACACATTGTGCTGGCCAACACTGTGAAAGCTAAAGTAACTCTGGAAATGTATTTGGATCAGTTACTGCAAATTTATAATTTTCCTTTAGGAAGTAGACAGTAGGATAAACCATTGAAATGTTTCTTTCTTGTTTTGATGTAGTTCCAATACTTACTAAATATGTGGCTTGGACATGTTAGCTTCTTTATTTTTAAAACAGAACAAAAAATAGACATCATATTGATTTGAATACTAAATAGGATAGAAGTAATAAACCATATATGCCAATGCTTAGTACATTAGTAAACACTTGATAAATAAGTGGTAGCTATTATTATTGCTTGCCAAATAACTTTACAGAGGTGTCAAAAAATTCAAAATCCCACATGTCCTCAGAGTTATTTCTGCTTGCCAGGTGTCCCTGCTTAGAAATTAATAGGACATACACACCAAAATTTGACATTTAGATGTTTCATTCCACTTATTTGTCTTCTAGTTTAAAAATACTTATGAGAATTCTTTATATTTTTTAAAAAATGTTAAATGATGAATAACAAAACAAAATAGAAAGTGTTATATAATGAATTCAAATTCACAAAACCGCTTCTTATCCTAAAATATCTTAAATAGTTCTCATACTGCCCTCCTTAATAAACTCTACTTTCTTGCTCTGCAGGCAATCACCTGCCTATGTTTCATTTATTTTTCCTGTGTTTCATGTTGATGATTCCTATGCATTTTTACTTTCTTCTACTATTCAATTATGAATTCTAAAATAAATGTGACATTTTTGCCTGTTTTTAACTCTAAATAGTTTTATAATTTCATTATACCATGACCTAATATTTGATTCAAACTTGAGTGGTTCGTAATATTAATTTGTATTAATTATCAGTGATGTACTATATCCCACTGTATAACAATAGCTTGAATTTTATTTTGATTCTCTACTGATAGATATATAGGTCAAATCTAGGGTTTAAAGAAAATCCCAACAATGCTGCTATAAGCACTCTTACATGTTTCACTGTGTATGCATGTGTGAGAATTTTTCCACAATATATACTCAGAGGTACCCTTGCTGGATCAAGAGCAACTGTACATTTTCACATTTTAGGTACTTCCAAGTTTTCTCCAAAGTGGTTGTACAGTGTATGTTTACCAGCACTGTAAATGTAAATGAAATATATCTTTATTACCCTTGGTATTATCACACATTTTCTTATTTACCAGTCTAATCACTGGTAAGATGGAATCAGGATTGATAAACCTATTCATGATTCCTCTTTTCTTTCTTCGAATTGCCTTATATTTAGGCTACTCTACTACTGGAATACTTTTCCTTATAATATCTTTCTTTATATTATCAACAGTTTTGAATGTTAATACTTTTTGCATTATAAACATTTTATTTTTTCTCCTATTAGCGCTTTCCTATTTGTAATTGCATATTTTGAAGAATGGTGTTTTACACTTGTCATCAACTTAATATTTTTATTTAAGTTTAGCTCTTCTTTAATCATGTTTATATCATTTGTTAGCCTAAGCTGATAAATATTCTACTGGATTACCTTCTAGAAGTTTTTAAGCATTTATTTTCTATCTAATTTTTTCAGATATCAAATAATCCCTCATATATTATACATTTCCCATGAAGTTTTTATTTACATTGGATGAATTTGTAGTTCTTTAACCATGTGAAACATTTCATTATGAAATATTTCAATAAAAATATGATGTATAAGTTTTATCAATATGTTTTTGTTCATTCTTGCATATATTAGTTTTTTTGGCTATTAAATTTTCTAAGTGGAAACTTTTTGGTAAGATTTTTCTTTCTGGTTTAACTGGCTATCTGATCGAAAAACAACCAAAATATCTCCAGATGGATTAAAGAATTACACACAAAAATACAACTTTAGTGAAGTATATCCATATGTTATCAAATAGCTTAAAACTAACTTTTGAAAAAAAAGTCAATGTGACTACTTAAAAATTTTGTTCAGATAATTGCAGGGATACGAGTTTGAAATAATCTAACTTAAAATCATACATTTATGTACATAAAAATAAATTTGGTATCAATGAAAACACTAAAAACTAGAAAACAATCTAACTTCTGAAATTATTCTAAAATAGTATAAGAATATATTTTATGGCCGGGCGCGGTGGCTCACGCCTGTAATCCCAGCACTTTGGGAGGCCGAGGCGGGTGGATCACGAGGTCAGGAGATCGAGACCATCCTGGCTAACACGGTGAAACCCCGTCTCTACTAAAAATACAAAAAATTAGCCGGGCGCGGTGGCGGGCGCCTGTAGTCCCAGCTACTCGGGAGGCTGAGGCAGGAGAATGGCGTGAACCCGGGAGGCGGAGCTTGCAGTGAGCCGAGATTGCGCCACTGCAGTCCGCAGTCCGGCCTGGGCGACAGAGCGAGACTCCGTCTCAAAAAAAAAAAAAAAAAAAAAAAAAAAAAATATATATTTTATATATGCTTGTAATGTAGGAAGGGCTCTTTAAAAGTGTGACACAATTCATAAAGGAAAAAATGTTTAAAGATAAATACTGATTAATTGATTATTAAGCCAGATTCAGGTAACCCTACTACTAATTTACACAATTACATAGTGAATCTTTGAGGCTTAGGTGCTAATATATATGAAGTAACTAAAATAAAAACTAATAAATTCCTTGTAATTGGTTTGCATTTATTTCAGCAGAAAAGATATATTACTATTTTATTTATAATTATAAAAGCATGTGTTAATTTTCAGTATGCTATTCTGTAAGTGAAAGTATGTTTGAAAATTGTAATGGTGGAGAAAAATTTAGCTGCACTTTACTTAAAACTAAACATACACACATTACAGATAGAGTCCAATGAGTTTTTAAGAAATTTATTGAGCTATAATTAACATATTAAAAGCCAAAAATATGTAAGATAAATTATTAGATATGCTCTGACATATTTATACATCCATGAGATCATCATTATTGTCAAGATAGTGAACATATAAATCCACAAAATGTTTCCTCATGACTACTTTTAATAATCCCCTTTTGCAATTATTGTCTCTCCTAATAAGCATCTTAGCTAGACAACTGCTGACCATCTTTCAGTATTGTATGTTACTGTATATTGTATATTGGTGCATCCAGAAGTTTTATATAAATGGAATCATATAAGGTGCACTATTTTTTGGCTGGCATTTTTGCTTTACAGCAAAATTCTTTTGAAATTCATTCATGTTGTTGCATGTGTCAGTAGTCGAACCTTTTTATTGCTGAGCAGAATTTTTCTGTACGTATATATCACCAATTACTTGTTAATGAATATGTGGGTCATGACCACGTTTTAGCTATTAAAGAGAAAATGCCTATGAACATTTATATACAACAATTTCTTTTTCATTTTTCGAGGGGGAAATATCTAGAAGATAAATGACTAGATTAAGTGGTAAGCATAGGTTTACTTTTTAAAGAAGCTGTCAATCTATTTTACAAACTGGTTGTCAATCAAAAGTATATTAAAGTTTCAGTTCCTCCATTTTCTTGCCTATACCTGGTAGGGTCAATATTTTTTTTCACTTTGGACATTGTAATAACTATCAGTAGTATTTCTTTGTGGTTTTCAATTCTTTAATGATTACAGATGTTAAAATTTTTTGATATACTTATTTGTCATCCATGTCTTCTATCATGACGTCTTTTTCAATCTTTTGCCTTTTAGAAAATTGGGTGATTTGTTTTATTTTTGATTTTTGACAGCTTTTATATATTCTTTATGAAAGTAATTTATTAGTGTGTTGGGGCTCCTTATGACCACCCTTAGGCTCAAAGATTAACTATAATGATTCACAGGTCTTAGAAAACATGTTACATTCATAGTTACAGTTTACTACAATGAAAAGATACAGATTAAAATCAACAAAGAAAAAAAACCTATGGGGAGAAATGTAGAAGATATCAGGTACAAGCTTTCAGGTGTCCTCTCCCAGTGGAATCCCACAAGAACACATGTAATTCTCCCAGCAACAATATTTGACAGCATATTGAAGTGTTGTCAATCAGAGAAGCTCATTTAAGTTTTGGTCTCCAGGGCTTTTACTGGGCATCAGTCATGTAAGGTGGTGCCTATATGAGTGATTTCAGCTACTCAGACTACAGCATCTGTCAGATCAAATATAGCCATTGACTCTAAATTATATTGTTAGGATAAGCTTAACTGTTCAAATGAGCACAGCATGGTCCAAGGCCTCAGACGCTGAAAACCACTTGTGCACTGTACTCTAAAGCCAAAGATGTATAGAAACACTGTCATCAGGCAGAATATATTAAGGGCCCACAGATTATCTTCCAAAAGCCAGCCAAGTGCCAGTTCTAAAGACAAACATTAGTCCTGATGAGATAAACCTTTCTTGGCCAATAAGATATATGCTATTCAAATGTTTTCTCAGTTCATAGCTTTTTAAAAAATTATTTTTAAATGCCCTTTTCCATTCCTATTAAGCATAGTATTGAAAGTTCTAGCCAAGGCAATCAGGCAAGAGAAAGCAATAAAGGGTATTCAAACAGGAAGAGAGGAAGTCAAATTGTCTCTGTTTGCAGATGACAAGATTTTATATTTAGAAAACCCCATCGTCTCAGCCCAAAATCTTAAGCTGATAAGCAACTTCAGCAAAATCTCAGGATTCAAAATCAATATGCAAAAATAACAAGCATTCCTATACAACAATAACAGACAAACAGGGAGCCAAATCATGAGTGAACTCCCATTCACAATTGCTACAAAGAGAATAAAATACCTAGGAAAACAACTTACAAGGGATGTGAAGGATCTCCTCAAGGAGAACTACAAACCACTGTTCAAGGAAATAGGAGAGGACACAAACAAATGGCAAATTATTCCATGCTCATGGATAGGAAGAATCAATATGAAAATGTCCATACTGCTGAAGTAATTTATAAATTCAATGCTATCCCCATCAAGCTACCATTGACTTTCTTCACAGAATTAGAAAAACCTACTTTAAATTTCATACGAAACCAAAAAAGAGGTTGTATAGCCAAGACAATCCTAAGCAAAAAGAACAAAGCTGGAGGTATCATGTGACCTGACTTTAAAATATACTGCAAGGCTACAGTAACCAAAACAGCATGGTACTGGTACCAAAACAGTTATGTAGACCAACAGAACAGAACAGAGGCCTAAGAAATAATGCCACACATCTACAGCCATCTGATCTTTGACAAACCTGACAAAAACAAGCAATGGGGAAAGGATTCCCTATTTAATAAATGGTGCTGGGAAAACTGGGTAGTGGAAAACTGAAACTGGATCCCTTCCTTATATCTTATATAGAAATTAACTCAAGATAGATTAAAGACTTAAACATAAGACCTAAAACTATAAAAACCTTAGCAGAACACCTAGGCAACACCATTCAGGACATAGGCATGGACAAAAACTTCATGAATACAACAACAAATGCATTGGCAACAAAAGCCAAAATTGATGAATGGGATCTAATTAAACTAAAGAGCTTCTGCACAGCAAAATAAACTATCATCAGAGTGAACAGGCAACCTACAGAATGGGAGAAAATTTTGCAATCTATCCATCTGACAAAGGGCTAATATCCAGAATCTACAAAGGACTTAAACAAATTTGCAAGAAAAAATACAAACAACCCCATCGAAAAGTGGTCAAAGGATATGAACAGACACTTCTCAAAAAAAGACATTTATGCGGCCAAAAAACATGTGAAAAAAAAAGCTCATCATCATTCGTCATTAGGGAAATGCAAATCAAAACCACAATGAGATACCATCTCACTCTGGTTAGAATGGTGAACATTAAAAAGTCAGAAAACAACAGATGCTGGAGAGGATGTGGAGAAATAGGAACACTTTTACACTGTTGGTGAAAGTGTAAATTAGTTCAACCATTGTGGAAGACAGTGTGGTGATTCTTCAAGGATCTAGAACTAGAAATACCGTTTGACCCAGCAATCCCATTACTAAATAGAAAAAGGATTATGAATCATTCTAGTATAAAAACACATGCACACATAGGTTTATTGCAGCACTGTTCACAATAGCAAAGACTTGGAACCAACACAAATGCCCATCAATCATAGACTGGATAAAGAAAATGTGGCACATATACACTATGGAACACTATGCAGCCATAAAAAAGGATGAGTTCATGTCCTTTGCAGGGACATGGATAAAGCTGGAAATGATCATTCTCAGCAAACTAACACAGGAACAGAAAACCAAACACCGCATGTTCTCACTCATAATTGGGAGCTGAACAATGAGAACACATGGACACAGGGAAGGGAACATCACACACTGGGGCCTGCCAGGGGGTGGGGGGCTTGGGGAGGGATAGCATTGGGAGAAATACCTAAAATAGATGATGGGTTGAAGGGTGCAGCAAACCACCATGGCATGTGTATACCTATGTAACAAACCTACACGTTCTGCACATGTTTCCCAGAACTTAAAGTATAATAATTTTTAAAAAAGAATAAAAATTTTCACTTTTGAAGAAGTTCAAGTTAATATTTTATTTTACAAATTAAATGTTTAATGTCATATACAGCACTTATTTGTTTCAACTAAGGTCACAAAGATTTATCTTATGTTTATATCTAGGATTTCAATACATGCAGGTTGGCTTATTACTAATGTTTATATATTTTGCAAGCTATGAATCAAATTTGTTTTCTATTGCTTATAAATACCCAACTGTTTTACATTTCTTGCTTTGAAAAGTCTTCCATTTCTTCAAAGCTGATACTTTCCCTGATGAATTGACTTGCTATTTAAAAAAAAAGATATTAACTATATGTGTAAATCTGTTTTTGTATTTTCTATTTTGTTCTGTTGATCTATTTAGTCTTTCTTGAGGACAATATCACACAGTCTTGACTATTTCAAAATCATGAACATGGTATATCTCCCCAAATTTTATCTTTTATTTGAGATATCTGGAAAGCATATAGATCTAGAAGTTGACATTTGTTCTACCTATATTAGTTAGTCTTCAAGTAGAAATGATGATGGAAAAGATTGCAGTGATCAAAATTACCTAGGGAGGATGTATAGCATGAAAGAGTAACAAGCAGTTCATGCAGATCTCTGATTTAGCTTACACACCTAGAGGAAGATTAAATGAAGATCAATTTGCAAGTGAATTTAAAATTTTGTGACAAAATTTTAGGAGCAAAATTAGGACACCGTGTTGTTACAGAATCTAAAGAACTATTTTGAGCTGCTTTTGAAAAATAAACATAAAAGTTACCAATCTGTATGACTGACTTTTGCAACACTTTCTCATTGAAAACACATATTCTACAAAAAAACATTATTTTTGTAACCTTATCATTTGGGACTCACTTTATCTAGCAGATCTAAGTAGTTATACGTTTTTACGTATGTTCCCACCTATAAATTATCTGTTATATTTTCAATGACATTTTCTTCTTCTAATAAAAGCATGCTCAATTTTAACTATTTGTGTTAACTTATTTTGGAGATTCAAGGTACATTTGGTTGTTGTTTTTATTATTTTATTTTATTTTACTTTAATTTCTGGGATACATATGCAGAATTTGCAGGTTTGTTACATAGGTATACATGTGCCATGGTGGTTTGCTGCCCCTATCAAACCGTCATCTAGGTTTTAATCTGCATGCATTAGGTATCAGTCCTAATGCTCTCCTTTCCCTTTCCCCCCACGCCCCAACAGGCCCCACTGTGTGTTGTTCCCCTCCCTGTGTCAATGTGTTCTCGTTGATCAACTCTCACTTATGAGTGAGAACATGCAGTGTTTGGTTTTCTGTTCCTGTGTTAGTTTGATGAGGATGGTGGTTTCCATGTTCCTACAAAGGATATGATCTAGTTCTTTAGATGGCTGCATAGTATTCCATGGTGTATATGTACCACATTTTCTTTATCTAGTCTATCACTGATGGGCATTTCAGTTGGTTCCATGTCTTTGCTATAATAAATAGTGCTGCAATAAACATATGTGTGCATGTGTCTTCATAATAGAATGATTTATATTCCTTTGGGTATATACCAAGTAATGTGACTACTGGGTCATGGGATTTCTGATTCTAGATCCATGAGGAGTCTCCACACTGTCTTCCACAATGGTCGAACTAATTTTCATTCCCACCAACAGTGATTCAAGGTATTTTGATGGGTTGTTTGTTTGTCTATTTTGCATTTCATTTGTTTCTGTAAAAGGAGAAAATTTTGGGCTTAGGGAATACCATAATGCTTTAAACTTTGAGCTATTTCTTCTTTTTTTTTTTTTTCTCAAATAATGTCATTTTGTCATAGATCTCTGAAAATGACCTTGAAAACTTCCCATGAAAATCAACAGAACTTACAATGTTCAGAGCCTAAGAAATAAATGTCACCTTACAAGATTCATCAAAATGAGCTTAGATGAAATTTTAATTGCCATACTCAAGCCACTTAAATAGTTAACCAAGACATTCTCCCTTGTTTCTACAGTGATACATAGTATTGAAAATTGCTTTGACTGCACACTCAAATTATTACAATTCAACTTTCTTCAACATCATAAATTGAAAGGATATCATGTGGATCTTTGTTGTTCCCAATTAGGATTGAAAATAACTTCTGGCCAAATTAGTAGTGTAGAGACTTATGGAATGAAGTCAATTTAAAACAGAATTTTTTTGAGTTAATGGTAAGAAAGAGTTTGTTGCAATAAAATTCTTTGAAATTTTAGATATGAAATTGGTACAAAAACTTAATACAAATTCATCTACCTGATTTTTTTGTGGCAATGTCATAAATAAAAGAAATATGGTCTCATCTTTCCTAAATATTTTGCTCATGCTCTTTGACAATACCGTAAAATGTACTTAAACTACATAAGAATCTTCTAGTAAAATAAAATGCAACATTTCACTCAGAAGTAAAACATTTTTAAAATAGTGTCCAACAATTGCTTCAAGAGGGTGACAACTTATGAACACCCTGTTCTAAGTGTTTCCACCCTAATTGGTTTCTTTTTTTTTTTCTTTTGAGACAAAACCTTGCTCTGTTACCCAAGCTGGAGTGCAGTGGTGTGATCTCGGCTCACTGCAACCTCCGCCTCCTGGGTCCAACGGATTCTCCTGCCTCAGCCAACCAAGTAGCTGGGATTAGAAGCAACTGCCACAATGCCCAGTTAATTTTTGTGTTTTTTGTTTGTTTGTTTGTTTTTTGTTTGTTTGTTTGTTTGTTTTAGTAGAAGTGGGTTTCACCATGTTGGCCAGGCTGGTCTCGAATTCCTGACTTCAAGTGATTGGACTCCCAAAGTGCTGGAATTAGAGGCATAAGCCACCATGCCTGGCCTCCCCTAATTCGCTTCTTTGAACCTCTCTACATCATCACAAGATGGGTGTTACTATGATCACTATTTTATAGGTGAGCATATGAGGAACAGAGAGGTTAAGGAGGAACAGGGTGATCTGCTACAACTCTTCAGCAGGGCATTCTGGGCAGGACTGTCTAACTTGTGAGAGGCAAGGGGACTATTTATAGCCTATGTATTCCCGTTAAAGTAACAAACATATATCAAGAATAAATATTACAGTATATTTCTAGCAACCATCTAGAAATAGGAAATAGTATCAGTACCATATTGTCAGATGACAGTAGGATTAAATAAAACCGGAGTGACTAAGTAACTGACGCTTTATTCACTGCATTTAAAAGAAAAGTATGTCTTGGAGTTGAATTAAGTAACCTGGGATAGATCTCTAAAAATCTGTAAGTGAAGCAGGGGTCACATATTAACATGTTATACTGGAAAAAGTGTCTAAGAAAGGAATTTGGCACTGGAATCTACATAGGGAACAATTAAATTATCTATAAATATTTTTTACTTTATTCTGAAAAAGGTATATACCAAAAACTCCAGAAACAATTCTAGGCCCTCCATAATACATGTGGGCTCTAAGATAAGAGTGGAAATAGAGGCCCACATAACATGTGTATAAATATCTTAACATTATAAAGCAAACTACTCCAATAATCTGGCCTGCATTTCTGCCTAGGTTCTCAATGGCCCACTTCCTGACCACCACCCTCTGGAGTCCAAAGGAGATTTGCTTATTCCCAGTATTATTCCTGCAGGTCAGCCAAAGAGGAGCAAAGAGTCATCTACCTCAATCATGTTCAGGAAATGATCAGGTCAAGATGTGGAGTGAGCAAGCTTTTCTCTTTTGTGCCACATTTTCTGACCCAGTATTTCAAGGTACTTCTAATACACAAAGACTATTACAAGAGGGAGGAAGGAAGGAAGGTCAGTTATCTGAAGAACTGAGGCTAGCTAGAAGCCCAAATTTGGTGTGATGGGGGCCATCAAATCTCAACAGAAACAGCTTTCTCTCTCTGTTATCCTGGACAGGGCTTGTGATTTTTTTTTTTTTTTCCTCCACTCAGCCATAGACTCTCAGCTACATATCCTCTAGCCTGGAGTAGTCAAATCAGCTCATCTCTTTCTCTCTCATACCAAACTTTCAAAAACAAAACAAAACAAACCAAAAAACACTTTTGTTATTGGAATAAATGAGAAAAATGTATTTGTGTTTAAATATCTGTGATACATGGACCATCAAAAGCCTCACTGCTAATGAAGGCAATTATTTAGGTTTACTTAATCTATTAACTTATCAGTTAATAACTGCTATTTATTCTGCTAGAAATTCCCAATGGTATAATTGTTTCTGGCTGTAGCTCCTTCCATGCTTTGTACATCTTACTTGTGGTAGGCAGAATCACAGCTCTCCACAAATGATGTGATTTGGCTGTATCCCCACCCAAATCTCACCTTGAATTGTAATAATTCCATGTGAAGAATGGGGTCAGGTAGAGAGAATTTAATCATGGGGACGGTTTATCCCATGCTGTTCTTGTGGTAGTAAATAAGTTTCACGAGATCTGCTGGTTTTATAAACGGGAGTTCCCCTGCACAAGCTCTCTTGCCTGCCACCACGTGGGATGCGACATTGCTTCTCATTCGCTTTCCACCATGATTTTGAGGGCTCCCCAGCCATGTGGAACTACAAGTCAGTTAAACGTCTTCCTTTTATAAATTACCCAGTCTCAGCTATGTCTTTATTAGCAGTGTGAGGACAAACTAATACAACGGGTGTCCACATTCTAGTCCCCAGAATTTGTGAATATGTTAGTTGCATGGCAAAGGAAAATTGAAATTGTAGACTAAACTAAGGTTGTTCATCAGTTGATATTAAGATAGGAAAGTTATTCTGGATTATCCTGATGGGACCAAAATAATCAGAAGGACATTTACAAGTGGAAGGAGGCAGAAGAAGTTAGAGTGATGAGATGGGAACTCACAAACTGCCATTGCTGGCCCTTTAAAACAATTTAAATCTTGTTTTATGACACATAATTATTGTACATATTTATGGGATACAGTGTGATGTTTCAACACGTGTATGTATAGTTTAAATATTGAATCAGGATATTCAACATATTCTTCACTTCATACATCTTTGATATCTTTATGGTGAGAGAATTCAAAAATCCTCTCTTCTAGCTATTTTGAAATATACAATACAATATTGCTAACCATAGTCACCCTGACTCCATTCCTCATTTCAAAAATGGAGGAAGGGACAGTGATTAAAGGAATGCAAGCAGCCTCTGGGCTGTGGAAAACCAAAGGAAACGAACTCTTCCCACAGACCACCCCCAAGAAAAAACCAACCCTGGCAGTATCTTCGTTTTAACATGGTGTGATCAAGTCAGATTTCTGTCTTACAGAACTGTAACATAATAAATCTGTATTGTTTAAGCTACTAAGTTTGAAGTAATTTTACTAAAACTTGAAAGGAATTTACATTTTGCTTTTAAAGTTCTTTATTTTTGAAACTTTAGACAGAGATCAACAAATCCTCAACAAGAGATAGCTCAATTTTTACCTTTGAAAAAGGAATTATGTTACATATCTATAAGAATGAATAACTACAGCACAGAAAAATACTCATAAGTAATATATTATTTGAAATCAGGAGTCTAATAAGAGAAAATGCAAATGGACCCTTTTCTATGAGATTTAGATAAATTACATGAAAAATATGTGTGATAAGAGTTATGTGTTCTGAGTTAATACATATACTTAAAAAATCTGAAAAAATTGCAACAGGAACAATAAATATGCAAATTGAAATCACAAAAAAATCAATGAATTTGAAGACCATTTGGAGAAATGCTTATATTATCTTAAGATTAATTTATTCTAATCATGCACCAGTGATAGTATTATAAGAAGAAATAAATTCATTATCATTTTTTACTGTATTTATTTTTTAAGACAGAGATTGGTACTAATTCAGTAATGGAAAACTAATTGTAAAATTTGTACTGTGGTAAATTTGGAAAACAAGGCATGGCACAGAAAGAGCATATAATAAAATAATTTGGCATAAAGGCCATTTGAAATGGATTAATTATAGTGATGAAACATGTCATCATTTCCTGGACAAGTAGGGAAGATAGGCAATGAGAAGGCTATGGAGGAGAGAGAAGAGAGTAGAGTCCATAGAGTGACAGTCTTCAACAGGTTAAAAACCTGTACGAGTTCAGGTCTCGAACAAGTGATATTGGATGAAATGGGAGGTAGAGAGGACCAAAGAGTAGGATATTTTTTTTTAAATATTGAGAAACATTTGCTGTCTAAAATAGAGAAGAAATGTTATTAACATGCATGGTGGTCAAGAAACTGACAGGTAAGATTTGAAAGAGTTACCAGTTTGAGGTAAGCACAATAGAGAATAATGACAGAGTTTATAATGGAGAGAATGTCTTTGAAAGCCAAAAGCAAAAGTTGTCTTAATAGAGAAAGAAACCAAAGGTTTGAAAAAGCATTTGAATGGAAAGTTTGGTGTAGACATACGTTATGAACCATAAACTGTCAAAGTTTATTGGTGATGCTTGCTGGTTTATTTACTTGTTGGTTTTCAGAAGGAAAGAACTATAATAGACTGATAACTACAAATTAACTGAAATTGTATATACCCCGCCTCCTCATGATTAGGCAGGTGAAGATGGGGTGAGCAAAATAGTAGCAACCCATTGAAAGGGCTGTTGAAGGGGTTATATTTTCCAGACATATCAGGAGTTCAAGTTGTTACTAAAAATGCAAAAAGAGTTTGCTAATCAGAACATAAGCATTCAATATCTATCACTATCAAGATGTGAGATAAGGGATAGGTAATTGATTCTGTTGGAAAAGCAGAGTCATATAATGATGAAAGTCTGATAATACCTCTGTGACTTGAAAGGGACAGAAGTAAACAGGAACATGAAGCAAAGAGTTTTAGTTCTGATAGTCTCTTTGAGGAGGAGGAATAATGGCACTATTGTCATTTTTTGAATATTTCCCCTAGTATTTTTAGTGATTTCACAAATCGTTCTAATGCCTTAAAGGACTACCACTCTGGAATATCACTCAAAGCAATGTTCTTGTGAGGATTAGGCTTAATGAAAAGTCCTGTAATGCTTGGACACATGGAAAGCTGACCAGTATTAGATAAAACAAAATTGTTATAGTTGGGAATTGTTACTATCGGTATTTTCATCATCATTTTGCAACATTTATATTTTTTTCTTAATGAAATATGTTGATTTTTCAGTTTTTAAAGTAAAATTGTATTACGTTTAAAAAATTAATAGAGAACTATTCTGTTGAAGACAATGAATGCATATTATGCTTAACATGTTAATATGTGTTTCACATTATTTATAGATTTTGTCTACTGCATTGAAATTTTCTAGAATGCTGCATATGTAGAGCTTAATGTAATCACTTCCTAACTATAATCTCTGGAGCCAACCCAGTTACAATAAAATTAACTCTAATTTTGTGTCTTTTATTTGTTTCTACTTCTAGGTTAAATGTGGTTTGAGAAAAGTGTTTTAGAAAACTTTGAAAAATCACTGGCTTGTTAGAATGCATGTTCTATTAAAAGATATGAGTCCTATCTCCAGGTTACTTAAAATATTAGTTTTACTCCAAATTGTATTCTAGTTTCCCTATCTTTAAAATATGTTCATGAAACATTTCTCTTCTCTTATGAAGTTAAATGTTCTTTTAAGTTTGAAATTTATTAGAGAACTCTGATATATGATTTTTAAAAAATAACACTCTGAATTACTTTCTAAAATGGAAAGCAACCCTACAACAAAAAGATATTACCAATATTGAGTTTTACCTCTGGCTTCAACTTATTTTTCTCTCAAGATCTTATTATTCTCTTCTCCAGCTACCCAAGGTGCGAAAAAGAAAGAAGGCCGAAGGGAAGAAGGTGGTGCTCACCCTTGCTGTCTTGAAAAAGCAGGAGACCATGAAAGTGGTGAATCTTCCATTTGAGAAATTTGGCACTGGACAGGACATTTTGGCATTGGACAGAACATCCAGCCCAAAAGGGACCTCACTTACTTTGTCAAATGGCCCCATTATACTAGGTTGCAGCAGCAGAGAGCCATCCTCTATAAACAGCTAGAAGTGCCTTCTGTGATTAATCAGTTCACCAGGGCCTTGGACCACCAAACAGCTGCTCAATGGGGTAAGCGGGCTGGCAAGTACAGACCAGAGACAAAGCAAGAGAAACAGCAGAGACTGTTGGCCTGGGCTGAGAAGAAAGCAAAGGAGACATCCCCACTAAGAGATCACCTGTCCTTTTAATGGGGGTTAACGCTGTCACCACCTTAGTGGAGAAAAAGAAGGCTCAGCTGGTGGTGACTGCACAGGACAGAGATCCCATTGAGTTGGTTGTCTTCCTGCCTGCCCTGTGTTGTAAACTGGGGGTTCCTTACTGCATTATCTTTTTTTTTTTTTTTTTTTTTTTTTGAGACGGAGTTTCGCTCTGTCGCCCAGGCTGGAGTGCAGTGGCGCGATCTCGACTCACTGCAAGCTCCGCCTCCCGGGTTCACGCCATTCTCCTGCCTCAGCCTCCCGTGTAGCTGGGACTACAGGCGTGCGCCACCATGCCCGGCTAATTTTTGTATTTTTAGTAGAGACGGGGTTTCACCGTGTTAGCCAGGATGGTCTCGATCTCCTGACCTCGTGATCTGCCCATCTCGGCCTCCCAAAGTGCTGGGATTACAGGCGTGAGCCACCGCGCCCGGCCCTTACTGCATTATCTAATGGAAGGCAAGCTTGAGACATCTAGGATTAAATAACAAACAAACAAACAACAACTCTTAAAAATATTCTTTTAAAACTTCTAATTATTAGTTTTTTTTATCTCTTCAGTACATTAAAATGTCTGGTGGTAGGAAAATACTGGACTCATATATGACTGTCTACGTGATTTGCAGGGCCCAGTGCAAAATGACGTGGATGTTGTACCTCGTTCAAAGTGTTAAGCGTTTCAAGATGGCAACAGCAGAGCATTAGGCCAAGTATGAGGTCATTATGTACATGGGTCCTTGTGTGACCACACAGGTCACAGGAACATGAAGCTAGACCTGAGTGTATATTCAGATAGGTAAATCTTACAGATTTTTAAAACTCAATAAAAGAAAAACTACATTTCATGTGTGAACACAAAAATTGGAATTAAATTGGCAATAGCATTGGGATTTGTGCTCAGAGTCACAGTTTACATCTGACCACAATTTCTATATGAATTTTTTAAGATAAAACAGTAAGAATTTTAGAGAAGGTTTCTGAAATTTAAAAATTATAATAACATAATTAACTTTGATATTTTAATTCCATGTAATTTAAAACATTTAATAGATATATAATGTTCCACTATTAATTTAACTAGAAGTATAAAAATAAAACATATATAATAAAAATATTCTACTGATTTTTAAATTATCTATATTATACTGAGTAAAAGAAAATTTAGGAATATAAATAAATGAGCATTTTTGAACATGTAAAAATATTTTCTTGCTGTTTTTAGGAGACTTTTAGCAGGACAGGAGCTTACCTCTCATCTACCTCTGCTTGGACAAACCAGTGATGTGATTTGCAAATAGGCTGTAACTTCACCGAAAACACATCACAGTAAAGAAAAGCAGTGACTTTCAGAGAATTTGACCTAACTTAGAATTTGTAAAAGAGAAAAGCATTGTCCTTATGCCTAAAGTACATGACTGTTTCTTTTTAAGTTACATGTATATTTACCTGACCAATTTGTTTTACTCTGTATTTTAAGTTATCAGGTGAAATGGTTTTGGAATAAATTAATGAGTTGTTTGTTCTGAATAAATGTGCATGTTACAAGTGCAAACACGTGTATGTATTATACAACTATGCAGCTTCAAGAGCTGACTTATTTCTATCAGCTTTTTATTCACTTAAAAAATCAGGCTACTGAAGCATATTAGAATTTAATTACACCAATTAGTACTGCCACATCAGACATATGATGTGCCTTCAATTAAGAAGTACCTAATGGGTATTAGTACAATTTAGCTTCATAATTAAAGTTCTAAGAACAGCACAAATTAAACATTATGATTACAAAACATTAAAAATCTACTGGTGAAATTAAAGCTGAATATTTAACTTCTCCTTTTGAGCTGATTTTAAAAAAGAAAATCAGGATTATATAAAATGCAATGTTATTATTGAAGCATTCTGAATTTAAAAACAGAAATTAAGCTCACATGCCCATAAATATGTGCATATATAATGATTAAATATTTAGTAAAATACCCAACCTAACACTTGTGTCATCTAATAAGCATTAAAGGTTATCATTTTGGAGTTTCACTTGATTGGGCTTTGTTTTGTTTTGTTTTTTTTCATAGAAATATTTGATATATGTGGTCACCACTCACAACTCTTGCTTCAGTGACCATGGATGACAGGCAGCCCCAGCTACTGTTTTTCTGGTTGTATGACTATCTTTGCACTCAGGCCATATTTTCTCTGGTTGTTCCTGGCCAATGACTGAGCATGCTCGGAGTATTGATGAAGGCCATTTTTAAGATTTGTGATAACCTTCCAACAGAAGACTTTGGACTGGAGACTTCTATTGTCTGGGCCAAAATTTCCTAAACTGTGTTTCAGGCTGTGACTCTTTCATTCTCATCCTTCTTCCTTCTCCCCCTCCTTTGACAGAAGCCAGGCTTGCATCACTGAAGACTCCCTGCACTTAGATCTGCTTTTTCTTCTTAATCTTTAACTAACGTTCCTCTCATAACCTTTTGAGTGACTTATAATTGCATAGTATCAGCTTCTTGGAAAACCTGACTTGATAAACTATCCTATTTGAAATACAGATATATACGCATTTAACAATTTTTGACATTATTAGCACACTGAGTATTAAATAGTATCTGAAAAGAGATACCTTTAAAAATGAAAACACCTTCCTATTGGGGTTTTCTTCAAAACAAATAGATTATTTTTAAAAAGATTACAACTATAGCAACTTCAGTCTCTCCTGTTTTATCTACTAGAGTGGTTTGCTTCCTCTGCCTTTCTTAAAGTGATTGGTTAAAATGTTTTAGCACTTAGCACTTTCTTCCTAGTTTTGCAGATATGGCCCTGAAATGGCTTATGAGTAAGGCAAATAGAGGATGTTCTTACTGGGCTAGTGCTTTTATTTCTCTCTTTCGCTTGTTCTATTTTTTAAGTGAAAATGGCATTAGCATCTTATTTGTCAGGCTTTCATTTTCGTGTTTGAGAATTCCACTTGTAGATAACCAATAGCTATAACCTGTTCAGGTTTTTAAAAAATATAGCTTATTGAATGAGCAGTCACACACAAGAAATTCCGTTCTTCCCGTAGTCCATCATGCTTTACCCGTATTCAGCTTCTCACTTCTGTATCTAAAAACACTAGATTTTATCATTCTACTTTAAAGTTTCTTTTTTTTTTTTTTTTTTTTTTTTACTTTTCCTAAAATACTCAAATTTCCATAAAGGAACAAGGAATAAAGCTTAAGCATAACTTCAAAAGAGACATAAGCGGGGTGAACAAGATCCAAACACAGGCTCTCTTGATGTAAAGATAGACCTTTAACCATGTGCAATCTGTCTATTAAGAAAATAGAGGACTCTAAACACAAAATTAAGAGTATAGTTGTCTCTGTGTGACTGAAAAAGAGTGAAAGATAACTGCAAAATTATTGATACTGTTCTTATGCTTAAATTGGGTTGTGTGCTTACATGTGTTCATTATGTTAATATGTCTCATAGGTTAGGTATCTTAATCAAATATGCAGTTATATAAATACAATACACTGAGATAAGATAACTAGCAACACATTGAAACAAAAAAAAAACAAGAATAGGATTGAATACTGTCACGATCTTTACAAGGCCTGGCCTTTCACTATGTAAATAGATATCTTTTAGTCCAAGAAATCACAGAACTTACACATTTTTGGGAAAAGAAGAAAAAATTCATAGAATAAATTAATTTTATGTCCTGTAAGCAAAAGTCTACTAAGGTGAATTCATAATATCCCATAACAGCAAAAAAGAATGCATTCAGAAGTCCTAAATCTATAAACAATAAAAATAGTTAAGCACATAGAATTTACTTAAGTTCAAAAGCATCATGTTCATTAGAATTATATAATTCTTGTAGCGTTTAGTACATCCTGGATAATTCTTATTCCCATTATTTATTGCTAAGCACATTGAAATTTCAGATTAATAATATTATTATTTTTTAACTTTCATTTGTATTGTAACTGTTGGTTTTAACTGATGAAGATGCAAAACAAAAATAAACATTCAGGTAAATAACTATTTTCTAGAAAGATCCAACCTGTAAGCTAGCAATATGGTTTGATTCTTTCTTTTAAAGTTATGTTATTATAAGTATATAAGCAATTCAGATAATAGATCCTGGGTTATGATGCATATCCTATTTGCATAAGCTTAATATATTTTAAAGATAACCAAGAAAGATAATGTATAATTAAAACTATAAATAAACACATTACTCAACATAATTACTCCTTAAATATTCAGTCCATTTAATATAGGTCTTTGCTGCCGTAAATGAACTCCCATGAGCTTCTAGAGAGACTCGTTTTATTAAATGTTATAGTCTCTGGCTCTGACCAATCATAGCGCTATAGACACTGTTATAAACAATGTAAAAAGCTGCTAAAAAAGCAAGAGGTATTTTTTATTTTTTTGTAATTTGATTTTATTATCATGTTTTCATACCCACACAAAATAATCAATACATTAACATACAACCATCACACATATTCAACAATTATCATAATTTTGTTGTTTCTGCTTAAGGTATCCCTGTTCTCTTCTTGCCAAATTATTTTAAAAATATATCTCAGAATGTAATTTTATACCTACATACTTAAGGATACATCTCTAGAAAATGCAGATATTTAGTAATACATTTTTGCACAGTTTATTTTACTTCAGTATCTCAATTCAAATATTGTTTGTTATTAAAAAACTGCCTCTAACATATGTTTTACTATATATTTAAGAATATAATTTGGAAAAAAGAGTCTGACACATAGTCCATGTTCAATTTACCTCTTCAACTGATCTACTAAAAGGAAAAAAATGACACCAATACTTCTTACTCTTCCCTGAAGTTATGTTATGATATTTTTAGATTTTGAAATCCTGTAAAGTGTGCCCATTATTGGTTTCAAGTACATGTTTCCTAACTCATTTCAATCTCTTCTATAATCAAGTGCAAGAGAAAATATAAAATAGGCCCTATGATTGTAGAAATAAAAGTGGAAAAAACTAGCCTAGAGTTCATAAAAGTAGACATATAAAAATCTTGAAATGATAAAGGCCATAATCAATTAATTGAAATTAAAATTATTCCTTTGAGTTATTTTTGGGTATTCTTCCAATTTTAGTTTTTTTGTTTGTTTGTTTGATGTTGCAAATATCACAGTGTATGTCTTCTTTTTTTTTTTTTTTGAGACAGATTCTCACTCTGTCGCCCAGGCTAGAGTGCAGTGGCACGATCTCGGCTCACTGCAAGCTCCGCCTCCTGGGTTCACACCATTCTCCTGCTTCAGTCTCCCGAGTAGCTGGGACTACAGGCGCCCGCCACCATGCCTGGCTTATTTTTTGTATTTTTAGTGGAGATGGCGTTTCACCGTGTTAGCCAGGATGGTCTCGATCTCCTGACCTCATGATCTGCCCGCCTCAGCCTCCCAAAGTGCTGGGATTACAGGTGTGAGCCACTGCGCCTGGCCAGTGTATGCCTTCTAAAAGCAGAGTCTGTAGTAAATATATATATAAATGGTAACACAAGCATATAAAATAAAATGTGGCAATTACTATTCAATGAAAAATACAGGGACATTTGGGAGAGCATAACAAGTAAAGTAAGGGAGTAAATACGTGCTGAGATAAATGAATTTTTGTTACATGAGTCAGGAGTTAAAGAAATAAATGAAAGATGAGAGATTAGGATATAAAGTATATAGGGTGCCAGTTCATATAACACTTTATATTAAAGGAATTTGAGCTTTTGGTTGAAATAATGGAAGCTATTGGGAGTTTTAAGGGGATTGATATGAAGGAGGTAAAATAGGAGTCTATAGCACTAATCTAAAGTGGTAAGTGAATGGAAGTCAAAGCTATTTAGTGGAGTAGGTTGAACCAAAATTGATGACTAAGTAGGTGGTATCTAAAGGAAAGGAAAAGTTTGAGTCTTGGGTATCTGGCATGCATAGTATACTAACAGTGATATACACAGTTACTTTCAGGCTCACTGAATGAGTAGTGGTCAATGAAATACAGAACAAAGTCATGCAATTCACTTTCAAGTTGTGTTCTTGAAACTTCCCATGGCACCCATGAAGATTTCAAGAGTCATTTGTTATTATATCCCATCTTGACTAATACCAAGTTGTTAGAAAAAAATGAAATACTATTGTAACAATAAGCTAAAATAAGTGGTATTGTCTTAACAATGAGAAAGAGCATGAGGAAACTTAAGATCATAGATGATGAAAACTGTTTCCCCTATCCCCACTCCCAAGAAGGGAGAGGTTGGGGTTATACAAAGTGATTAATCTATGTGTTCTTCCCAGAAAAAAAAAGGCAGAGTTTAATCAAATAACTTTTCCAACCTTTAGTATATGGTTCATTCAAACTGTCTGACCTGTAGTGTTTCAGAATTACCAATGGTCAGTGGTTTCTATGTACTATACCTTATATTTTGCCTTTCTAAATGGGCTATGAGCATTACATATCTTAGCTCATTTATCTTTTAAATAACTTTAAGAAGCTAGTATTATTATTAGCTTGATTTTGCTGGTGAGAACATTGAGATGTAGAGATTCAGAGTAGCTAGTGTTTGGTATAACTATGATTTAAATTTAGTTCTGTCTTATTATAATATTAAACAAGTATGTGACTTCGTAGTGTAATGAGTCACTTTCAAAACATACAGCAGTTGCAGCCTAACATCTTGTTACTTTAGGTGGTGACATAATGTATTGACTCATATTGAGCACTTCTAAGTGTGAGTTTTAAGTAGCTTTTTTTCTTTAGAAAGGTGCTGAAGATAATTCAAATACTTTTTTGCATATTATTTTGTGTCCCTGTAGATTGCTAGGACTATGAGGGCAGGGCCATATATATTGTGTTCATCTCTCTATATTCATTTTCTAATGCTGGTCCAAGAAACAGGTTGAGATGCTAAGTAGGGAGGCCGTAGAAAACATCATTGAAAAGATAGCATTTATGCAAAAATTTAAAGGTGGTGAGGTATTAAACATGTAGATATCTGAAAGAAGGGAACTCAGGCAGAGGGAAAAGACAGTGCAAAAGCCCAAGACAGCCCCATATCTGGCTTGTTTGAAGGGGTTCAAGGAAACCAGTGTGACTGGAGATGAGTGAGGAAGGGGAGTTAACGATGAGCACACAGAAGTAATTTGGGCCTTGATATATGTTTTTAATTTTTAAAAATATATATTATATTTAAATGACATAATAATTGTACAAATTTACAGGGTATTTTAAAACTCACATTGCCTTAGAATTTTACCATCAATGAAAGAGAGGGTCACTACAGGTCCTAAGAAGAGAAGTGATACGCTCTTTTATGTAAAAAGGATGACTGTGGATATTGTGTTGGTAACTGACTGTAAGGGGACACTTTTAGGAAAAGTCCCCTCTTTAGATATTGACTTTATCCAAGAGGAAAACAGTAGTAATTCACACCTCAGTAGACATGGTGAGAAGTAGCAGATTCTAGATATTATAAAGTCTTTGAGTTTAAGCAACCAGAGGAAGGATGCCATCAAATGAAATGGATAAGCATAAACAGGTTTGGTAGTAGCTGGGAGATGGAAATCAGCAATTTCTCTTGAGTCATACTTTCTTTGAGATTTCCATTAGGTATCTGAAGTAATCAGAAACTAGCCAGGAAAATTGAAATCATTGAGAATTTAAAACAAAGGGAATTGATAGTAGAAATAACTTTAAAAAAATTAAAGCCAACCAGGGGACAGTGAGGCAACCTACAATTTAGCAACAATGGGAGGCTACTATCACCTTCCCTTGGAGAACAGGGATAGGAGGCTGTACTACTGGAGCTGCAGGGAGGGATGTTTGGGGGAAGCTGGAACCACAGTGGGCCTATGTAAAGGAGCAGGAGCCTGTAAAAAATGCAACTGTTATTAGGGATGACAGGGAGAAATTGAGACAATATCTAGATTTCTCCTTGTTCCTGCCTTTCATCTTTCTGCATGTGTCTCCTATTGTTTGAGCCTACCTGGAAGCCAGCTTTCAGAAAATCTGAGCTACATAATCCACAGTTTTCATCCCCTCTGTCTTAAGAACTGAACTGGGCAGAGTGAGGAATGGGTCTCAGGAAAAATAGACCCATTATCATCACAACATTTAGGTGGAAGTGTAAAAAATGCAATTGGATTTATGAGTGTGGAATTTGGGATAGAGATATGGCATGGAAATATAAATTTGGGAGTCATTAGCATTTACACTGCATGTAAAACCATGAGATTGGATGAGATAACCAAGGAAAGAAGTGCAGAGAAAGATGATGGTGGGGGGAAATAAAATACTGAGGCCTGGAGCATTCCAACATTGAGTCTGATGAATAGAAGAAAACACTAAAAGAGAGAGAGAGGGAGACAGAGAGAGAGAGAAAGAGAGAGAGAGAGAGAGAGAGAGAAGTATACAAATAATATAAAACCAGGGAGTCAAATGAAGATAGTATTATGAGAATAATCTACTTCAAATGCTGCTGATAAATCAAGTAAGGTGAGAAAAATAACTATAAGATTAACAAAGTGGAGGACAGGTTTAATTAGAGTACTGGGGGGCAAAAATCTGTATGGAAGTGAAATGATTAAAGAGAAAATGCAAGAAGCAAATGACATGGTGACTATAAATTATCCTTTTAAAGAGTTTTGGTGAAAAAGGGATCAAATTCCCTGGCAGTATCTGACAATGAAAATGGGGAAAATGAAGAATACTGGTTGCTTATTTGCTTTTATTTTCTAGTATGACAGAAGTAATAGCTTATTTGTATGATCATGAAATGACCCAATAATGAGGAAAATTTGATTACGTATAAGAGGGGTAAGTATTGAAAAGTATCTGTCTATAGCCTGTGTAGTCAGAAAGAGCTGATGAACAAGTAAAGGCGTAAGCTTGAGGTAGGTGTATAAACATTTCATTTCTGGCAGTGGTTTTCTTTAAGGAGAGATTTCACTCTGCAAGGAGCCAATTGGCAGTGTTTGGAGATGTTTTCTGTTGTCACAACTTGTGAATGGAGTTACTACTAGCATCGAATTGGAGAGGCCAGGGATGTTGCTAAACATCCTGCAACATACAAGGTAACCTTTCCAACACCCCATCCCAAACATAGAATTATCTGGCTCAGTTTGTCCATAGTACCAGAGAAAAGACCCTGCTCTATTAATATGCAGGATGAGTAGTGTGTAATTTTAGATACTGGCGTTAAGTATATGTAGTAGTGGGAGTCTGCATACATTTACTCTTGATTGTTATTTATCTATCTATTTATTTATTTATTGACACAGGAAACAAGGTCATCAGCTGGCATTGAGATTGAAGAAAAGTATGTGAGGGGTGTGAAATGAGGAAAGAATCCATAAGTTAATCTTACATAAGAGGAAGAAGGCAATGGCTAACAAAAGAAAAATGGGCTTGTTTGGCCGCATTAAAGGCACATTTGCTTTTCAAGGTTGTGGTTTTAAAGAGATAACAATCAGCACAATTTGGTTATGTGTTTTTCTCCCACTGCAGTTTGGGTATAAAAGCAATTCCAAAATTGATGGAGACATGCATGAAACTAAGGCTATAGTTTTGCTAAGTCAGTCATGTTTAGTAGATAGAAATTTATTTGATGACCAAGGATGGCACAAAATGTTTAAAAGACTGAATATGTGACATAATAAAGCACATTTATGAAACAGTAAATTGCTTTTCGTAAAGGTGGATTATTTGATGTATTTTGAAGAAGAAATAACAACTGTGAATCAAATATTTATGAAATTGGCAGAGAGTAAATGATTAAAGTTTTAATGATCAGATTGTCATTTTAGAGTAATTATCATTATACGACAGTGAAGAAAAGTTTGAAGAAGTTATAGAAAAAGGATGCTATTGTTTTAAATTAATGCACTGGTCTAGCTGTGATTTCATTAAGATGATTTCATAACTGTAACAGTAACAATAGGAATATTAAGGAAAAGAATGTTGAGGACAGGAATTAAAGAGAAATTTATTTGTTGAAATAAATTAGGTTTTTAGATTCATTATGATTAATGTTTAAGAATGAATATATAATTTCTAGTCAATATATAATAATGCAAATTTAACACATAAGAAATATTGATAGAAAAAGCATTCTACCTTAAACATATTGCTAGACCATGTGAGAGAGTTCTGTAGAATAGATTCAAGAATGGTGTGGAAAGGGGTGGTACCTCCTGATCAATTTTCTCCCCTGATGGGGGCAGGTGTGGAGGAAAACTCCTGGGAAATAAAGAAGTCAGGTGTTCTGGTTTAATTTTTCTGCAAACATATTAATGCAAGTCTCTTAGAAAATAAACTAAATAGTTTTTGGTGGCCAAAGAATCATTCTTCATAAAATGTTTCTAGCAGACCATGCGGAGTTGTCTAAAATTGCTTATGAAAAATAAGCCAGGAATCAATAAATGTAGGGTGATGATTCCCAAGAAAATGTCACGTTAGCTGTGTTGCTGTCTAAGTATAAAAGGAGATGGTTTGTAACTGAGAATACACTTGAGTAAGTAAAGCAACTGTACATTTTACTTAGAAACCAAATCTAGAAACTTGGATGAGACCACATTCAATGAAGATGAAAGGACCCAGGTCTCTCCCCACTTAACCCATACATGATTATTTTATCTTTGAAATTATTCAAAAAGCATGATACTGAGCAAAATCTTCAATCTGAGTCTGATTTGACAATTCAATGCTTTTTGTGGGTTCAGATTGGCACTGAGAGCAGGATTGTCTTTTAGACCCACACACCAAAATAGTGAATGTTTTCTTTTTCTACCTGGGCTCCTTTTCAAAAGGAAATAATGGAAAAATATGAGAATTTGTTCTCAGGATAGTTGGCTGTACATTTTTGGTATGAGGTAGTGGAATCTTTGAGGCAGGTTAAGGGAAATAAGTCTTACCATTGAAATCTGGGGGCCATAGACTACAGTCTGGGAGTACGGGTCTAGGGAGTACATGGACAAAGGGAAATTGGGTGCAAATCCCATTGACTGACTCCTGCTAGCATACCTGTAAAAGCTAACCTTTTAATAGGTTAGTTTTTAATAGGAGGAGATGATAGTGGGAGAAAAAGCTGCGAGATTACATTTTATTCACTGGAAAACCTTCTTATCCCTCCCTGGTTTCTTGGAGAAATTTCTTGTATCTTTTGAAATGACTCAAAATATTGATTATAGGACAAACTATTTATGTAACCAGAGTCCAAGGACAGGTGATGAGTGAAAACTATATTTTATTAAAGAACAGAATATTCACTAACAGAAGACTGGTGAATTAACATTGGCATGGATTCTTCAAATTAATGATGGAGGACATGTTGCAATTCTATTATTATCTGATGCAAAGGACTATTCATGGTCATGACTAATCATTAAATGGCTGTAAACTTTTGAGAAAACACTTCCAAATACTGTGACAGCATATCGGCTGCAGTTGTTAAGGTGAGATTTGTCAGTCCTATACTGAGAAGGGTAACTGCTACTACTCCTCTCCAAATTGCCAATTGGATTCTCCTTTTCACATGATAGGAATGATACAAGTGTAAAGGTTGACAGGCTTTATATTTTCCAGAGAGAAAACACCTTAGTTAATGCTATTGATACAAATAATAAGAGATAGAGTGAATGGGATAAGCTAATGATTCTCTGTCTTACAAGACTTATATAACCTTGAGGGCCAAATATATATATTCAGAGAACAGTAACAAACATACAGGTTTAGTTACTATACATGGGATTATATGGAGAAAAAGCATTTATATCATGTGCACAACAGGGAGAAATTAAAAATCAGAAGAGAAAATAGAAAGGCAGCTCACATGAATTAATTTACTTTTGAAGAAAATATAAATAGCATTTAAAAAGTAAGCCTTGATAGAATTTTTAATAAGAAAGTAAAAGCACATTATCAACTTTTGAATCAGAGGAGTACTGTAGCCCCCACCAATCCCTTAAAGAATCATAGAAAATTTGCTTTATTTATTGTGGCTGAAAGAGTTCAAATCCAATTATGAGGATATGATATAGAACAGAATATACTTGAACAGGGGGCTGAGTTTACTGCCTTAATTAAAGCCATAGAATCTGAAAACAATTAAATAAAGAACTGAGGTCTGTTCATTCCAGCCCCAGTCATGGATCTGAGGCCATATATGTAATAATTTGAACAAAGTTACCTGGGGTGGTATTCAAAGTTTCTTATCATTGGTAGGATGCAGAGCAGAATTTACAGTAGGCCTTATGGAAGGTAGGAAAGAGTCTCATACATGCTCTAAGTGAAATCTGGAGTGCATGAAGAGAACATCAGGGAGGAAACCAAGGTAAAGATGACGTTACAGGTTGAAATGTGTGGTTGGAGAGAATATTACCTGCTTGTGCTACCTTCACATAAATACAAAATTGCAATTGTCATTCAATATGAATGGGACATTGTCGTCTTTGTGTTTCCACAGAGGATGAAGACTGAGCTCACTCTTCACCAAATTTTAATTAGCCATGCCAAATGGAATCCTTTGGAATTGCTCAAGCTCTCCACAGTAGTAAATATTAAGCAATGCAGAATTCCAAGGGCACAATAAGAGACTACTGTTGTAATTAAGAAAATGGTTTAGAAGGAAGTTCCCCTCCCCACATTAACTTCCCTTTTGTAGTTCTAACTGGTCAATAAGTAGGTAGCCCCTGGACATTTACAGTAGAGTATCAAGGTGGTTCATTTGCATGCTTCATCTCTACCTGATATGATGAAGAATGTACAGAAAATAAAGTAGACAAGAGGCTCTGATATGCTATCAAGATTAACTACATAATTCATAGAGCTGAGTATAAAATGAAAATGCATGGATACTTACTCAAAAATTATTAAGAATTTCGAGATAGCTACAACAGAGCATTAAACCAATCTCAGGGGCCTCCTAAGATTTTTTTTTTTTAATTTCAAGTAGGAAAATTTTAAGCTTTGCAGAATAGAAACAAGTACATGTTTACTGTCTTATCATGGATTAAAAAAAATTCATTATCACATTTCCATAATCTGGTAAAGAATAACCTAAAAGATAGAGTTCATCTACTACTTTCATGGTATGATGATAATTTTCTTCTCAGAGCAAAAATTAGGAGAGGATTTAAGGACCATAGTCACCCATATTACAAATAGAAGCTGGGTGATAAATCCAGCTAGAATTTAAGGCACAGCCCAAGGTGCAAATTAATTCCTGGAAATTAGTACAAATCAACTTAGGATGTTCCTTAAACTGCAACTAAATCCTGTAAATTAGTGCAGATCAACTTAGGACATTCCTTAAACTGTGAGAAGTAATTTATCTTTCATAGGACCCACCAATAAGCAATAAACTCAGAGACTGTCAAGACTGTTCTAAGAATCTTGTCTACCCATACTCACAAAATAACTGGAAAGAGTTCAGAACGTGAATACAGCATTGTAGTACTTTCCTAGGGCTGCTGGAACAAATTACCACAAACTGGGTAGCTTAAAACAACTGAAATTTATTATTTCACAGTTCTGGAGGCTAGAAGTCTGAAGCCAAGGAGTCAATAGGGTCAAGCTTCCTTGAAAAGCCACAGAAAAAAATCTTTTCTTGCCCCTGCCTAGGTTCTACTCTCTCCTACACATTTTTGGAGCTTTATTACTTATAGATTTATTACTCCAATTTCTGCTTTCGTTTTCAATTTCTTCTCCATGTGTCCTCTCTTCTTATAAAAACACCTCCAGTCATTGGAATTAGGACCCTCCTTAATCTAGTAGGAGCTCATCTTAACAAATTATATGTGCAAATTTCTAAAGAAGGTCACCTTCTGAGATTCTGAATGAATAATAATTTCAGAAGAGCACCATTTAACTCACTGCAGGTACTGAATAGAAATAAGCATGAAAAGTATTGTGGTAGGTGGTAGCACAGGCAATAACATTAGGCCCTTATGATCCCATCCAACTGGTCAGATGATATTGGGGCATATCCAAACTAGAGCCCTTTAGGAAGAGTTAAATGGGACCACCAATTTAGACTCCTCAGGATTTTGACTCAAAATATGCCTGTGGCAGCTGTTTGCTATAATCCATTTGAAAGACACATGCTGTTGTACTGAATGACACAGCCAATGTCAACAGGAAGGACCAGCTACATAACTTCTGTAACCCAGTGAAAAATGAAAAGCAAGGCCCCTTGCTCAAAAATTATTAAGGGTTCCTTTAGTGAAACCATTGCGTCCTGAGACTAATATGAGAAATAAATCACAAAATCCACTGTGCCTTACTAATATCAAGAGGTAGTAATGAGGGAGTGAAGGAGAATGCAATAATATATAACTTTATATCTTTCCCACCTCTAATACTTTTATTTGGCCTCTAATGGTGGTGTCAAACCCAGTTTTAAATTTACTTGCACCAGAGGAAGATTATACAATACCCAAGACATGATATTTGTGTCATTTAATTTGACTGTGCCTTTTCTGAAAGGTAATTTGTGGTGGATCAAAAGTTCCTTCCTATGTAACCAATTAGGGCTAAAGGTGAAGGTAGCTCCATTATCAACAGAGGAGAGACTTCTGAGGTCCTTTGTCTATCACTTATAACATTTGTTTGACAACAAACCTCATGACACAAGTTTACCTGTGTAACAAATCTGCACATGTAACCATGAACTTAAAATAAAAGTTAAACAAACAAACAAATAAAACCCAAACATTTGTTTGGGTGTGCTAGTAAGGTTCTTGTTATTGATTGTGTGGGCAAACATTATGCATGATGAGTTATACAGCCTGATATTGGGAGGAAGCGTTTGGAAATAGGGTAAAATCATAGAAGATGGGAAAGGTGTTTATAAGTAGATTACATTACCGTGGAGGGAAGCCACTACAATATTTTCACGCAAACAGCTCAGAGTGAGGATATCATACTTAACTATCTTTTGCTATTGTCATCCAAACAAATGGGCTTTGTTGGTGAAAATCTCTTGGCCTGCTTACTGCAGAAAAGGAAAATTGGACTCCTACTGATTTGGATGTTCTAACTGTATAATCTGAATAAAACAAATGACAAAGTGCCCCCTGACAACTCAGCTTGTGTGTAGTTGACTACAGTTATCACTCAGTTTCTAGGCTTTGTTTACCATTCTAGATTATTTTTTTCCAGAGAAACTACCAATGAATTGTACAGAGCAGAGGATGCTGTAGAATAGAATTTCTGCACCCTATATGGCCATAAATCAAAATGATACATTGCTAAGACAGCTCCCTGGTCATGATAGAAAGCAGATAGTGGCTGCCTGTCTGGTATGTCACAGCTTGATCTGGTCTGTTGCTTTGAACATATCAGTGTGAATGTAAATGGAATTAATTTAAATAATATAAAACTAGAACCTAGAAAGCCTCAGAGAATGTGATTTTATGTTTGCTTTAATGCTTTAAAATTATAAATAACTCCCTCAAGAGGTACGTAGAGGACATTTAAGGGAAGCCTATGGCACAGCCAGATAAAACGGTATCTGGTGCTAGGATATACCTAACAGAGAATTTCATGAAGCACATTATTTGTAGGTGTAGACAATGCTTTCAAACTAGACACATTTAATTAGCACATAATATGAACTACATGAGTGGCAAGTTAAGCAGCACTGGCCCCTTTGCCAGGCATTTTGAAAGAATTACAGGATTTGGTCATGTGATATTAAATCTAATTGAAGTAGTGTTCTAGGAGGCCCATCATTAAGATAAAAATGACTTGCTACTTCAAATAGGGACACTAGAGGAAGCTGTTTTTAGAGGACTCAGTTGCAGTAGGAAATCAGTTTGGTTTAAGACAATGCTTGAACCGAAGACACTGAATAAATAATGACTTCCATGCTTATTAACAACACTAGGATTAACTTTGTACCTTTAGTCAGGAAGGACTATTGGATATATTAATCACTATGGGATATTATGTCTTTAATGTTGAGTTGCAGGAATTCATAAAGAAACAAGCTCAACGTCGGGCTCAGTGGCTCACACTTGTAAAATCCCAGCATTTAGGGAGGCTGAGGAGTGTGGATCACCTGAGGTCAGGAGTTCAAGACAAGCCTGGTCAACATGGCGAAACCCCGTCTCTACTAAAAATACAAAAATTAGCCAGGCATGGTGGCAGGTGCTTTTAATCCCAGCTACTCAGGAAGCTAAGGCAGGAGAATTGCTTGAACCTGGGAGGTGAAGGTTGCAGTGAGCCAAGATTGTGCCACTGCACTCCAGGCAGGTGACAAGAGTGAAACCCTGTCAAAAAAAAAAAAAGAAAGAAAAAGAAAGAAAGAGAAAGAGAGAGAGAGAAAGAAAAGGAGAAAGAAAGAAAGAGAAAGAAAGAAAGAAAGAAAGAAAGAAAGAAAGAAAGAAAGAACGAAGGAAGGAAGGAAAGAAAGAAAGAAAGAAAGAAAGAAAGAAAGAAAGAAAGAAAAAGAAAGAAAGAAAGAAAGAAAGAAAGAAAGAAAGAAAGAAAAAGAAAGAAAGAAAGAAAGAAAGAAAAAGAAAGAATTTGAAGAAGTAAAATTATGGGAGAAACGTGTTTAGTCTAAGTTATGGCAAGGTTTCACCGAACACTGTGACCTTTAATGTTGCTCCCTGACAACCCTGGTAATATGGATGAAAAAGAAGTTTATCTCCCGTGTGTGGAATTCATAGAAAGTGGATGAATAAAGAACAATCCTTTGACATATGTAGGCCATGGGGTGTGGATGGGCTCTTTGACATAATGACCCCTGAAAATTAGTGTTTGTACCAACCTGGAATATACCTAAAATACAGTTCATAGAAACAAATTTTTTTCAGAAAATTTGATTTGAGAAAAAATATGTATTCAATTAAATACTCCCATAGGCCAGTGGAAAATGATGCAAATAATTGAGGTTGATGGAGGAAAAAGGTAATTGAGTCTGTGAATGAACATCAAGAGACTTGTAAAGGAAGATGTTAATGAGTAACATTGCTTTGTGGAGGGAATTCCTACTCTCTGTTGGATGGTTCAAATCAAGGTCAGAGTATTAGTTGGCTTAAGTGAAACACTGCAGAAAATGGTGTAAGCCAATAATGATAATACACCAGCAATATTTGGCACTAAGATGTTGACCAAGGCCAGAGCAGATTGGGAAGGAAAGGGTCTTTGATTCTTTCTGATTACTGAGATGCCCTGCCAGGATCCACAGAAGGAAGGAAGCCCATTTTGCTTATATAAACATACTAATGACAGCTCCTGACAAACAATTTGTTTTTTTGCTAGCAGGAGAGTGATTATCTATCACAGAAACGCTTTTAGCAGAATGTACTTGGTCGTTTAGAATTGCTTATGGTTAACAAAGTAGAAGGTTGTGGATTTATGGGGCTCCCTGGAAAATGTCACATATACCACATATGTAACTATCTGCATAAAAATGAAGATATTTGATAATTGAGACAGGTATCTCCATGTAAATAAATTGTCGGCATACCTCTCTAGAAGTCTCATCTATCTGCCTGGGCAAGGGAGTATCTAATGACAGAACCAAGGATCTAAAGAATCAGATTAAGAGATCTAAATAATTCTCTGATTTGCCCATGCCTAATGATTAACTGAGTTCATGAGATTACTAGTAAAGCTTTATATTTTGTAAGATCTTAGATTCTGATAAGTCTAATGTCACAATCCAATCAGTTTTTCCTATCTCAAGGAATCATGTCCATATAATGGAATTAATCCTGAAACTCTGAAAAGTTTTAATATTCTGGGGTAAGGGTAGATGAGAAGTAGTCTCCATATGACTTATAAACATGTAAGGAGAAATAGTAAAATTGTTGTAAAATTAAAAGAAGAACAGAAATTCATAAAATAACCTATAACAATCAGGTTAAACAACAAAAACAAAAAGCAAAGCGTCTATCAGTAACATGATTGAATAGAAGAGCCAAGAGAGAGAGTTGTCAGTGGTAAAGGAATAAATATTATCTCATTTGATAGAGTGATTGTATTAGTCCATTTTAACACTGCTGATAAAGACATACCCACGACTGGACAACTTACAAAAGAAAAAGGTTTATTGGACATACAGTTCCACATGGCTGGGGAGGACTCACAATCATGGCAAAAAGGAGCAAGACACATCTTATGTGGGTGGCAGCAGGCAAAAAAAGAGCTTGTGCAGAGAAAATCCTGTTTTTAACACCACTAGATCTTGTGAGACCCATTCACTATTATGAGAACAGCATGGGAAAGACCTGCCCCCATGATTCAGTCTTCTCCCATCAGGTCCCTCCCACTACATATAGAAATTATGGGAGCTACAAGATGAGATTTGGATGGGGACACAGAGCCAAACCATATCATTTCACTCCAGCCCCTCCCAAATCTCATATCTGCATGTTTCAAAACCAGTCATGCCTTCCCAACAGTCCCCCAAAATGTCAACTCTTTTTAGCATTAACTCAAAAGTCCACAGTCCAAAGTTTCATCTGAGACAAGGCAAGTCCCTTCCACCTATGACCCTGTAAAATCAAAACCAAGTTAGTTACTTCCTAGATACAATGGGGTTACAGGGGTAAGGGGATTGGGTAAATGCACCCATTGCAAATGGGAGAAATTGGCCAAAACAAAGAGGCTACAAGCCCCATGCAATTCTGAAATCCAGAAGGGCAGTCAAATCTAAAGCTCCTTTGACTCCATGTCTCACATCTAGGTCACGCTGATGCAAGAGGTGGATACCCATGGTCTTGGGCAGTTCCACCCCTCTGGCTCTGCAGGGTACAGTCTCCCTCCTGGCTGTCTTCATGGGCTGGTGTTAAGTGTCTGCAGCTTTTCCATGCACACGGTGCAAGCTGTCAGAGGATCTACACTTCTGGGGTCTGGAAGACGGTGGCCCTCTTCTCACAGCTCCACTAGGTGGTGCCCCAGTAGGGATTCTGTGTGGGGGCTCCCTCCCCACATTTTCCTTCTGCACTGCCCTAGCAGAGGTTCTCCATGAGGACCCCACCCATATGGCAAACTCCTGCCTCGGCATTCAGGCGTTTCCATACATCTTCTGAAATCTAGGCAGAGGTTCCCAAACCTCAATTTTTGACTTCTGTGCACTCGTAGGATCAACACCAAATGGAAGATGCCAAAGCTTGGGGCTTGCACCCTCTGAAGCCATAGCCTGAGCTCTATGTTGTCCCCTTTCAGCCATAGCTAGAGTTGCTGTGATGCAGGGGATGAAGTCCCTAGGCTGCACACAGCAAAGGAACCCTGGGCCCAGCCCACAAAACCACTTCTTCCTCCTAGGTCTCTGTGCCTGTGATGGGAGAGGCTGAGGTAAAGACCTTTGACATGTCCTGGAGACATTTTCCCCGTTATGTTATGCAAATGTCCGTAGCTGGCTTGGATTTCTCCTCAGAAAATGGGATTTTCTTTTCTATTGCATTGTCAGGCTGCAAATTTTCCAAGTTTTTATGCTCTGCTTCCCTTATAAAACTGAATGCCTTCAACAGCACCGAATTCACATTTTAAGTGCTTTCCTGCTTAGAAATTTCTTCTGCCAGATACCCTAAATCATCTCTCTCAAGTTCAAAGTTCTACAAATCTATAGGGCTGGGCAAAATGCCACCAGTGTCTTTGGTAAAACATAGCAAGATTCACCTTTACTCCGGTTCCCAACAAGTTCCTTATCACCAGCTGAGACCACTTCAGCCTGGATTTCATTGTCCATATCACTGTCAGCATTTTGTTCAAAGCCATTCAGCAAGTCTCTAGGAAGTTCCAAACTTGGCCACATTTTCCTGTCTTCTTCTGAGTCCTCCAAACTGTTCCAACCTCTGCTTGTTACCCAGTTCCAATGTCGCTTCCATATTTTTGGATATGTTTCCACCAGCACCCCACTCTACTGGTAACAATTTACTGTATTAGTTCATTTTCATGCTGCTGATAAAAACATACCTGCAACTGGGCAATTTACGAAAGAAAGTGGTTTGTTGGACTTACAGTTCCACATGGCTGGAGAGGCATCATAATCATGGTGGAAGGCAAGAAGGAGTAAGCTACATCTTACATGGATGGCAGCAGGCAAAAAAGAGATTGTGTGGAGAAACTCCCATTTTTAACACCATCAGATCTCCTGAGATCCATTCACTATCACAGGAACAGCATGGGACATACGTGCCCTCATGATTCAGTCATCTCCCACTGGATCCTTCCCATAACACGTGGAAATTATGGGAGCTACAAGATGAGATTTGGGTGAAGACACAGAACCAACCCATATCAGTGATTATTTAAGATTTTTTGCAGAAGCCTAACTGTTCAAGGAAGGTGTGTGATGGCAAAGAATAAAAGCTACAGATAATGACATGGCATCAGCTTGATTGGATCCATATTTTGTGGGATCTACAGCACATTCAATTTGGAGGTCAGGGTTTGGGGCTCTTTAAGCAAGAATACAAAACAACAAACTCAAAACTGGAAACTCAAATGCAAATGAGGTGGCCAGAAATGTAAGCCTCATAACTTAGGATAAGAGAACAAAAGCTGATAAACATTTTCTATAAAGGGCACGATAGTAGATACTTTAGGCTTGCAGGCCATATGATTTGTGTTGTAAATATGCAACTTTGCCTTTGTAGTGCTTAAGCAGCTGTAGGCAATATGTAAAGGAATGTCTGTGGCTGAGTTCCTATAAAATTTTATTTATAAAAACCCGTGGCAGCCTGGCTTTGGCTTATTGGCTATAGTTTGCCTACCCCTGGCTTAATAAATCTGCCTCTATTCATAAGTAAGATTCTGCTTGTGTTTTGACTTTGCCATGTGCTCAGGGAAGGTAAGTAAAATTAAAATGTCTAGGAGAAGAAAGTGTAAATAACAACAAATTCCTGTTGGCAACGTATTTATGAATATGGAAGAAGAGATGCCCTCTTATCCTGTGAGATGGAAAGAAAAAAAGCCAAGAACAAATACAAATTAAAGCAAGCAAGTCTAAAATAAGAGAATTAACATTATTCTGGGAAGTAGAAGACAAAGTACTTCTGCTAGGAATGGGAAGACCAATTATGGACTGGAGTATTTGAAAACTCGGTGGATATTTGGAATATCTGTTGTGGACAAAAAAGAGACAGAAAAAAGGAACAGATCAAAAAGTCAAGTAATTTGAAGTGATTATAGGGAAAAGTGATCTGGACACACTGTGTCATTCACAAAAGCATCTGACCAAGAGAGTAAACTCTGCCCTGCGGTCAACAGTTACTATTAAAATTTCATCATTCAGATTCAGGGCTTATTTCTAGTTGATACAAAAGTGGCACCTTGCCCTACATAATGTTATACTTTTTGTTATTCAGAAATGTTGAAGTTTCTATGCATGAGGTTTTTGTTATTTGACATAATGATTTATTTCACTCATTGTGTTTATCTTATCCAGATTAGATAGAAATTAACCAATTTTAACTTTCTGTCTGTTCTGTATGTTTTAGTAACAAGTAATTCAGGAGTGCATGCAAATGCAACATGAAATGAACAGACAATAAAATAGAGTATATTTGCATAAATATAAAGACTTTTCATATGTTATAATAAACAGTATCAAAAACATTATTTGTCTTAAACTGTTTAAAAAATGCCAATATAAGTCATTTTTAACCTAGTATCAAAATCGTAATCATGTGAAAAGTAAATATTTCTTTAAGTTTTGTAAAATATTTGATGTAGAATATTTAGCTCCAAATTAATTAGGAGAATTTCATAGTGTCTTATAATTAAGCTGCCCTTAAATACACCTGAACCTTCATGCAAACGTCTGTGGTTATTTGTCTCCACATGTTTCAGCAGATTAGGTGATTTGAATTCAGCAAAAAATTTAATAGCTTAAGTTGAAACAGGAATTATCCTAAGGGAATCTGTAGAAATGCATTCAAGAGCAGATGAGCTATATCTATTTCTTTCATGTTTTGGTGTAGTAAGTAATTGTTCATAGCCAAACACTTTACGAAGATAAATGATTGATATAATGAATGACCCGAAGATGCCCAAGAGCACATGAAAACAGAAATGCCTTTGTTCTGAAGGAGAATGTCTTAGTATAGTTATAAATTGAATGTAAAAATTGTGGCTGAAATTATTCTAAAAATCACAAGAAGCTGCATTTAAACTGTGCTATGGCATCTATTCAAAAGATTTGAAACCATTTGTTTTCTGAATTGCACCCAACATAAAGCTTTCTCACACAGAACAAAACAGAAGTGAGCATCAGTCACCCTTCCAACATGCATACATTTTGTTCTAAAGGAACAGCTGTTACTTGATGAAAAGTCGATGAAAGATGCCCAGCATTTGTTTTTAAAAAGTTATCACCCAAACAAGAATTGTTTGGAACCAGATGCTAAAATCGAGAGTGGTCTGTTTATTTCAGTTGAGAGTGTTACAAAAATGTTAATAAGGTATTTTTATGTCTATTACTCAGCTATATTTGACTTTTTAATGTGCTTTTTGTTATAATTGGCTGTTGTTTCTATAGGCTGGCATTATTGGCATTAGATCACTGAAGAGGAAATAAAGTGTGCAAGAATACTCTCTTGTCACCAGATTACTGAGGTGTACTGGAGGTAGGTTGAATGGTTTTACAGATGAATTACAGTGAAAACTTTGAAACACTAATAATCTCTTCAGTGTTGAGAAATAACCTACTAATCATTAACTTAATAATTATCAGCTCAACCAGGAAACTACACCACCTAAAAGGTAGTTAATTTTATCACTCCTAGACATCTACAGGAGACCATGATTCTCCATTATGTGAATGCCTTGCTGCCCATGTGATGCCTGCCCCCATCAATTCTAAGAAGCTTCAGTCATTTAGTACTTAATATGTAATTTTTAAAAATTACATAAGTAATACCTTCTCCTTATAGAGAACTGAAACTTTCAGAAACAGTTAAAGCCTAATTTGAATATTGCCAAAGCCCTGTCTCTTCTTCAGAGACAACCAGTGTTTCCAGTTTGGTGTGTATTTTCCCCAAACACAGTGAATGTGTGTATAAACACGTGTAGATTTACCTGTCCTAGATATGAGCATTTGCTTTGTGAGTCTGCTTTAAGTCAAGTTCTAAACTATGGCTCAGTTTAAAACTTCTCTTTTTCTATTTAATAATATACCTTAGAAGTCATGCCATGATATTAAGATGAATAATAATGAAATTATTAATATTAGTCAAATTTAATTAGTTGCTTATTATGTAGTGGGTACTTGGTGTGATATATGGATTATCTCATTTAATCATCATGACAAGCTAATAAATTGGCAATGCTGTTATCTCCATTTTACAGAAGAGAGAAAAAGATTGTAAGTACTTTGCTCAAGGTCATTTAGAGGGAGAGCAAATTATTCAAATCCAGATATTCTGCTCTCAGAGATTGTATTATTAACTATTATGCCACAATAGAGGCATTGTAGTCTGCATGATAGTCCAACTATTTTTATTTGTAGTTATATATTGATAAATATTTTGAGTATTTTTAAAAATTACAACACAATACTGCAATTGACATTCTTGCATGATTATCTACCATGTATTTCCAAAAGTGGAAAGGCAAACATATGTGTTTAGTTTTTACAGAATGTAGACTATATAACAATTGTATTCCAAAGGAGATCTTGGTTATACATTGATACCAGCATAGTTTGAGCCTACCCTCTTCCCTGTACCCTCAAAACCCTTGTTAACATCTTATGTTTTGCCAGTCTGCTGAAGAAAAATTGGTATCCAATTGTTTAATTCAATTACTTGATTACTAGTAAAGTAAGAATTTTTTTATATTTATCATAATTTGTATTGCCTGTAATCTGAAAGGGTTATTCATATTTTTTTGCCTACTTTTCTATTAAGTCATGTCTCTCTAAGATCTAGCTTAAACGTTACTTTTTCCAAAAAATCTTCCCTGATCTCCCACAACTCAAACCATTATCTTCCTGCTTTAGTTTCTTACAATATTTTATCTACATTTCTCTTATAACACCACTTTCTACTTTGTATGATTGTTATTTTAGTACTATCTAATCGGTCCTTTAATTTCCTTTGGGGACTATTTTATGCTGATTAATCCTTATGACACATATTGTCCACATTTTTTGGACAAAATTCTTCAATGAAGATTGATAATTAAAATTAATAAAAATTAAAATAATTAAAAATTTAATTAACTTAGCTTTTAATTTTTTAATTATCATATAGGCCACCTACTGAGATATACAATTTTTGGTCTAAAGTATTACTTTGAAACAATTATAAGGAAACTAGAAAAAAAAAATTTATTATTCTAAGATCCTTCGGATTGGAAAGTAGCTTTTTCTATATAACAAGATTTACTCTTTCCATATATTCTAGGATAAATTCATCATCTCTCTAAAAATTTCCTAATTTTTGTCATTCAGAAAAATAGCCAATTCCTGTCCTTCATTAAATTTTAATGAATAATCAGTCAATTTTAAAACTCTTGAAAAATTCATATTAAAAAGGAAACATTTATATTATTAAAAAATAATAATTACAAAATGCCCATATAAATATTATTTAGGGCCAGGCACACTGGCTCACATCTGTAATCCCAGAACTTTGGGAGGCTGAGGTGGGCAAATCACTTGAGCCCAGGGTTTGAGACCAGCCTGGGCAACATGACAAAACCCTGTCTCTACAAAAAATTTAAATATTAATCAGATGTGGTGGTGTGCGCCTATAATCCCAGCTACTCAGGATGTTGAGGTGGGAGTGATGGGGTGGGAGTGATAGGGAAGGGAGGCAGGGAAATTCTGGGCAAAAGAGGGCAGGTCCCTGGCAAGGGCTCCACCCTCAAGCCTGGAACCAAAGCCCAAAGTGAGAACATACGTTCCTGTTTTCCCACTCAAATGTTGCCTTTTACAAAATTACCCATGACCTCCCCTGTTCCCCATCCTGTGCCCATAAAAACCCCAGACTCAGCTAGCAAAAAAGAGAAGCAGCTGAACATCAAAAGAGAAGCAGCAGCTAGGCATCAGAGACTATGGTTGGACGTTGGAGAGAAGCAGCTTGATTTCAGAGAGACAGTTTGACAGTGCAACTTTGGAGAAGAGTCCAGCCAGAAACCTTCCTGCTACATGTCCTTCCCAGCTGCCCTTCCTGCTGAGAGCCACTTTCCTTGGCAATAAAATCCTCTGCATTTACCATCCTTCAATTCGTTTCTGTGAGCTGATTTTTCCTGGATGCCAAACAAGAGCTCAGGAGTGAGTGTGGATACAAAAAGGCATGCTGAGCTGCTAACACTTCAGCTGTCTGAAGATGGCAGAGCTAAAGGAGCACTGTAATATGCCCACTGGGGCTTCAGGAATCACAGGCACCCCCCCTAACACCAGGGGCTGCTATGAGGCCCACATGGAGTTTGCTCCTGCCAACACCCCAGAGCTCTCTTCCTGGCTCCTATACCTGCTCACCTGCATGCTCTCTCCTGCAAGAGGTGGAACACAGCAGGTCAGAGTGGGTGAGTTCACTCCTTCTGGCACCAAAGAGGCCACTGGTTCCAGCACTCATGTACTCCAGTTCCTGCCTTATTCAATTACACACTCCCTCCCTTGAGGAGTTGAGAGCAGTGGGCTGAGTAAATGGGGCACCCCTGTCACGAGTCCCATGAAGGGGTCAGGGAAATGCCCTGCTTCAGGAGGATCTCGAGCCCAGGAGGTGAAGGATGCGGTGAGCCAGGATCGTGCAACTGAACTCTGGCCTGGGTGACAGAGTGAGACTCTGTCCCAAAATAAATAAATAAATAATTTAATTAATTAAATTTAGCTTATTCTTTTGAACTTCATTCTTCATAGTGTTATAAAATACATGATTTAAGACAGTGAGAAAGAGAGAGAAGCCAATGATGGACTTCTAATAGAATTCAGAGTGGGACTTGTTTGAACATTTCAACCAAATAACAAAAGATTCCTGCAATTAGTTGACTCTTCAGTCTACCTCAGTTTTAAACATGTTTCAGGTTGCCCTTAACAAACGAGTATAGTTTACTTTGGGCTGATAAATTCTGTGGATGGCAAGAGGTTGTGAATATCCCTTTATAAACCCAGAACTAATGCTACATATCCCTGGCATTAGTGCCTTATTTATCTAAACTTACAAATATATTGGGCAAAATTCCGGGATATGGGCACAGAATTAATAATTGAATACCTTATTTTGTATGGTCATTTGCTCACTGACAAAGATAGAGAAGCAGCTGAAATTCATGATTATGATCCCTAGTTACATCTCTCTTTAAGTCCTTATGTTTGGTTCCCTGGGAGTTTCAGCGCATTTATATAGCAGCACCCAAGTTTTTATAATCTGTTAAGTATTACTATCTAGGATTAGCTACTGAAGAATCAAGAACCGGTAGTTGATGAACTTGAAAGACAATTATCCTATATAGTGTTTCTTGAGGACACTAATTTCTTGAGATTGAATGAGAGGAAAACATAATATCCACAAACAAATAAATTTTGGAATATTATATGCTTTAGCTTCCTCTTGGATATTTACAAAAATATTAGCATATTAACGATTACAGAATGAAGAAACCTTTTTAGCTACATTTAAACTAGTCCTAGAGTTTGAATATATTTCCTCCAAATTCATGTTTAAGTTTAATCCTCAAAGTGATGAGGAAGTGGGGCCTTTGGAGGCAATTAAGTCATAATGGCTGTGCACTCATGAATGAGATTAATATCCTAATAAAGGAAGCTTCTGAGAGCTTCCTGGCTCTTCCATTTCTTCTGCCATGTGACAACATGGCATTTGTCCATTTTGTCCCTTTGCTTTTCCTACCATATGATTAAGTCATGCAAAATGACATCTATGAAACAGGCCCTCATCAGACAATGAATATGTTGGTGCCATAATCTTGAACTTCCCAACTCCTGAACTTTCAGAAATACATTTCTATAATCATAAATTACCCAGTCTGTGATATTTATTATAAGACCAGGAACAGACTAAAACAGCAAATGCTTTCCCCCATCCCTGACTACTTTCAGAATGTTTAAGAGTTGTCCATACAGTTTCTTATGGCAATTATGAAGCAGATATTTTTCAGGAAAGTGGCATGCATATATGTGAATTTTTTAGAGGAGTTGAAAAACAAAACAAAACACTTGTTTGGCAATGTTCATTCCTCACAGAATCAGTGCTATTCATTTTGGAAAATATCTTAGTATCCTGCTTGTTGCCTTATTAGTTGTTTTTCTCTCATTGCAATCAGCTGTTGCCATGTACCTTTTGCATTTAGTGGTCAGGGTCTTCGGAATTGTATGAATCTGATATCAAATCCTAGTTGTATTGCTGACTAGCTGTGAAAAAAGATTTTAAACTTATTATTTTCAGTTTACTCATTTATTAAGTACCAATATTAATATTGAAACTAGAGAAATAGATTAAATGGCATACTTGTATAGTAATTGTTACATAGGAAAACTCTCAATAAATCAATGCTGTTATTATTACCATTAATATTCCCTAGATGTGAAGATTGCCTTCAGAGGAAACATACTGGAAAAAAAAATGAGTTTTACAGAAGTTTTTAAGCAGAAGTTGATTGGTTTTACACACACACACACATACACGCACACATATTTACACACATATAAATATGTATCTTTTATATATATATGCACACACATTTGTTTCTATTTAAAATGAATAAAGTACGTTAGTCATGTGTGCCCAATTTTCTGATACACTAAAAAATGGAAATATCTTGGCAGACACTATTGATAGGCTATGCAAATGTAAACTTCTCTTGCCTAGTTTTTTATTTGGAAAGTAAAATATCCATGTTTCTTGGTGTGGCCATGTGAATTTTGTGACATTGAAATGGATATCATAAGATAGGTTCCTAGGAAAGCCTTTAAAAAAGCACAAACTTGGCCTGCATGGCTTTGGCCTTTTGCCCCTTTGCCCTTTGCTGCTTCAGCCTTTCCTATTTTTCTTGGCTGCAATATGAGCAATCATGACTCAGGGTGCTACAGGCATCATGCTATCTTATATCATACCTCTTTCTAAGGAAATGCTATTAATGTCCCTACATGTGTATAACAAATCTTCAGCGTCCCTGTGTGGCTGCTCTTCTTATCCTGTCCTGGCTTGTACTCTTTCTTTTGTAGAAGTAAGTAAACATCTTGCCTGTGAAAACTGCTTTTAGTTGCACCCTGTATTCCTTATAGCTAAACCCTATCTACCTGAAACCTATATTGATACTTATGCCATATATTTAGTTTGGAGACCAGATTAAATTTAGAGTTCCATTAATTCCATAATAAATATTTTTGAGTGGCTAGTATGGGTAATGTGATATTTAAGCTACTGGTATAGTGTGGTAAACTGAAGATATGACCTGAAATGTTTGTAACTTATATGATAATAAGTGGAGAGAGCTGAAAATTAGGTAAATAAATAGATAACCACAGATTTTGATCTGTTATACAAATACGATAAATATGGCAGAAAGGACTGTAAGCTAAGGAGTAGAGTAAGAGAAAGCAATTATAAAAAGATTGGCAACTAAATGTTATCTAACAAGTGATACTTAAAGGCTGAGATACTTTAAACTATAAGACACAGTATTGTAAAAATCTTGGAAATTGTGTTTTTTAAGTTAATGGTGCAATTTATCTAATGTGTAAATACAAGTGCTGGTTTGTTGAAGGAGCAGAAAAAAAAGATTAGTTTGAGTATGGGGAAAGAGAAGGAGATTGGAGAGAGGTTTAAGAACTAAGCATATGCCAGTTTATATAGAGTTTATGCAACAAAGAAGATATTTTTTGTGCATCAGCTTGTATTGTTGCATAATACTATACCCCAAACTTACTGGTATAAAATAGTAAACTTGTATTATGCTCACAGGTTCTGTGGGTCAGGAATTTAGAAACAGGCACAGTGGGCATGCCCCTTTTCTGCACCTCAATGATGAGGCCTCAGCTGGGAAGATTTACATGTCTGAATGCAACTCAAATAGCTGAGGGCTAGGACAGCTGGGACTGGAGTGTCCACTTCCAAATTGCTTTTTATGCCCATATCTGGCACTTGGCCTTGTGTATTTGAAGCTAGGAATGAACTGGGATTGTCAACCAGAACTCCTATTCATGGTCTATCCTCATGGTTTGGGTTTCTCCCAGCCTGGCAATACTGGGGCCCTCCTGAGATGGAGGATTCTGAAAAAAAGTGAGCAGAAGTCAGATTGTCGATTTAGGCCAGGTCTCAAAAGTTACACAGCATTGCTTTTTTTTGTATTCTCTTAGTCAAAGAAGTTAAAAGTCCCCCCAGATTCAAGGTCAGAGACCCCAGTCCCCACATCTCAATGAAATGACAGTTGAAGAACTCTTGAGAAGATATTTTATAACCATTACATTATATCAAATGAAAAAAGGTGATTTTTTATGTCATTTAATTTGTCCCACAATATTGACTTTTTACTCTTCTCCATGTCCTGATACTCATAATATTCCTCATTTTTCTCCATTAAACTCCATCTTTCAGGGACACTTTTAATACATTATTTTATACTAAATTGTAAACTAGAATTAATTTTTGAAGTATTGCCACTTGCAGGGGGATGTATATTTAATTTACGGAATTATAAATCTAGACAATAATGTACATTGTTAGGATTTTCTATCAGAATTATTTTAATTAATAAATGTTACCTTTAATTTTTTTTAAATCATCCTTTTTTAAGCATTTATTCAGTTGGGACTTTCAGTTCATGTACTTTCCTCTAAATTAAAATCAGATATCATTTGTAGAATTTTATGCAATGACTAAGATGGTTTTTTGGGAGTTGATATTCATTACCAAATTTTCTGAAAATATGTAGTATTTGCATTATATCATGATTTCTTATGTTACAATAGGTTTTTTAAAAAAATTTCAATAACATTAAAATTATTTCTAAATACATCTTAATTTAAAGTAGTTAATTTTAAAATATTTAGTCATTAACTTATAGAATTTAATTTAAATTACCGAGGTGTGTGCATGAGATCAAATAATTATTCTACATTTGCAGTATTTCACAGTGTTTTGTTCTATTTATAATTCGTGTTCCTTCTATGTGTGGAAAAAAAAATAAGGCTTGTCATGTTCATAACAAAATGTTAAAACCTTTAAGAAAGAATGGAAACTACAACAGAATATTTCTAATTTCAGTTGTACTCCATGTCTGCCATTATACAGATTGTTTAGAGAATCTCCCAAATTACATTCCATATAAAAAGAAATTGAGTGTCAGTGTATCAAACAGAACCATTTTAAACAGTCATGCAAGATGGAGAGAGGAGGTATAATAATGTGGGCCCTGAAATGTTACAGTATGATAGAGTCATAGTTTTATGATAGTTTTTTTCACTTTAATTTCCAGGAATAATCATGAAGTTTAAGAAGAAAGAATACTATCAGAAAAGAAGCAATTTTTTTTATATTTAAAAAGTTCCCTTTTTCCAGTCTGTTCATTTTTATGCATCAACTCTCATTTTATGTTGACAATTTCATAATAACTATATTTACCTTTATTTTTTATCCATATGCATTTCATTTAAAAGTGAAAACTTCCACTCAAAATGTAAAAAGAACTTATAGAACTTGCCTCCAAAGAGCTCTACTAGTCTGTCTTTCCTATTTCATCCAATGTTACGACTACAATTCCCATCTATCAAACACAGCAGAGTCAATTGGTAAGTCATTTATGTCTCTTTTTATACTATTTTTCATGAAGTTTCTCTATTTTCCAGTTCTATTGTATGTCACCTCAAATATCCATACAACACATTATTTTAATCTCCTTCCCTCTAAGCATTTCTGTTCCACTTAATCTAACACAATGTTCTCAAAGATATGACAAACTGCAACTCTGTTAAAAAACCTTCAAAGACTTTCCACTGAACTGAACAGAATTAGAATAGATGATTATTTCAGTCATGTGTTGGTATACAACAAAATACCCCAATCACCTGTTCTTCCTCCTGTTAAAGTCAATGTATTATTAAAACGTCCAACTTCCTTTTATGAAATATTTCACACATACCCAAACATGAAAAATAATTGATACAGCAACATAACCAGAAACAAGATTATAAGAAATTCTACAAGGGATAACTACAGGCTAAAATTGTTTAGCATCCCCTTGTATATTTCTCTATTTTTAAGTACAGGTCTGTGTATAGAATATTTTATAACGCATACGGTAGTGTTTGTATCTTCAAATTTAAATAAGATGTTATTGTTTTATCTGTATTATTTCAACACATGCTTTATAATCTCACTATGATATTTTTGAGAACCATTGCAGCTGATACTTGGGTATCCGTTTTTGTTTAATTTCTATATGGGATTTCATTATATATATAATATAAAGCTATCAATTTTCATATCAGGAAATGTTGGCATTTTTATATTTACCATTGTAAATGTTAAAAACAAAGCTACAATAAATATTTATGGTTTTGTTGTTTATATATATTAGAATTTTCATAGGATAGACATAGAGCAGGGAAATTTTACAACTTTGGGCACTTTCATCCTTACATTGTCAAGTAGCTTTCCAAAGTCGTTGTATGAATTTATCTTCCCACTATATAATTGTTAGAGTTCCTGTTTTCTAACAGCCTCATCAAAGAGGAAAATTTCTCAAGTATTAAGCAGTAAAGTAAAAAAAAAAGTCATCATTCTACAAATTCAATTTTACTAAATAAAATATATTTTATATTTTCTTTAAAAGTGATACAAGATATCTTTCACATTTGAAGTTAATGTGATGTTAGAATACAATTTACAATTTTTCTATATGTTAATCAAATGCATCACTGCTATGTTATGAATAGTTATTCATTTTTCTGGGTGACATGACAATTCATATGTAAAATATCAAAAGTCGTCCATGAATTTTTGAATTTCCTGCTATAGTCCAGTGAACAAATTGTTCATCTCTGAGTCAATGCCACACTATCATAATGACTATAATTCATAATCAATTCTTATTGAATATCTGCTCAGTGCCAGTATATGAGTTTGCTGGATCTGTTATAACAAATTACCACAAACGTAAATGTTTAAAGCAACAGAAATATATTCTCTTACAGTTCTGTAGGGCAGAAATCTGAAATCAAGGTATAGGTAGGCCCACTTTCCTTCTCAAGTGTTTATGGGTGGATCCTACTTTACCTCTTTCAGCTGCTGGTGGTTCAAGGCATTCTTTGGTTTGTAGCTGCATAACTCCAAGCTCTGCTTCCATCCTCAAATAGCCTTCTATTTTCTGTATCTTCTCCTCTTCTGTCTTTCATAAGAACACTTATTGGATTTAGGGTGCACTAGGATCATCCAGTATGATGTCATCTCAAGATCCTTATTAATATATACAAAAAAATTAGGTCACATCTACAGTTTCTGTGGGCTAGCATATGGAAAGATATGTGCATATTTATCATATTTTGGGAGGCACCATTGAATCTACTAGAGACAAACATCTACATTTAGGATATTAAAGAAAAAAATCCTTGCCTTTGTAAAGATTACAGTCAGATATAGGATGACACAAAAGAAATAAAATATAGACAGGTGTTGAAAAGTTATATATTTTGTGAAGAAAATAAAGTAAGGCAGGATACACAGTAATAGTGGCAGATTACAATTTTAATTAATGTATTCAGTAAGTAACATTGTAAAAATAGCATTGAAATAAACACATCAAAAGGCTGAGGGAAGAAAAAGAATACAGTTTTTCTCTACATCCCAAATTACTTCTGATTGAATGTTTTTACTGGGATCTGTTTCTGGGAGAGACTAAGAGAGTGACTAACTTTGGATAGATTCTGAAGGTAGAGCAAGCAGCAAGACTCGCTGAAAGGTTGGATGTGCAATTCTTGACAAAGAAAATAAGCAGGATTGACTCTAAGATTTTTGCTCTGAGACAAATGGTCGTTGGTGAGAATGTGCATTTCAAAGTTGAGATATTTATTAGCTTCTCAAAAGAAGACAGCATAAGAAGTTGGATGTAAGAGCCTGGCATTTAGAAGAGAAGTAAGAGGTAGAGGTACAAATTTGCAAGTTCTTAGCATAAACAATATTGTAAACCATGGCTCTGTGACAACTCATCAAGGGAGTGGGGGTGGACACAGAAGTGTTCCAAAGACTAAGAAATAGCATACAAAGACATAAGAAGAAAGCCAAGAGGACGTGTTCTGGAAGCCAAAGAAAAAAACTGGTTTTGTTTGTTTGTTTGTTTATGTGTTTTTGTTTGTTTGTTTTTTAATTAAAGAAAAAGAGACTACTGATAGATCAATAAAATGAGAATAAAAAATTAACCTTTATATTTTGGAACATGAAAATAATTAGTGATTTGAAAGAAACATTTAATTGAAATGGTCAATACTTTTCTAGTATTTTAATTGTAACTCATGCCTCACTTTGTTACCCAGGTGGGACTGGACTCCTGACCTCACATTTTTAAATAATTAATGCTTATTTAGATTTACCCTTACATTTAACAGGTTTACAGTTGCCACTTGCTTCTCACACTTGTCTTTTTTAGTGTTTTCTTTTTTCTTTCTTTGTTACTTTAAAAACAGTTGTTCAATGAATCCATGAGTGTGCTTTCTTAAAATTTTGTAGACCCAAAAAGTCTCAGCGCTGTGTATAGTATTCTATCTTGCACTGTATATTTTGCATTTGGAACTTGGTATGCCATTGCAGTATTGTATTAGTTTTTCAGTGAACTAGCTTCTTTTTAAAATATTCACCAAATCAGTGTTCTTTCTAGTTTGGATTTATTTTTATCAATTCTGTTCAGAAATTGTCCAATTCCTGAATGTGAAAATTTTTTTTCTTTAATGACTTACAGAAAATTTCCAGTTATTACCTCTAGATATTGCCTCAATACCATCTTAAATGCACTCAAATTATCTAATATAATAATATTTTTTGTCCGTCTTGCTCTATGTTGATAACTTTATTTCTCTGTGATATATATTTATTATACTAATTTTAATCATCCATATCTCATAGGTTTTTAAATTCAATTACTATATTTTTATTTTTGGATATCCTTTGCCAAATCTGCTCTTCATTTCTTTTTAAATGTCTTTAGTGTTTATATATGTTCATTACATATTATTAATTTTATAATTTTTTTCAAATTATTCATCTATTTTTACACATACTTTTAATTCTGCTGTTTTACATCTGCTGACTCTTATTGTTGGTATTTTTTTTTTTTTTGAGACAGAGTCTCACTTTGTTGCCCAAGCTGGGTTGCAATGGTGCAATATCAGCTCGCTGCAACTTCCACCTCCCAGGTTCAAGCAATTCTCCTATTTCAGCCTCCCAAATATCTGGGATTATAGGCACCTGCCACCATGCCTGGCCAATTTTTTGTATTTTTAGTAGAGACGGGGTTTTGCCATGTTGGCCTAGCTGGTCTTGAACTCCTGACCTCAGGTGATCCACCCGCCTCAGCCTCCGAAATTGTTGGGATTACGGGCGTGAGCCACCGCGCCTGGCATGTATATTATTTTTCATTGTGTATTTTGTAATTTTTGTTTGTGAATTTATTTTTAATATAGTTTTCAATTTAACTTGTTAGTTTCTGTAGTGGCAAATCCTTGTGTTTGCAGTATTGGATTATTTCTCCATAACAGTTTCACATTTCTTCTGCTAGGAAATCCATGGGGAATATTGGAATTGGGCTAGTTTTTATTTTATTTCTAATGTTTAAAGTTTCTAAAAAATATTGGTGTTATAAAATTCTACTTCAATCCTGAGTAAAGAATAAAGTGCTAGTGACAAATTCCCAGTTATGTTTTCCTTTCTTAATATTTGAGAGCCACAGCAAATGTTGCATACCCTTTGATGTTAAGCAGAAACTTTTGTCTAGACATTGACTTCAGGCTTTAAAATACGTAGTATCTCCCCCAGATTAAAGGTAACTAGTCCCTGATTTCTATTAAAATATAATTTTTAGAAGCTTAAAATCATAGCTCTCAGACAAATATAAAATGAATAGGTTTTAAAGATATTAACTTGAATTAATAAATAACAAATAGATGTTTTAAATGACACAAAGGGAATCTGAGAAACTGGGACATTTAGAAGCAATTTAGCAAAATAACATTAAGATTGCTTGGTTAAATAAATAAATATAGATTGATATATAACAGTGTCATAAATCTGTGAGGTTATCTGTTCTACTAAGGAGATATATTTGTATCTTTACAGGAAAAAAAATTCATGGTGCAAAATCCCTTTACTAAATCTGGTACCTTTAATTATTATTGTGTAGCACTTAAGTATAGGAACTTGAATATAGCCAATATATTCCTAAAGATCTCCTAAATTACTCTCCAAATAAAATGATTTTTGTACATAATTTTTCTATTCCCATTAATTATCTTTCACAGTTTTATTTTGTTTTGATTTTTTCTTGTGTTCCTTCCCCCTCCCCTTGGCATTCAGTTAATTCTTCTATTTTCTTTCCCAAACAGGCACATTATCATTAAATGTAATGGTTGGCTGAATCATAACCACATTTAAATATTGCTCTGTTTTGCTATTTGTTTTTCTTCCTTCTTTCCTTTCTTCGTTCTTGCTTTTCTTGGCAAGCTTATAAAGTTTTATTTGTGTAATTGCTACACAAAGAAACTTCATTGTGTTTGTATTTGCCCTTCAATTGGATCATAAATGACTTGGTGGCAATGAATATACATAGCTATTTCTGCATCCTAAGTAGCATATATGTAGGTTTTGAATACAGGATTGATAAATGTTTGTCTTGTGAAATTAAAATAATTACTGATGTCTACATATTGTTTCCAGCTTGCTTCTCTGTTGTTTCCTCTTTAGATATGCTAGATAACCACTTCAATATGATTCTTCTTATGTAAAACCTCATATATTCTCAAAATTATTATGTATGCATTCAACTAACTGTACATCTATAGTACAGTAAAAAATGAGGTTGTAGTAAGTGAAAATGCATTTATAAGTATAGGCAAATTTTTAGGCAAGACACCTCATAAAGATCACTTTAGAAATTAGATCAAGTAAAAATAAATCACAAAAAGAAACGTGAATTAGTCATGTTAAACATTGTTTTAGTCAGTAAAACAACATTGAAAAAAGAGGATCTTGTAAAGCCTGATACTTGATTCCTATAGGATAACTAAATCAAATCAGATGTTTTAGAGGTAATGGTCACCTGATTGTTTTCTCTTAAGTTTTTTCATATAATAGGTGCAGTGGTTCTTGCAATGAGGATTTTTTTTATGGAAATGTGAAATAAAGTACAGAAATTCCTAATGAAAACCTGTCTTTTAAGTGGATCTCTAAATTCTAAGAAAGTGCTTATAATATCTTAGTTATTTAGCTATTAGCCTGTCAATCATTAGGAAAGTAAGAGCAATTTACAAAGCATCTACCACTGTGCTAGTACTTGCTCACATGTTCTCGTCCACCTAAGGGAATATTCAAAGCATCTTAATAGTTGCTACTAATTCATATAATTTAATTAATTGTATAGCAAATACATTCTCATCTTATTTCACATTTTTAACATACACAAGATATAGCTATTTTATAGTGATTAGGTTTAGTAAAAATAACACTGATAAAACTCAACTGTTAGCATGTAAAGTTTTAGGCTATGTATTTTTCAAAACAACAAAATATAATTTTTTTAGACTCAACTTGAAATTTTGTAAAAAATAAAGTTTCAGAAATAGTAAACTATCACAGAACAAGAAGCATAATAGAAAGTAGAAATTGTTTTACTATAAAAAATACTATAAATAAAAGGGCTAAATGTTTGTTAATATTCATATACTGATACCAAATATTAGATGCCTTGAGTCACTAAATTAAATTGTCCCTAAATATTACATTTATTATTTAAAATGTTAAAGTTGCTTACAAACCTCAACAGATATTTTTGCCAACTTATAGATGGGAGAATTTAAAAAGATGCTGATTTTTTTAAAAATAGCTTTTAGAAAAACAACAAAGTGATTTTATGTCTGGAAGTGAAGACCCTTGGAGGAATTTTTCTCATGGACTGTCAAAATATATACCCAAACCATAAGTGGATGTCTGAATAATAATTCATTTACTTTTATTTGATTTGTCAGGTTTTATTTTTCAAAACAAGAGTCAGAATAAGTGATGTATTTTAGTTGGACTTGTTTCTATTGTTTATTAACATATCCAAGGAACATGTAGAGTGAATTGGCAGAATATAATCATATTATCAAATAATTACTAGTTTAGTCAGTTTCATAAACCTAGATAATCAAATGAAAATACATAATAATATAATTAAGTCATAATTTTTATCAAAATTTTAAAATTAATGAATTAAATCCAGCTACCAAAGATAAGGGTTTGTGAAAAGTAGTTACAATACTAGAGTGGAGGTTGTAATGAAAACTCAGAATGGGCTATAGTATTAAAAAAATAATAAAGACCTCCAGTATTTTTTTTTCTCAAAATGGCAGATTAGAGTCATTGTTAGCATGCCTCTCCTATTTGGAAAGACAGAATTGTGTGTGGAGATTCACATTGTAAATTTTTTCCAAGAAGCAACACAGAAAATTAACAGGAAAAAACTGAAAGAAAGCACAGACCTTTTGAAAGAAGTGTCAGGTTGCTGTCCACATCATGAGCCAGGAGGAAAACTATAAGTCCCTAGAATGTCAGATAGGGGTAAACTGCCTCTAGGACATATACTCCTACTGGGGAACCAAGCAATCCAGGCCACAGGGAAAGGCCTTAATCCCACCCAGCACTGGAGCTGATTTAGTGAGCAGTGGGGCATATATGAGAAGTAGCAGCATGGGGACGGGCTTAGTGTGCATGCCCAGCAGGACAGAGGAAAGCCATCCCTGATCCTACCTCACAGGGGACCTCACAGAAGTCAGCCAGGTAACTCAGGCAGTGGTCACAGGTTGAGAGAAGCTCTCAACTGAGATTCGTGATATAATCTCGAGTGGAGACAAACCCCCTTGGTCAGAACCATGGGGCAGATGGGAAATGTGCTGCAGCCATAGGTGCAAGAGCTGGGTGCCCCTGCTTCATGGGCCGACTAGGAGAGGTGTGACCTGGAAGCCATGGTTGCAGTCTCTTCTGGGAAGTCTTATGGACTTGGGCAGTGTTGAGTTCTGAGTGTTGACTGCTTGGAACCAAGCTGCTGTGAGTGGGAGGCTGCAGGTGCAAGACTTGCTTTGCCAAGTGTATGGGAGCTGAGTGGGGCTAACTGCTGCCTGCTGCTCCCTATTCCTCATACAGATGCTTCTCTGCAGCAGAGGCAGCTGTGGTACTCCCTGCAACATTACTCCTACAGCCAGAGGACCACTATCTGATCCCCACTTGGGACACTGCTTTTGCCCACACATGGCAGACAAAAGAGAGCCAGAATGTGAACTTGCCTGATTCAGCCCCCAGCTGGCTTTGCCCCTCCATCTGCCCTGGTAGCTTAACACAAAGAATAGAAAATTTTGAGAGCTCAATGGCCCTGCCCATTGCCTGAGTCATCAGATTACCTCCCCTGGGTAACATAAGGCAAGCACAAATCCCACTGCTACCAGCTGGTGCTCTTTTTCAAGTGCCACCTTGTGGCTGGAAGCCTACTGACACAATCCATTACAGCATCTGCAGGCACACTAACAGTGCACAGGAAAGAGAAAACTTGTGTGTGACCTAAGCTATCACCTTTGCCTATATAACCTTGGCTAACTAGGAGGTCCTGAGTCTGTCCATGTGACCAGTTCATTACTACTACAGGTAGCATTACAGAAAAACCAATGCACCAAGACTACTTATAATCAAGAAATCTCACAGAGTCTGTGTCATTCTCCTGTCACCCCCATGAGAGCTGTTGTTGCTACTCACTACGGAGCCTTGAGAACAGGTCACATTACTGGACCCCTTGTAGACATTCCCCAGCACCAACCTGGAGTGTGGCAGTCCCACTAGGTGGCTAGAGCCAGAGAAGTAGCAGCATTCATACTAGTCTGGCCCTCAGGGACTCCTACTCTTAGGATAAGGGGGAGTGCACATCAGTGGCACACCCCATGGAAAAAAGAATCTAGATGGCAGGCCTTGAGTCCAGAACATCCGACCTGTGGAAAGTTTCTTTCAGTAGAGGCACAGGTACAGTGCTGTACTTGGGAAAATCTGCAGAACGGTCTTGAAGAAAAAGACTTTCCCCCCTCATTCACTGCTGCAGACACAGCTGGTACTTCTCTTATGGGAATTTAGCATGAGTGGACCTGTAGATAGCCTTTCTGGAACACCTCAAGTTAACTGCATCCCCAGAGGAGGAGTCCCCTCCAGATTCAGATTTGCATAAGGCATAGAATCACAATCTCTCTCTACTTGGAACGTCAGAATTCCTGCAAATAAAAAGGGCCTGCTAATCTGAATAGCTAGAACTGTATTTAGGAGTGTGACCTGCTTTCCTGGGGGCCTGGCAAGGGAGCTGAAGTGGCTCCCTCCCTTCCCCGTGAAAAGACCTCGGTGCATTTCACTAAGAGCTCCCAGAGATGCCTCGGTCAAGGCTTGGACTTCTTCCCACCATTGGGTATTGCATTTACCAATCTGCTGGTTTTCACTCAGGGACACCACCCCTACTGGCCTGAAATCTGAATTATTCAACCAGGTAAAGAAAACACTGGGAGAAAAAAAAAGGCAAAAAAGTGCACACAACTTGGGAACTAGATAAGCTTCATGAGACCTCTGCCATTGCTACCCCACAGGAAACAGTGAACCTCCACACACACACACTGAGCATAATGTTACCACAACTAGCATCTGAGAAAGCCACCATACAAAGATTTTAAATAACCAGGGAACTTATACAGTCTTCACCCCTGAAAGCACGCAGAGCTGAATTAGGTTACAATAAACTATAAACATTAAAGTCAAATCCTCAAAGTGAAAAAAAAAGTGAAAAATCACAGTCAAGTCAAAAAATAAATTCAAAAATAATTAGAAGACATAGTCTCAAAAGTAATTAGAAGATATACTCTACCCAAATGAGAAGAAACCAGAAAAATAATTCTGGCAATAGGACAAAATAGGGTTCTATAACACCTCAAAAAGAACACACTAAGTCCCCAGCAATGGATCCCAACCAAGATGAAATCTTTGAAATGCCAGAAAAAGAATTCAAAGAAATAAGCAAAGTCTCTTAGAAATAGCTGATTATGTAAAATGGCCAAATATAGCAATTGCTGTTCTTGAGGGAGAAGAAACAGCAAAACCTTTAGAATACTTATTTGAGGACATAATTGAAGAAAACTTTGCTAGCCTTGCTAGATATTTAGATGTCCAAATACAAGAAACTCCATGAGCTCTGGGGAGGTTCACTGCAAAACTGACATTACAAAGCCATATAGTAATCAGGCTATCTAAAGTCAACATGAAGAAATGAATTCTAAGAACAGTGAGACAAAAGTATCAAGTAACCTATAAAGGAAAACCTATTAGACTAACAGCAGACTTCTCAGCAGAAATCTTACAGCCCAGAAGTTCACTCTATCTTTAGGCTTATCTTTAATATCCTTAGACAAAATAACTATTAGTCAAAAATTTTGTATCCAGCAAAACTGAGTCTCATAAATGAAAGAGAAATAATGTCTTCCACAGACAAGCAAATGCTGAGGGAATCTGTCCCTATCAGACCAGTCCTACAATAAATGCTAAATCTTGAAACAAAAGGTTGAGCTGCATCAGAATAGACGTCTTGAAAGTATAAAACTTATAGAGCCTATAAAGCAATAACAAAGTGAAAAAAAAAAAAACCTAAAATTTCTAGGTAACAACATACTGACTGGAACTCCACTTCATGTCTCATAATTGACATTGGCTGTAAATGGTCTATATACTCCACTTAAAAGATACAGAATGGCAGAGTTGATTTAAAAAAAATCACAAATCAAATATCTGCTGTCTTCAAGAAACTCACCTAACATACAAAGATTCTCATAGATTCAAGGTAAGGGGGTGGAGAAAGATATTCAATGCAAATGGAAACCAAAAGCAAGCAGGTGTAGTTATATCAGATAAAGTAGACTTTAAAGCAACAATAGTAAAAAAAAAACAAAGAAAGTCATTACATAATAATTAAATAATTAATTCAACAAAATATAATAATTCTACATAAGTATGCACATGACACTGGAGCTCCTACATTTATAAAACAATTACTACTAGACCTAAGAAAAGGAATAGACAGCAACACAATAATAGTGAGGAACTCTAACACTCCACTGACAGCACTAGACAGATCACTGAAGCAGGAAGTCAACAACAACAAAAAGCACTGGACTTAAGTTGCAGTCCAGAAGAAATGGACCTAACAGATGTTTACAGAACATTGTACCCAAAAACTGCAGAATTCACATTCTTCTCATCAACACATAGAACAGCCTCCAAGACAGACCATAGGATAGGCCACAAAAACAAATCTCAATAAATTTTAAAAAGTCAAAATTATATAAAGTATCTTCTCAGGTCACAGTGAAATAAAACTAGAAATGAGCTCCAAAAGGAACCCTTAAAACTATATAATTACCTGGAAATTGAACAATCTGCTTCTTAATGATTATTGGGTTAACAATGAAATGAAGAAATAAATTAAAAAATTCTTTAAATGGATGATTATAGTGACACAAGTTATCAAAACCTCTGGGACATAGCAAAAACAATGCTAAAAGGAAAGTTTCTAGCACTGAACACCTACATAAAAAAGTCTGAAAAATTACAAATTCACAACATAATGTCATACCTCAAGAAACTATAGAAACAACAAATCATACTTAAAGCCAGGAGAAGAAAAGAAAGATTAAAGCAGAACTAAATGAAATTGAAATAAAAATACAAAAGTTTAATGAAACAAAATTTGGTTATTTGAAAATAGAAATAAAATAGATCATTAGTTAGAACAATTAAGATTGTTAGAACAATTAACAACTGTTCTAACAATTAGTTAGAACATTAGAACAATTAAGAAGATAGAAGTTTAAATTAGCTCAATTAGAAATGAAAATGGAAACATTTTAACCAATATCACAGAAATATAAAAGATCATTTGAGACTACTATGTAACCTCTATGCACATAAAAATAAAAGTAAAGAAAATAGATAGATTCCGGGAAACATACAACCCTACTAGCTTAAACCAGGAAGAAATAGGTATCCTTACAGACCAATAACAAGCAGTGAGATTGTATAAGTAAGAAAAAAAAATGCTGACTAAAAAACCCAGACAGATCACAGCCAAATTCTACCAGACATTCAAAGAAGAATTGGTACCAAGCCTACTGAAACTACTCTAAAAGACTGAGAAAAAGGGAATCCTCCTTAACTCATTCTATGAAGCCAGTATCACCCTGATACCAAAACCAGAAAAAGGCATATCATAAAAAAAGAAAACTACAAATGAACATCTCTGATAAAGACATATGCAAAAATTCTTAACAGATACTGGCAAATCAAATCCAAAAGCATATCAAAAAGACAATTCACTATAATCAAGTGAGTCTCATCCCAGGGATGCAAGGATGACTCAACATACACAAGGTAATAAATGTGATGTATTTCATAAACAGAATTAAAAACCAAATACATATGATCATCTCAATAGATGCATAAAAACATTCAGTAAAATCCAGCATTGCTTTATGATAAAAACCCTAAACAAACTAGACATAGAATAAACATATCTCAAAATAATAAAAGCTATATATGACAAACCCATGGCCAACATCATATTGAATGGGGAAAAGTTGAAAGTATTCCCACTGAGGGCTAGAACAAGTTAAGGATGCCCATTTTCACCACTTCTACTTAACATAGTACTGGAAGTCCTACCCAGAGCAATCAAGCAAGAGGAAGAAATAAAGGGCATCCGAACTGGAAAAGAGGAAGTCAAATTATCTCTGTTTGCTGATGATTTAAGCATATACTTAGATAAGCCTAAGAATTCCACCAAAAGACTCTTCTATTTGATGAATGAATTCATAAAATCTTAGGTTACAAAATGAATGTACACAAATTAGTACTACTGCATAGCACCAACAATGATCAAGCTGAGAATCAAATCAAGAACTCAATTTCTTTTACAATAGCAGCAGAAAAAAAATTGAAATACACTTAACCAAATAAGTGAAAGATCTCCATAAGGAGAGCTACAAAAACTGCTGAAATAAATTAGAGATGATATAAACAAATGGAAATACATCCCATGCTCATGGATAGGAAGAATCATATTTGTGAAAATGACCTTACTGCTAAAAGCAATCTACAGATCCAATGCAATTCCTATCAAAATACTGACATCGTTTTTCATAGAATTAGAGAAAGCAATTCTAAATTCTTATGAAACCAGAAATGAGCTTGAATTACAAAAGCAACTCTAAGCAAAAAGAACAAATCTGGAGGCATAGTGTTAAGAGACTTCAAGTTATAATACAAGGTTTTAGTAATCAAAACAGCATGCATGGTACTGGTATAAAGGTAGATAAATAAACCAAAGGAAAGGAATAGAGAAACCAGAAATAAAGCCAAATGTATACAACCAACTGAACTTCCACAAAGCATTCAAAAACATAAATAGGAAAGGACACCCTATTCAATAAATGATGCAGGGAAAACAGGATAGCCACATGTAGAAGAATGAAACTGGATCACTCTTTCTCACCATCCACAAAAATTAGAAGATGGATCAGACTTAAATATAAAACCCAAAACCATAAAAATTCTAGAAAAAAAACTAAGAAAAACACATCTGGACATTTACCTAAGCCAAAACTTTATGACTAAGACTCCAAAAGTAAATGCAACAAAAACAAAAATAAATAAAAAGGACATAATTAAACTAAAAACCTTCACAGCAAAAGAAATAATCATCACAGTAAACAGATAACTCAGAGAATAGAAGAAAATATTTACAAAGTATGCATCTAGCAAATAATTAATATCTAGAATTAACAAGGAAAACAAATCAGCAAGAAAAAATAATCCCATCAGAAAGTGAAAAAAAATGACATGAATAGACATTTCTCAAAAGAAGATATACAAATGACCAACAAACATATAAAAAATTATTAACATCACCAATCATCAAAGAAATGCAAATTAAAACCACAGTGAGATACCATCTTTTCCCAGCATAATAGGTATTATTAAAAAGTCAAAAGAAAAAAAACAGATTTTGACATGAATGTGGTGAAAAGGGCATGCTTATACATTGCTGGTGGGAATGGAAATTAGTACATCCTTTATGTAAAGCATTATGGAGATTTTTGAAATAACTAAAAGCAGATCTAGCATTCAGTCCATCAATCCCACTACTGGTTATCTACTCAAATTAAAAAAGTCATTGTATCAAAAATACACCTGCATGTATATGTTTATTGCAGTACAATTCACAATTACAAAGATACAGAACCAACCTAAGTGCTCCTCAACCAATGAGTGGATAAAGAAATGTGGTAAACATACACCATGACATAATACTCAGCCCTAAAAAGAATGAAATAATGTCATTTGCAGCAACTCCAACTGGAGCTGCAGGCCATTATTCTAAGTGAAGTAACTCAGGAATGGAAAACCAAATATCATATATTCTCACTTTTAAGTGGTAGCTACGCCATGGGTATGCATACAGAGTGGTATAATGGACATTGGAGACAACTAAGGGGTATAGTAGGAGGTGGGTGAGGGATAAAACACTACATATTGGGTGCAATGTACACTACTTGGGTGACATGGGCACCAAAATCTCAGACTTTACCACTCTGTAACCAAAAACCACTTGTCCCCAAAAGCTATTGTGTTATATATGTATATTACATATGTCTAAGTATAGCCATAGATATCCAGGATATTTTTTTTAATCCTTAAAAAACCATATGATTTAAGAGAACTTAAAGTTATTAAAAATATATTATTATTTTAATTCTCCATCTCCCCTGGTAGTATGCTATGCAAATAATAATGAGGAGATGTTAAAGGTCCCTGGGTTTCTCATGGATTCTCTCAAAGCACTAGCTTCTTGAGACTCTTCACACACTGAGAGAATTAGATCTGCAGCCCTTTGTCCAGTTAATTTCTCTGATTTGAAACAATAGGAAAACTTCTTTTACTCCCCTAAGAGGGTTAAATTTTTAAAATCCTTAGATTACTAGGTTCCTAGGTTAAGTCCTAGGGTAAGAGGAAGACTAGGTTTTGGTATTCATACGTCAAAAGATATGATGTTCCAGAATTTGGAGACAGCTATAGGTCATAAAAACTTGGAGACACAGGGTTATTTGGCTCCAGGAGAGATTTTACAACATTCCAAAAGTTTGGAATAAAGAAGATATCCTCTTAGAAGGACAGAAAAACAGCCGTTTCCATCCTATTATAAGTATAAAAACAAAGACAAGGAACAAAACCATTGTTCTTAATTTCTTGCTTTCAGAGAGTCTAGCCTCTCACTAGGATGATCTGGATCTCTTTATACTGTCCAAAGATAAGAACTGGGAAAAGGAGCAGCCAACACACATTATTAAGAAATCTGTTTCTGACTGAGAACACTGTGTGGACATTTAAAATAAAATCAACAAACTTGAGCCCAGGAGTTTGAGGCTGCCATGAGCTATGATGGCATCACTACACTCTAATATGGTCAACTAAGTGAGAACCAGTTTCTAAATAAATAAAGAAATAAATACATAAATAGTAAAATGAATAAGATGAGTATTAAAAGCCCAAAAACAGATTCTGAAATTTTGTTGAATATGTGAATGGATGAATAAATATGAAATGTAGATGGAGACATTAGGAAGAAGTTAGCTTCCACTGAAAAATATACACAAATCAAATTCCAAATAATTAAATATGTAGACTATAGCTAGTTTACAACAATAAAAAATAATGTTCTCTGTCAGAGAAAATTAAGAAAAGCAATTTAAACTCAACTGTTATAGAAAGAAAGATTACTATCTATTTAGCAGTGCTTAAAAAGGAGGTCATAGAGAATGAATTCCATTATAAACCTGACATGAACAGCAATGCAAAAAATTTGGACTTAACGTAAAATATTATTTGATGGTGTGAATAAATAATGAAATAAATGTTCATAAGATAAATTGTTGAAATAATTTGAAATCATTTTTGAATAATTATTGAAATAATTAAATAAATTGTTCATGAAAAATTACTCGTCTTGAGGAAGACAATCCTCATTTTACTACAATTTCATTATTTTATATTGGCAAGAGAAGAAATATTTTGAAAAACATTAATAAAGTTTACTTAAACAGGAGTATGATCCTCTTTCAGATGCAAAATAGAAGATAGGGGATGGAGCAAGTCTACCTTCCTTAAAAAGGTAGCTGAAGTCATCAGAAATTGTTTGTGTCATGCTACAGACCTATTCTGAAGAATAATAAATGAAACAGACTTATGAACTCATCAGATATACTTACACTAAGCATACTGATTAGAAAGTTCTCCTCATGTAATTTCTTCTTCCTGAATGATCTCAAAAAATATAATTTCAGGTCTAGATAATTGAAATAAAAGTGCATCCCTGAAACAAATTATTTAGCTCTTACTTTTTATAAATACTCTAATTGCTAAACTTATCAGGATCATGACCTACTTTGTATAGACAAATTAAATTCTAATTCTCCAGATCACAATATATAGGCTTTAAGTCACCATAATTTTTTCCCATTTGCCTCATTTCTGCCTTTCTTTGAGGTCTCTACCTTTTGTAACTAGTTTTTAATTTGTGAAATATTTACTTAATATTAGCTGATTTATAATGAATTAGTTTAGACTAGAATGGCATTTGAATACTTGTTGAAAATAATATCACTTGTAGACCTAGAATACTTTGGTAGCTACTTCATTTTCTCTGTCTCTTTCTGAAAAGTTAGCCAGCTTGCTTTAGGCAGACAGTAAGGGAAGGGTCCCCCAGAGAACCTCCTACCTGCTCCACAAGTGTTTATACCAGATGTTTTGTGCAGATAAGGGTACTTGCTCCGGGGGCTTGCCTAAACATGCCTGCAGTGGAAAATTTTGTTTCTTAACACGTGGGCAGTAAGAAAAATAAATCAATATGGAATGTCTCAGACTAAGGGTCTGCATGCACTCTGGAAGGATGCAGTGGAGCCTACAGGAATTCATGCCTTATACAAATAGGGAACTCAGCCCCATCAGCTTATATAAAAATGCCTTTGTATTCACCTGTGAAGAGGGCAACCGGGAACCTACTTTCAGGACTCCTCTCTTTGCTGAGAGCTTTCCTTTAACTTAATAAATTCTATACAATTCAGAACAATGTGCTCTCCCTCCGTTTTTAGAGACATGTCCCTTACCCCAACCTCCAATGGCCACAGGTACACATGTGAGACAAATGGGAGAGTGGCAACTCCCAACCTCCCTCCCCTCCCGGCTGAGGCACATAGCCCAAGGGCCCCACTTGGCTAGGTGGCCAGCATTTCCTGCTCACTCTTCCCTCTCCCCACGCACCCACAGTGTCTTTCCTCCCCTGGCTGAGCCAGAAAGGAGGAGACAGCAATTAAAATGCTCTCTCCCTATTGGAGGAACTCATTTGTATAAGAATAAAAGGTTTCTCCTCGGGCATCTTCCCCACCCTGCACTTAAGCTGTTTTATTTTATTTTTCTTTTCTCCACTTTGTAAGGAGTTAACTTTTATGAGAGGTTTTTTGTTTGTTTTTGTTTTTGTTTTCTTATTAGGCCAGGACCCCCATTCCCAAGATAGCCTTTTCTCTTCCTTGTTTAAGGAAGACCCAGCTCCAAAGCTTTAGGTTAGCATGACTCATTGCTGCCGATTAGGCTCCCTTCCATCTCGTGGATAGAGGTCATTCTAGTATCCATGGCATGCATGAAATCTAAAGAACTCAAAGGTTATCAACAACAGTGGGACAAGCAGCGCATGGGTAATGGTGGATAACTCGCACCCTGTAAGCCCCCTGTTAACATAGGTGAAAGCTGCATTGGCACCCATGGGTGGTAACCTGCCAAGATCACCAGGACTCAGGGATATAAGAACAGAAGAAAGAAAGAGGACACTTTTCTCCTCTCCCTCATGTACCTCAGGTATTTACTAGGAAAAAGAAGAAACTAGGGATGCCTTGCTCCCCTCTTCTTAGGTGAGTAACCAATCATCTGCAGCCCATATTTCTCTTGATTGCCTCCTGAATCACTAGGACTCTTCTGAAAAAACACCTCCTTTCTCCTTTTTCCTCCTCTGTCCTCTCTTTGTGGGTGGGTCCTTGTGTCGCTGTACCACAGGACACTCCCTTTGTATGCATCCCTTAAACTGGGAAAAGTTAATTTCCCCAAACCTTAAACTGCTTGGCTCAAAACTGAGCATGAAAAAGGGCAACTCAGAAGTCTGGTACACCAGCAAAAGGGTAAAAGTTCTTACCAGGGCCAGGTGCAGTGGCTCACGCCTGTAATCCCAGCACTTTGGGAGGCCAAGGCAGGCGGATCACGAGGTCGGGAGATGGAGACCATCCTGGCTGACACGGTGAAACCCCATCTCTACTAAAAATAGCAACGACAACAACAACAAAAAATTAGCCGGGCATGGTAGCAGGCACCTGTAGTCCCAGCTACTCCGGAGGCTGAGGCAGGAGAATGGCGTGAACCTGGGATATGGAGCTTGCAGTGAGCCGAGATCACACCACTGCACTCCAGCCTGGGGACAGAGGGAGACTCTGTCTCAAAAAAAAAAAAAAAGTTCTTACCAGTCAGACTTCTGGCCTCCCTCTCCCTGTGCAAACCAGTTGAATAAATGATAAAATCTCTGTTTAAATCACTGTTTATATCCTCTCTGAAGTTCTGATGAATAGAAAAAAAGGATTTATGAGGCTAGTCTTAAGCTGTAGCCAATGTAGTGTGCTTTGTGTGTCTTTCTGTATAGTTCTGTCATAAAGAGGGGTACCTTAGGATAGAATGCAGGCCTAGGACCCCAAAAGTTTGCTGATCAAGCCAGCCTGGCAAACTGGTCAGTAACAAACCTTGCTGCAGTTCTTCATCTTGTTTTATGTCCTTAGGAGCTTGACCTTGTAACCACTTGATAATACTTTCTTTTGGCCTCTGCCATTTTACAATGGTGGCCTGGGTTTAATCCTGGCTTAGGGAATGAGTATATTGTGGCTAATATCTGTGTGACTTTTACCATTTGCTGATTCTCTTCCCCTCTATAAACAACTTCTAGCTTCCTTTCTTAAATCTTCCTTTGTCTGAACCAACTTTAAAGATCTTAGATTCTGTAAAAACTGCTTAGCACCTCTTTGAAAATAACTTTTACACTTACAGTTAAGTCATAATCTTAGTTGAAGCTTGTTGGTTTCACCTGTGAGGTTATTTTTAATAAAGTTCTAAAGCCAGAAATATTGGCTGCTCGGCATGGCTAAAGCTGGATAATAGATTTGAAACGATTTTCTTAGAGCACAGCTGAATTAAAAGTGGATATCCAAGTTATAGGTATATTTAAAGGCCTTTAAATTTTTCTCTGCATGGATCTTGTTTTTCTGGAAAAAGGTTCTTTCTCTGTTGAATGATTTTTTTTTCCCCATTTTGTCTTGTCATTCAGTGCATACATGAGAGGCTCTAAGATAACTTCTGATAGCCCGGGGCTCCTGGGAAAAAACAAAGAAGGTGCTGCAGACCCCATTTTGGGGAAAACAACACCCTCTGTTTTCCTCATGAAACCCCAGGAATTAAAAGTGGATAGATCCTTCTCAAAATCTATCTCTGTCTTCCAGCTATGCCTGTTTATTAGGCCCTAGAAACTGTATGCTGTCCTAGGCCCTGCTCTTGAAGGGCTTCACCCAGAGGCCAATAATCTATTCAGAAGATTGGCAAATGAAAAATCTTACAAGTACTGAATTTGCTTTTGTTCATCTGTGTAATTTTATATTTCTTATGGGCGTGATGTTTATATAAAAAAGCTCTAGGAAAATAAGCACTTAGATCAAATATTTTTTGAAGAAAAATAAAAGCTGTAATACCTTTTGAGTTCACATGACTATAATCTTTAAGAAATAAAGGCAGTTTTAAAAATAATTGGTAAAATACAAATGTCTTTAAAATGTAAATATGTGGGCTGAATCATGTAGGTCAGATACTAGGTTAGCTAAATGCTTCAAAGTTATTAACTGCTTCTTTGGCTTTTAAGAACTATTTGATAAAGTTTGGCTCTGTGTCCCCACCCAAATCTCATCTTGTAGCTCCTGTAATTTCCATGTGTTGTGGCAGGGACCCAGTGGGAGATGATTGAATCATGAGGGTGGGTCTTTTTATGTGTTCTCATGATAGTAATGGGTTTCATGGATCTGATGGTTTTAAAAATGAGAGTTTCTCTGCACAAGCTCTCTTTTTTGGTTTGCCACCATCCACATAAGATGTCACTTGCTCCCCCTTACCTTCTGCCATGATTGTGAGGCCTCCTCAGCCATGTGGAACTGTAAGTCCAATTAAACCTCTTTCTTTTGTAAATTGCCCAGTCTCAAGATTGTCTTTATCAGCAGCATGAAAATTGACTAATACACTATTCAATTTGCCTGCTTCACAATTAATAAGTCCAGGGACATATGGAATTAACCACACCCTTAATTATGCAGAAAGGAATCAGATTTTATTTATGCCTACTACTACATAATTAAAGCAACTTGCCAGGTTGTACATTAAAGTTAAAAATTGCTAAGAGTTACCATAATAACCTGTAATCGAGACAATGAAAATAGATTTATATATAAGGTAAGTAAGGAAAGTAAAATATGTTTTTAGTAAAAGATTATAAGAAAGCATGAAAATGTAAATTTTTGCCTTGGGTTAAAGGATTGTTTTGAATTAGATAAGATAAAGCTGAGGGTTTAAACAAATGGTGAAAAGTTTGTAAAAATTAATCTTGCAAAAGAAATTGTGTGAACATATTGACTAATTTCAAAAAAGTATTTTGTTTTTGTAAATTGAGCATTGAAATAAAAGCACAACAAGCTTTTCTAAAGGCACTGATCTGCTCTTTAACAACAATTTGTAAAGGGTTATAAAAGTTTAAAAAAATCTCACCTCATGGTCAAACTAGATAAGATTAGATATAATATCTATAAGTTTTCATTAAAAAAATTGGGGTTGACATCAACAGTAGACTAATGCAAGGATGAAATTAGGCTTTCACTTGAACAGGATTTCCCTGTAAAATTAACGACAGATCATTTGGAAAGCTAAGTTTTCCCTCTACCTGTGAATATGCTTTTGTGTTGTTTTAAAATGTTTGAGTCATCATTTTGGTTAAAATAAATGACATATGGTAACTTGGAATTCTATTTTATAATATCAAGTGCTTTGAACCTCTAACATATTTAACAGGCTTCCCAAAATCAAACTTCAGTTTCAAAATTGTCTTTCCTGGTCCCTGGAACATCCAAAAGAGAAGAAAACTGGTTTTTTTGAAATGTTTAGTTATATGGTATTTCCAAAGTTATATTTAATCTGCTTTAGGTTATATTTTAGTGAATAATATTAATATGTTTCAAAATTATATGAGATTTCTAAAATTCTAATGTCTGAGTATATGCTATCAATCATAATTAAGGTTATTATGTTTAGTTATTGTAAACCCTAGAAATGACTAAATTTCTTTGTCATTTGTATTCTTGACAGTAACTACCTTAGACATTTCATCATTCACAGACAAATGTCTTGTTTTGATCCTACTCAAAAGATGATTTATAATCAGCTATAGGATTTTGACAAGTGTTCTCAAATGCAAGATTCCATTAACTCTGGAGATTATGACATTGAAAAAAATACAGTACTCATGAAGAACTGAAATGTTCATGAATATCTAGCAGAACAAGAGAACAGAATGGATTGAACTAATAGAAAACAAGTATTATTTTTAACCTTTTTGCTTAAAACTTTCCTTGCTTTGTTTTTCTGAGTCAAGGATACTTATTTTGAATTATTTAAAGCCTTTAATAATTGAGTAAACTATACTCCTGTGAACAAAATTTGAAGGACGTTTGTTTCTCTCTGCCTGGGTTTGCCAGAATTTGGAAACTATTTGTGAGAATATTTAATTTATGGCAATACAGTTATTTTCATCAGTGCAATAAGAATACATTTTCTTTTGCAACAGGACACAATTGAAGAAACTGGTGGTTTTACCAAGGCTTTTACTGGAAGGGTATATGTTCCTTTAAGTAATTAAGCTGGACTTGCCAATAAAAGTCTCTTGGGAAAACTGGCTACATACCTTGTCAACACAGTCCTTGTACAAGGTTCCTAACCCGTGGGAAGTAAAGCATGTCACTTTTTAACAGGCCTAGGAGCCTGTTAAAAAGCTCTTGGGCCTGTTAAAAAGCTTGTTCTTGAGACATCAAGAAGAGAATGATTTACCAAACTCGTAGATATTTGAGGGTGGAAACCCATGACTGGGCTTGGCCTTAAAAGGTCTTAACTGAGATTCCTTATGGAACAGAGTTCCATCAAAGCCAATTTAAAAGCCTATGGGAAAAATAATTATTCTTTTTGCACTTTATGCAAATAAGACAAGTATAAGGCTAAAGTTTGTTTTTCAAACAACTGAGTCCTATCATGATTTGTTTTTGGCAAAAATGAGGACTGGAGAGAGAGAAATTATGTTTCAAAACTTACTCTACATTTGTCATTACATTATAATCCCATTAGTTGTTTTTAAGTTTTTGTCTACATTTTAGACTACCCTGCTTATTCCTGTGGACCAACCAGCAATGTACAGCTGCAGCTCAAAAGAACCAAAGGGATGAGTAATATAAAAAATCTGGATCAATATTTTAATTCTGAACAATTATCCTGCAAATCCTTCCAGGTGATCGGAGTAAATAGGTGCCCATAACCCAGAGATTTCTTTGTTTGGGAAAATAAGACCAAGGGAGCTAATCAAAGCCAAGCCCCATGAATACAAACCTTAGCAGGCATAACTATAGCCACGAGTTATCTGGCTGTATTGGCAGCCTTGAGATTTTTGTTTTGTTTTGTTTTGAGCTGTCCTTATCCCTTTGTTTCATTCTGAATATGTCTTCTAATAACCCAAATTTTTTCTTAAAGGCCATTCAACTTCAAATGGTGATGCAAACAGAACCACTCATGAACACACTGTTCTCTTTGGGGACCCTTAAACTGACCTCAGGAGGAGCCTTAACTGCCACTTTCCCAAAACAGCAACCCTTGTCAGCAGGAAGCAGTTAAGAGCAGTCGTTGTACACTTTCCCCAACAGAATTTGGGGTCTCCACTCCTGAAGGGAGGAATGAAAGGAGTCAGCCAACTTGCTTTAGGGAGACAGTCAGGAAAGGGTCCCCTGGAGAACCTCCTACCCACCCCCAGGTGTTTATACCAAATATTTTGTGCGGATAAGGGTACTTGCTAAGGGAGCTTGCCTAAACATGCCCATAGTGGAAAATTTCATTCCTTAACATATGTGCATTAAGGAAAATAAATCAATATGGAGTGGCACAGACTAAGGGCCCACATAACTCACTGGAAAGATGGAGTGGAGCAACCAGGAATTCACTTCTCATACAACCAGGAATTCACAGCCCTATCAGCTTGTATAAAAATGTCCTTGTTGCCGGGTGCGGTAGCTCACACCTGTAATCCGAACACTTCAGGAGGTGGAGGCGGGCAGATCACTAGAGCAGGAGTTGGAGACCAGCCTGACCAACATGGTAAATCCCATCTCTACTAAAAATACAAAAATTATCCGGGCCTGGTGACGTGTGCCAGTAATCCCAGCTACTCAGGAGGCTGAGGCAGGAGAATCGCTTGAACCTGGAAGGCAGAGGTTATAGTGAGCCAAGATCATGCCATTGCACTCCAGCCTTGGCAACAGAGTGAGGCTCTGTCTCAAGAAAAAAAATGCCCTTGTATTCAACCGTTAAGGGGGCAACCAAGAACTTGATGTCAGGACCCCTCTCTTTGCTGAGAGCTTTCCTTTCACTAAATAAATTCTACTACACTTACTCTTTGAGTGTCCATGTGCCTACTTCTTCAGAACTTAGGCCTAGCTGGGCTAAGGAGCAAAAAACCCTGCATCATATCTCAAACTCAACCTTTAAGTTTTTGTCCTACTAGTCTCCTTCACATTTTGCAATACATTAAAATTGCTTCAAGGTTTTTTCAAAATGTGTTTTTGGTAATTCTGCTAATTTATGCTGTTTAAAACATCCTGGCTGAATGATTTCAAATAAATTTTATAACATCTATTTCCATTTTTTTCACTCAGTACATATGAATCCACTGTTTAATCCAAATTTAAAGTAACAATCATTAAAGTAAATTAAAATGGAGTCCAGGCCTGAAGAATTTCTGAGCAGACAAAACCAGTTAGGCATCATAAGTGATCTAAACCTTGTTTGATCTACAGATATAAGGGAAACTTGAGCCATTCTTATCAATTTCTATATTAAAGAAAAACAGAACTTAAGTTCAACCAATCAGAAGTAGCCAACACACATAATCATATAACTGAAGACTTTCCAGTGGGATAGACCTAATAACGTGCAACTTTGGTACCAAATAAGGTACAAATAACTGTACAACTATAAATAGTCAAATATTATCTTTAGTTTTCTTCTGTGCCTGTCCTCTAAAAGCCTCCGCCTGTGCTCCGTCAGTGGCGCTCTTAAGCCACTTTTATGGTTTGGAGCTGCCTGAGTCATAAATCATTGTTTAAATAACATATTTAAAATTTTATTGTGCCTTAGTTTATCTTTTAACACAGTGGTCCTCAACCCTTGGTAATGAGCTATGGCTTGTTAGGAATCAGATCATACAGCAGGAGGTGAGCGGCAGGTGAGTGAGCATTACCACCTGAGCTCTTCCTCCTGTCGAATCAGCTACAGCATTAGATCCTTATAGGAATGTGAACCCTATTATGAACTGAGCATGCAAGGGATCTAGGTTGTGCATACCTCATGAGAATCTAATGCCAAATGATCTGAGGTGGAACAGTTTCATCCCTGTATTAGTCAGGGTTCTCTAGAGGGACAGAACTTATAAGATATATGTATATATGAAAAGGAGTTTATTAATGAGAATTGACTATACGATCACAAGGTGAAGTCCCATGATAGGCTGTCTGCAAGCTGAGGGGCAAGGAAGCCAACAAAGGCTTAGTTCAACTACAAAAGCCTCAAAAGTAGGAAAGCTGGCAGTGCAACATTTAGTCTGTGGCCAAGGACCTGAAAGCCCCTGGAAAACCACTGCTGTAAGTTCCAGTGTTCAAAGCCTAAAGAACCTAGAGTCTGATGTCCAAGGGCAGGAAGCATCCAGCACAGTGCAATGATGAAAGCCAGAAGACTCGTTAAGTCAGCTTATCCCACCTTCTTCCACCAGCTTTGTTCTAGCCAAGCTGACAGTCAATTGGATGGTGTCCACCCACCTTGAGGATGGGTCTTCCTCTACCAGTCCGACTCAAATGTTAATCTCCTCCAGCAACACCCTCACTGACACACCCAGAAACTATTCTTTACCAATTATCTAGGCATCCTTCAATCCAATTAAGTTGACACCTATTATTAACCATTACAATCCTGAAACCATCGTCTGCTCCCCTGTCCGTGGAAATATTGTCTTCCACAAAACCAGTCCCTGGTGCCACAAAGGTTGAGGACTACATAGAACTCAATGAAATGAGAAGTAGTTTCTGATTCAACTGATGTCTGTTAAGTGATTCTCTCTATAGATCCAAGTATTATGAGCAACCTCACACAATCACGTTCATGAGATTTCTATTACTCTGTGTGTTGGACTTCAAGGAAGGAATGGAATGCCATCATTAGGCACCAAATAGTTCCACTATTGATTAGCATTGAGATTTTTAGTAAATATTTAGGAGTACTGGGGGATGAAGGAGAGACAACACTATTTATTCTTGTACTAGAATACTCATTTCTAATGCCTATAATTAAATCAATAGGAGAGTTATTGAGAAAATCTGGGCATTTTGAGATAGTTGAAGAGTAAGTATTCCATATGTATGTCAGTTGAAAATTATTTTTGCTGTTTGCTTTTGAAAGAATATAACAATGTTAGCAAATGAACAAGGTAATTCCTGGCTGAATTATATAATTATTACAGTACTTCCAAAGATATTAATCTATTACCATTATATGTAATTCATGGGGAATGATATTAAACAATAGATAAAATACCAAGTTAATGTGTTTCAGGACATCACTCACAGCATAATGAAAAACTGACTTACTTCTCTATTTCAATAGCTTCAATACCCATTCAACATTACTGTTCATTACAAATCTATTGGTAAATTGCTTGCAAAAATAAGACTGAAAACAATTTTAAATTAAGTGTACAAATTTTTCTCTTTTTCTTTTGAAATAATTAATATTTTATTTTATGACTGTAGTTTCCTTTAACTCTATAATTTGAACTGAGATGTTTGGAGAAAAAGTATTTTTAAAAGAATTTATAACAATAAGAATAACTGTTAGAATGCCAGTCCTATCAAGAAATGTTAGAAATATATAAGCAAAACTCAAAAGTAAATATCACTGTCTGTCTAACCATATTCCATGCATAGCTTCTACTACTGTTCCCCAGAATTGTCTGTTTTATCATTTCTCTTGACTTTTGATACATTTATTCATATATCCTCCATCCTCACTTAGTCCTTACTGTTTGTACTTCAGCATCATATCAACCCTATCTCGCCACTTAAAAGACAAAGTAATACTACTTTTTCAGTTTTTTTCATTTAATGTAAGAAGTTATCATTTCCCCAATAGTGAAATGATGCAAAATGATTATTTGATGTATTGTCCAAATGGGTTCAGGTTTGTGACAGTCTCAAATGCATCAGGGAGTAGGGACACCCTTCAGTTAAAGCACAAAGTTGTATTTTAATCTGTATTTTATTTTTAAAAAAGATTTTTTCTCAATATCACATAAACATTAAGCTCTTTATTTTACCTCTCTATTTACTTATTTACACTATTTAAGATTGAGCATTTTTCATTATCAAAAATATTTTCATAATATGTGTAAAATTGTTGAAATCTTAATTTTTCCAAAATGACAGCTGACTCCTCTTAAAGGTAATGGGAATCTTAGAATGTTATTTGCAAGTCAGTCTACAGCATTATTTTCATATATAAAATGTTGTGTACTAATTTTTGAAATATTTGTAAATTAAATAGGTCATTTTTCTTTCAGGAGAAAGGAGACTTTGAGAGATTTTTGTGCAGGAGAAGAGTAGTTTTAAAAATAGGTAGTTTGCAATAGGGCAGACTAGTTTTAAAACTCTAAAATGAGAACAAGTCAATAAGAGTCTCTTGATTAAATCTAGTGGTCTTATTATTTATTTATTAATTGACATGTAATAATTGTACATATTCATGGGGTACAATTTGATACCTGGATACCTATCCATGTTGTATAATGATCCATTCAGAGTGAATCTATTATCTTACATATTTATCACTTCTTTGTGGTGAGAACATTCGAAGACAACTCTTCAAGCTATTTTGTAATATACGATATTTCACTGTTAACCATACTTGCTCTACATGCAACAGAACACCAGAATTTATTGCTCTTATCTAGTTGTAATTTTATACCATCAATCAAAGTTTCCTCATCCTTCTTTAGTCTCTGGTAACATTTTTCTACTCTCTGCTTCTATGCTATTAACTTTTTTAAATGTTTGTATTTTCTTTTTTTTTTAGACTCCACTTATGAGAGAGATCATGCTGTACTTGTCTTTCTGTGTCTGGCTTATTTCACTTACCACGATGTCCTCTAGATTCATCCATATTGTCATAAATGGCAAGATTTTATTTTTTATGGCTACAGAGTACTTCATTGTATACAGATAGTGCATTTTCTTTATGCATTCATCTGTTGCCAGACACTTAGGCTTATTCTGTATCTTGGCTATCATACATAGTGTGCAATAAAAATGACTAGGTGCATTGCAATTAGCTTTAAAAAGATGGAACGGCATTGTAAGGACAGACCATGAATCTAAGCCCTTAGGTTGAATACTTAGGTTGAATAAAATTGTTGGAATAAGTGGCTATTTGATGTATGTAATGAAAGGGATTCTTACTTGGCAGGTATTATTAGGAGAAAAAAAAGAGAGAGAAAGTTGAAGGAGAGGGGAAAACTGCCACAGCAGGTTAAGCAACTTGCTTTAAAATAATTGGGATTAGTAAGTGTTCAGAGATAGAACTGGTGATGAAAGAGTGAGACTGGAATTAGGAATTAATTTGTAACACTAATGTTGCAGGTTGGGTCCTGGTTATGAGACTAAGCAGATGCTCATTCTTTGGAGCTATAACTCTGACCAGTGCCACATTAACAGATTTGGAAAATATGAGATTAACTATGAAGGTACAGAAAATAAAGGTATTAAAATTCTTTCTATATTTTAGATCTAATTGTTAATAATATAGTATATACACATCCATACTATATTATATATATATATATAACATATATAATAACATATATATGCAAAAAGCTATGGTAAATAGAAAACATTAGCTGGGCATGGTGGTTTACGCCTATAATCCCAGCACTTTGGGAGGTGGAGGCAGGAGGATACTTGAGCCCAGGGATCTGAGACTAGCCTGGGTAATATGGCAAGACCATGTCTCTACAAAAAGTAAAGAAAAGTAGCTGGGCCTAGTGGCACACACCTGTCATCAAAGCTACTCTGGAGGCTGAAGTGTGAGGATCACTTGAATTCAAGAGGTCAAGGCTGTAGTGAGCTGTGTTCCAGCCACTGCACTCCAGCCTGGGTGAGAGCACAAGACCCTGTCTAAAAAAAAGCAAAAGAAAAAAGAAACATTATTGAGGAGAAGAGATAAATAGAGTCTTAGAAATTTGAACTGATACATGAGTAAAGAATGACCCAATTATTTTATATCAGGAATGGGAAAATAAATTTTATTCAAGTCCACAAAATAGTTTTTAAAGCATAGACAATACAATACAGGGGTTGGGGGCGTGGTTACAACAATGTTAGAAACACTGAAGGAGCAAAAGGGGCCTGCTACTCCAGATGATGAGCAAATGAAGGAAGCCACTTCCATCCTTAACTGTGGAAAATGAGTAGGGGAAGGTGGTGCATTCTGGGTCCCATGATTCCAGACTGACCATTGGCCCTATTTGAGTGCAGCTGCTGTTAGGCAGAAACTCTGGACTCCAAACTCTCAGTAAAACTTCTGAAGACACTTCTGTTGCTATTGCAGCTGTCAGCACCATTGATTCAGCTGAGAAGCAGCCCAGAATATCACACTGACACCCATGCTGTTGGTTGTGTTTTTTTGAACCAGATTGAAATTAATATCTATTGTATGGTTCAATTTCTATGAAGTTCAATGTCAAGCAAATGTAATTTATAAAGATAAAAGTAAGAACAGTGGTTGCCTATAGTAATGATTGGAGGTTCACAACAGAGACTCCTGGATTCTAGTAATACTCAATTCATATTCATGTAGGTTGTGATGACATTAGTATTTTACATTCTAAAAATGTTTAATGCTATATGCTCAAGATCTGTGTCTTTCGCATGTGCATATCATATTTCATATTTCAATTAATAAATCAGTAAAAAAAGTTCCAGTTCAGGATACAATACTGTAGAACAATCCAAAATATTAATTTATTCCTAAAGTTTTTAAAATATTAGAATAAATACAGAGCATTTTGTTAAAACAATATGGTAAACCTAAATGTAAAAAAAAATTAAATTGTGTTAGGAATTTCAAAAAGACATTTCATGTGCCTTTTCAACTTTCAATTTCGTATGAAAGTTGAAAAAACTTGAAATCAGTAAGTGTGCATGTATATGTAAAACAAAATTACTGCATATAAAAACTTTTTTGAGGCATCTAGAAAATATTTAGCAGTGTGCCATAATTTAGAGGCACTTAAAAATGCTTTTTAGTGATACATAAAAAATTAATTAATGACACAGTCTATGAAAAACAAGTAGAGCAGCTTGAAATAATTCACATATTTTTCATGTAAAACTTTTAGGAGAAGTCCAGTGATGTCACGATAGCTCTATGATGTTGATTTATTTTGTTGCTTTTATATGCTTATTTTATATATAAAGTAGCTGAAAGCAGCTATGAATTCTAAAGCATGGTAACAGGGGTAAAAGGTCACACACATTTCTTTTAGATGCTGCAATTATTGCTTCTGTTCACACGTTATCGTCCAAAAATTAGTTACATTGCCTCATCAAAGTGCAAGGAGGCTGGTAAATGTACTTTAATTTGCTAAATGCCTTGCAAGATATAGGGATGTATATCGAGAAGACAAAGAATGGAAGTGAGAATTACTTGTTATTTTGACTTCCAACTATCGGAGAACATTCCCAAAGAAATATCATACTAAATTTCTGCCTGAATAATTATTTCAGCATCTCTTTCATGGTCTTTGCTTAAGGGCAGTGCTTCCAGCTGAGGCTGTATACAGTCGCATATTCCATAGACTAACTGTCTAGGGTAATTCAGACTTATAACCTAAGTTTATGTTACAACTTTTCTAACTTATGTTCCTTTGATGGAGTTTATCCTCATTGCCCCACCCCACAAATGGTTTACTAATATAGTCTAAAACAGAAACATTATTCTTTTTATATTCTTTAATCTCCATTGAAATAAACACAATTTGTAGAATTAACTAATAGAAATTAATTGAAAAGAAGCATCTTTCTTTTATATGAACAATGACACAGTTCAAATTTATCTTGAAAACAGTTTTAAGCACAAGTAATTACCCTGAATATGTAAATAACCCATTTATAAGTAGGTCAATAGGAAAACATTTCAACAAATTTCAAACGTGATATCATTTCTAGATCTTATGAAATAATGGAACATGTTTTGGAAGATAAGAGAAGTTTACTTAGCCAATAATAACAGGTCTCAATCAATGATTTTTTAACAGCTAGTTTATCCCTCGATATACCTTACTATATCCTATTTTTAGATATGGCATTTGAAAACCTCCAAGAATATAGAGATAATTTTAATTGAGCTATTATGGTTAGTATTTATTTTTAAAGTTCTGAATTTTTTTAAAAAATTCAATATTCTATGGTATATTAACAAGATTGATTGGAATAATGCATTTTTTTTATGTAGTGGGTTGGTGATATGTTTTTCTTCTGAGAAAGAAGGCTGTTCATAATCTTAAATTATATTAGGTTTTAGAAACAAAGAAAATTGTGGGATTCCCTTAATGGCTTTCTTACACTTGAGTTCTAAAATATTTATCAATCTCAAATATATTTTGCATTATGTTGAAAAATGACTATTAATAGTTTCTGCTAAAAGGAATTATCAACTTTTTATGCATCACCATTTCAGAGTTGGGCTTATAAAAATATCAGTATCTGTCCTACATATATACCAATGTTTTTCAATTTTTAGTCAATTAAGTATGTTTCATTGATTTTCTGCTGTGTGCGTAAAACTGTGCATGATGATATTATAGAAGGTACTGTGAAAAGGCTTAAAGCAGTATATTTAACCACTGCCTACCAGAATAGTACATAGAGAAGCAAACCTAATCTATAAGCAACAATGAGAGAGTGCTACAGATAACTTTTAATATTGTAAATATATATGATACAGATTATAAAATCTTTATGAAATAATCTATAGAAGAGGTGAAATGGGTCTCTGCCAGGAGAATGCAAAGGCAGTAAAAAATTAAAAACCAAAATATTGAGAATTATTTTGAGGAAAGTGTTAGTAGAATTTAATAATACATTTAATAGCAACATAAGATTAAAAATGCAAAGATGAATTCAAAGTTGCTTACATTCAAAAATAACTCATTAAATGTACAGTATTTTAAGCACACTTTTGATCTATGAAGAGTATAAATATGAATAAGACATAGTTCTTTAGGCTAGACATAGAGAATATATTTTGTACAGAAATAAAATCTAGAGTATGTAATATTAGGGGAAAGAAAATGCCTCATAGATGTCAATAAACTTTGTTCCCTCTATTTTTTTTTACTAGTTTCATTTCCTGTAATAATTGTGGTAACAGTAATGCTGAAAAAATTAAACCTCCAACTCTTAAAACAATAAAAGTTATTGCTTGCTTAAATAATAGGAATGCTATCTGTGATTTCCTGCAGGGTCATTCAAAGATTTATTATTTTCCCATCTGTGGTTTTGCCATCCTCAATACATAGCTCTTGGGGGTTTTCTGTGGATTGTTTTAATGTTAGCCAACCAGAGAGAATAAAAAGAGTGTTAAAAATTATTAATTGTGGGTCTATGTGACCCTGTAAGAAGGCTACATCACTACTATATACTTAGAACCTAAATTTCTATGCCAAAATATAGGCGAATATAGCAAATATTGTCCAAATTTACAAGGAAAGAGAAAATGAATTGTGTATTCATCTTACAGTTTCTAATAAAATCCCCAACATTGAACTTAAATGACTCTCCAGTTGTTCATTAGGAGCATATGCTGTTGGTTGACTGCCAGCATACATTATCTCACCTTTTCTTTCTAAGATAGAACATATTCAATATATCCAAGGCTTCCAAGGCTTCAGTACTTCTCTAAGTTTACTGTCTCGTCTTCAGATTCAGGTATGATGTGATTACTCTAAGTATAGCCTGATTCTTTGCCAAAAGTAAGAACAAAAATACGCATATGACCCAATTCAGTACAAAGGCAAATCAGGGCAAATTACCTTAAGAGTTTTTAAGATAAATGTTTCTCTTGGTGTCTCTTTCTTGGTCTTCTGGGTAAGGTTGTATCTGAATATGTTGACCCTAAATGTCTGCAGACATTTTTGCAGAAATGTTAAGGGTAAAAGTGACACAGCCAATAGCAAAGAAGTGCCAGAAAATACGTAAGCAAACTGTGACCTCTTTTTACCTCTTGATTGACTTTTATGTTAAATAATGAATTTACCTTATGCTTGAAAGAATTTGAAATAGTATTTGGCAGTGAAGAATTTACTCCTCCCATATTTTCATTCAAGAGAAATTTCCAGGAGGAGGGTTGTTGGTGGGTTACCTCCAACTCAACCACTTCAGAGCTACTACAGTGGTAATGCATGTTGAAGAAAAGAGTCAAACTCTGTGAAATATTTGAAGAGATTTATTCTGAGGCAAATATGAGTGACCTCGGCCTGTCACACAGCCCAGGAGATCCTGAGAACATGTGCCAAGGTTGTTGGGCTACAGCTTGGATTTATACATGTGAGGGAGACATAAGACATCAATCAGTACACCTAAGATATACATTGGTAAAATCGGGAAAGGCTAGACAACTCAAAGCAGGTGGGGGTGGGGTGGGTGAAGGCTTCCAGGTTAAAGGTGAATTCAAAGATTTTCTGATTGGCATTTGACAACTGGCTAAAATAATTTATCTAAAGACTGGAATCAATAGACAGGAGTGTATGGGTTAAGATAAGGTGTTTTAGAGACCGAGGTTCTTATGCAGATGAAGCTTGCAGGTAGCAGGCTTCACTGAGAATAGATTGTAAATGATTTTTATCAGACATAAAAAGGAAAAAGGACTTGGAATCAGGAAAAATCAGGAAAAAGACTTGGAAAGAGAAGGGGATTCTCTACAAAATGGAGATTTTCCCCACAGAAACAGCCTTGTAGGGCCATTTCAAAATATGTCAAAGAAATGTATTTTTGTAGTGAAATACTTTGATTTCTTTCAAGGCCTGCTATCTGTCATGTTGACATCTTATTGCTATGAAGGGTCTGTTTTGTCATTCTTAAGTCTCTACTTTACTGTTAACACTGTTCAGCTATGCATGAATTCCAAAAGGATGAAAGTAAATAACGAAGCATGTTCAACCACCCATTTCCATCATGGCCTCCATTACTGTTTCAGGTTTAGTTTAAAATGCCCTTGGCCAAGATAAAGGGCCCATTTAGTTGGTTAACGGACATTGAATTTTATTTTTGGCTTACATGCAGGTGCCATGCTCTCCTTAGGTTGCTCCCTGCCAATGCTGAGCAAGGAAGATATTATAGGGCTTTTCATTCTTGTCCCACATGGACTCATCTAAAGGTCAAAGTTCACTTTGGTGCTCTTCCAGTGTGGCTGACAATTTCTCAGATATGCACTCTTCTCTGAGGCTCCTCCTTTCCAATTATCTTTCATGCTCTCTCTTCTTTTGAGGTGCCAGGCTTGCATCATGATCTGGAGGCTCTTGCAGCCTCCTTTTGCTCTATCTTCTCTTTATTCTTCAAAGGTGTTTTCTCTGGTTACTCTCTTATATGTGTAATACCATCTTGGTGTCTGATTCTTGGGAAACCCAAACTGGCTTATAATTTTTCTTACTTTCAGTAAAACCTTCTTTGCTGATGCATCATTCATTAATTCATTAAATGTATTGTGTTTTGTATGGGAAAACAATGATGCCAAAGTGTCTATAGCTATATAGTCTGATATGTGCTATAATAAGAATTTGGAAAAAGTATTATTGGTTCACAAAGGCAGAAATTTAGGAGGTTAGATACATTTAAAGTAAAATTTGATTAAAAAGTGTGAACTTAAATAGATTAAGATAACATGGGGTGTTTGTAAAATATACTAGTAAAATACAATGACATACCCAAAGTCCTGTTAAATCAAATTAAATATGGCCTGAGAAAAACGCCATACTTCTATATTTCAGTCCTTGTGAATGAACTGCAACCTAATTCAATAGGTACACAAGACTAAAACCTAACTTAGGAATATGCACCTGTAATAATCGCTGAGTCTTGGCCAATTCCAGCAGCCATACTTCAACTAGTCACATACAGCTGAGTGTTCAAATAAGGCAAGTGCCAAGCTGTAACCAATCCAGCTGTTTCTGTACCTCACTTCTGATTTCTATACATCACTTTACTTTGTATTGTCTATAAATTCATTCTGACCATGAGACACCCCTGGAGTCTCTCTGAATCTGCTGTGATTGTGGGGGCTTTCCAATTTATGAATCATTCACCACTCAATTAAACTGTAAATTTATTTTGGCTGAAGGTGTTTTTTGTTTTTTTTTGTTTGTTTGTTTGTTTTTTTAGCAGTCCTCACCATAATGATCCATACACGTAAGTGTCTAATATAATCTTTCTAGCTTTCCTTTTTGGTTGTGTTTAGTCATACTGTTGCTGATTCAGCTTTGTATAAAATGTCAGAGCAAAATGGCTATCAATAATATAGAGATCTACAAGAATTCCCACACAGGTGAAATATGCATGGTGGAAAGAGGCAATTCTTAAGGCAAAGAGCCAAGCATGTACCAAACACCAATGCCCTTGTATACCAAAGCTAAAGATTCTACAATTTGCCAAAGATAAGAATGTACCTTTCACAACAGCAAGGACCTCATATATTGTCTTATTATATATCCCTAAAATCTAGCACAGTGTTGAATAAGAGGAAGTAGAAATAATTTTGAGAAGGAATTAAACATGTATTTGTAGAAGTCAAGTCTTACCCATTGAAAAAATATCTCCCCCATATTTGTAATTCATTAAATTGTTTGGAAGGGAAAAGAAACCAAAGGGAATACTCCATAGAGAAAGTTGTTTCAGAAATTATGTAAATTTATTCTAATAACTAAGAAATAGTGAAAATGTATTAGAAAGGTTAGGTAGAGGCACATTTCAGATTTAGACTAAGGTGCAAATGGCTTTCTACTTAATGATAGAGAAAAGCATAAATAAAAGTACATTGTATACATGAAATGGTTTTGTTTGAATTGGGTATAGAATATCAAATGAGAAATATATAGTAAGGAATTGAATATACGGAAATACAGATATAGATGGCCAGAGCACCTACTTGTAGCTCTTGATAGCAGAATTATCAGTCAACTGAAAAGATATTTTAAGACCTCCAAGAATAAGTAGATAATTTCTATTCTGTATTTTGTTAATGAAAGAAAACCAGGGTAATAACTGCTTGAATTTTCATCACTAGCATGTTTCCTACATACATAAACATAGTGAGTAGTGAGTATATTCACATATAAAGTAACAAAGAATTATAGTAAACCCCAACATCCAATCGGGAAAAATGTTGTAACTCTATATATTCATTAAATTGTTCACAAACTGACATCTTTTAGCATATATTATGGTTTCCTTTAGCTTGTTAAAGAGCATGGACTCATGACTAAAACATAAGAACACCCAATGAAGTTCAACTAAATCAATTCAACTATGAAAAATAAAATGACTAGTGATCATCTCTTTATTATTATTGAAAGAATAACTTACAAGTAAAAACATTCAATTTTTGAAAACAGCTTTGTATTTATTGAATTTATGCATATAACATTAGTTGCATTTCAAAATAAAATGGCTGCCTTAAAAGTGATGCAAAATTACATATTTATACATTCTCTGAATTAAGCAGGATTAATTGAAAAGTGGTTATGAAGGCATGACTGCAAGATACAAATTGAGCCTATTTTTAGTAACTTGCTCTAGCTGAGATGTTATATGTTCAGATTTGTTGACACGAAGCTTTATTGAGAAGCATTACTTATTCCCAATAACTCAAGGAGGAGCCTGTTTTGGGAGGAAAAACCACATCAAGTATGTTTTGTTGAATCAAGAGGATTTTATTTTTAGAAAACTACTAATGATTTTTTCTGAAAAGTGACTATTCTGAAATCTAAGAAAAATCAAATATTTGATACTTAACATAATTTGCAACTTGACATAAAACTACTCAGTTTAGTTGGTCATAATATACTCATTCCTAACTTATTCCACTTTACAAAAAAAGTAAAAGAAAAGAATAAATAAATAAGTAAGGAAAGAGAAACAAACAAACAAAAAACATTGGAAACGGACTAGGTAAAAATTTATAGAATCAAGGATTAATTTCCACCAATTATGGCATGAATAAAACCAATCAACTAAAATATATTTTAAAAATCAAGAAGATAGTAGGAAAACAGCCTCTGAGGACCCCTGGAACAGTAATTAGGCGGGCACTCTGTGCCTGTTGGACATTACCATTTTCTTTAATGTTTGTATGAAACGACGCCAATTTATCTTTAAGCAATTTATCTTTAAGTTGCTGAAGTGATGCAAACAGCTGTCATGTAACAATCACCAAGAGAGGACCCATTCTAGTTCACAAACTGCCCTGATGCTTTTTATAAAAAACAATCCACTTCAGGATAATGTGTTGTTCCTGGTTCCTATGTCTCTTTAACTTCTTTAAATCAGAAGCATTCCATAGTCCTTCTTCAACCTTCATAGCATCCTAAACATTTTTTGAAGGTAATATTCCAATGGATTCTATTTTTAGAATGTCTCCCAATTTCGATTTGTCTGGTGTTTTCTCATAATGAGATGTCAAGACATGCATTATTGGCAATAAAATCACCAACATGATGCTATGCTCTTCTTATCATATTTCTTCAGGTTATATATGAAATTAATTTTTCCCATCAGTGGTGATTTTAATTTTGATCATTTGAAAGGTAATGTCTTCCAGATTTCTCTATTGCAGAGGTACTCCTCATTTTCTTTATATTAATATAACATGACATAAAATGATATTTTATATATAGACTATCTATTGTATACATGTATATATACATGTAATTAATCTAAAATTAAGTGTTTTGTGGAGAGATACTTTGAGACTGTGAAAATATCCTATTTCTTCTCCAACATTTACCCACTAGGTTTAGCATCCATTGATGCCTCAACACTCAATCAAATACAATGTGAAGATTTTCAAATGATAATTTTTTAACATACAATATCAACCCTTTTCCTTTTATTGGTTGGCACTCTGTGGGAAAAAAATAGTGTTTCCTTCTTTTATTCATTCATTAATTCATGGATTTATCTCACGTGGACCCATGGATTCCTATTTCTTTCAGTGGCCCATGATCTGTTCCTTTACTTATTTTATTGATTCAGTTTTGCTAATTTTGCTAGTAGGAACTATTCAAGTTTCTCAGCTCTTTTAACATGTCTTTCTTAGCATTTGAGCACTCCCTTATTTTCCTTGTTTTTTTTTTTCTCAGATTATGAATGGTCATTGCAAATCTATCAAAATATACTGGATTTCTGTATATTATTATTATATCCTGTGATCTACATAAACACACAATTTTACTAACTTTTTTGCAAATATCTTCTTTATTTTCTGCACAGAATACAATATCTGTGAAGAAAGACATCTTTCTTTCTAAATTGTATGTATTCTTACCTCTCTCAATGCATTGCTAAGACATGTAGTATAAGCTTCAAAAGAATGTATCAGAGCAAGCATGCTTGTCTTTTTCTAGGTATCAGGGCAAAAATATTCAGTCACCTTAATGTTATTGGAAAGTTAAGGTACATAGTATAAACCTTAGAGCACCTAACAGGACAAAATAAGCAAAAACATATGACTAATAATCTTATTAGTTGAAATAAAATAAAATTCAAAATTAAACACTTAATCCAAGATAAAGCATCAAAAGTGGAAAATAGTAATAAAGAACAGATTAAATTTTATGGAAAATAAATTTTATGATAGTAGATTTAAGGCCAAAATATAGATAACAATATTAAATATAAGTAGTCTAAAACTACTATTTAAAGTAAGAATTTTAAGACTAAATTTAAAAAGTAATGTTAAATCAATATAAAGACAAAGATTGGTCAGAAAAAATAGGTTGAAGATAGCTGTACTTCGCCATGATACAATAAGAGGAACTAAACTAAATTCTTTACAAAACAAACAAACAAAAAACAAAAACACATACACAAATAAAAACTAACTGCAGAAAAATATAATCAACAGTGATTTTTTAACCATTGACAAGAAGCTGAGGATGCTGATCCCTGACAAAAGAAAAAATAAAATCTGACTTATCCCAAGCTTTCTCTCAGTTTCCAGAAGACACAGTGAAAGGATAATCCAAAGAAAGGATAACTCTCCCTGTATATTGAGAAATTGAAGATTGGGGCTTAGAAAGGAAAATTTAGCTAGAATTGCAGAGCTAAATAGAAGAGAGAGAGCATTTGCACAGAGATGGTGATATGGTATGGCTTTATCCCCACCTACATCTCATCTTGAATTCCCATGTGTTGTGGGAGGGACCAGGTGGGAGATAATTGAATCATGGTGGCAGGCCATCCCATCCTCATGATAGTGAATAAGTTCCACAAGATCTTATGGTTAAAGAAGAGGGAGTTTTTCTGAACAAGCTCTCTCTTTGCCTGCCACCATCCATGTAAGATGTGACTTGCTCTTCCTGGCCATCTGCCATGATTGTGAGGTTTCCCCAGCCATGTGGAAACATAAGTCCATTAAACCTCTTTCTTTTGTAAATTTCCCAGGCTGGGGTATGTCTTTATCAGTAGCATAAAAATGGATGAATACAGGAATATAGGAAGTGTCTGCTTTTTCCTGGCTTTTATCTTTGCCTGTAACATTCCACCCCAGAGACTCACATGGCTTCTCCTTTCTCTTCAAGTCTTGCTAATCATTCCTTGTTGATTCCTTAAAATCAACACATATAAATGTGTATCCCTTTCTTAAGCAAGAGATCCCTTTCATCCTTTACCTTTCTGTATTTGTTAGTAGAATTAACCATCTGCTAGTATACTATAAAATTTACTTATGTATTATATATATTATCTATTCTAGTGATATGATTTAGCTCCATTCCCACACAAAATCTCATCTTGAATTATAATCAGATTTATAATCCCCATGTGTTGGGGGAGGGATCTCCGGGAGGTGATTAGATCATGGGGTGGTTCTCCCATGTTGTTCTCATGATAGTGAGTGAGTTCTCATGAGATTTGGTGGTTTTATAAAAAGCTTTTACCCCCTTCACTCTGCACTTTTCCTTCCTGCCACAATGTGCAGAAGGACATGGTTTGCTTCCCCTTCTGGCATGATTGTAAGTTTTCTGAGGCCTCCCCAGACCTGCAGAATTCTGAGTCAATTAAGCCTCTTTCCTTTATATATTAACCAGCATCTAGCAGCTCTTTATAGCAGTGTGAGAATGTACCAATACAACAAGTGAACAGGTATTTTTGCTTATTGTCCATTGTCAAAACCACTTATTTATTTTTACATTGTCTATCTTCTATGGTTTGTTACCTCCAACAATAAGGTAATCAAGGGTCAAAATTTTTTGTTTATTCAGTAAAATGTTCTCAGTGAATTGGGCATTGGGTGGCACAGAGTATTTAATGTGTCTATTAATTTTGTATATAAATGAATAAATTTTCTAAATTTTCCTAATAATGTTAATAGAAGACCTAAAAAGTATAATCAGTAAATTAGTTGTATTTTGAAGAAAAAAAATTAATCTATGTAACAAATTATTGTAAAAATTCTCAGAATATACACTTGAGTAATAATCACTGTAACATTTACCTATTTAAAAAGAATGAAATGTAACAGTGAAGGCATCTGAGTCTGGAATTTGTTTCCCCTAAGAAGGTATTAAATTAAAATTCAGTATCTTTAACAAATCTAAAGATATGAAGAAATTTTATTTATTCTAGAGTAATTGTAAAGATTATTTTGCTAACCATACAATTTATTCAACCATTATCAAATTTATTGGCATAAAGTTTTTATAATTTAAGTTATTATCATTTTGATATTTGTAGTATCTTTACAACACCCACCATCTTCCCAACCTTGCCCACTTTATTTCCTGAAAGTGGTTGCTGACAGATTTCTGTCTTGTATCTTTCTCAGACTATCGAGAATTTAATTCAGTTTATTCCTTTTATCAAAGAATCAGTTTTAAATTTCATCTTTTCCTTTTGAATTTCTGTTATGTCTTTATGAAATTTTAGTTTTTCTCTATATTTTACTTTCTACTTCTTGTTTAATTTGGTTTTCTTTTCACTTTTTCAGGTAGACATTTGTGTCATTAATTTTAGACATTTCTCCTTTTTCTAATACAAACATTAAAAACTTCGTATTTCTCCAAAGGATTCCTGAAGTTGTAGTGTTTTTATTTTTATCCAGACCAAAATACTTTCTAATTTATCTTTTGATTTACTATTTGCTTCAAGGCATCATTAGAAGTTTATTATATCTAAATATTTGGGGATTTCATTGTAGTTTTGGTTTTGTTTTTTATTTTAAATTTAATTCTATTGGATCAGAGAACATACTCTCCAAGATCTAATCCTGTTAAATTTGTTGAAACTTTATTATTTGTTGCCTAACATGTGATGAATGTTAGTGCATGTGGAAAATAAAATAAGTTTTTGCTGGTGATGAGTATAATATTCCATGCATCCTAGAACTTGTTAGGTTATAATGTCATTAAATTTGTAGATATTTTCTTTAAAATTTTTTATTTACTTGTTTAATAATATCAGAAAATAGTTTTCAAATCTTTAAATATATTGTGGATTTGTATATTTTTCTTCTCAATTCCGTAAGTTTTTGGCTTGAGTATTTTAAATGCAGAATTGTTTGTTAATGTGTGAAAAAACATTTTGCATTATCAGGTTCTCTTGATGAATTGGACCAATTATATTGATCTTTATCCTGCTAAAAATATTTCTTGATTTGTGGCCCATTTTGTCTGATATTAATAGAAGTCTTCAGTTTTTATATACTTAGTATTTATACCATAGAAACACTGCCGTCCTCTTATCTTAAAAGGCTCCAGAAATTTGAACTTTCATGTAAAATATTTTCAATATTAATTTATAATATTTTATAACATTACATAGAAATTTTGAAAAAATATTTGTTATTTATATAAAAAGCCTACTGAGATCTGGACTGATATTGCAATTAATCTAGAAATCAATTTAGTAGAACTACCTTCTTAACACTACAAAGCATTCAAATTATTGAACTTGGTTTATCTCTCCATTTATTTAGGTCTGCCTTAATGTCTCTCAGCACTGTATTGCAGTTTTCTAAGTATCGAACAGAATGGTTCATAGTGGATATTTTTACATTCTTTCTTATAGTAGGAGGAACCATTTGGTATTTCACTATATTAACTATTTTTATATATGTTTATTACTTTTGAAATAATTTGTTTCTCTTGCCTACTTTTCTGTAAGTCTTTATTATGAATATGTGTAAAATGTCATCAAATGCTTTTCTACTTTTAATAAAATAATCCTATACAAATTTTTCAAATCAAAATGTAGGTCTGTAGTTTTCTGTTAATCTCTACCTATTTTTTTCCTTTATGGGTAATCTGTACCTCATATAATGTACTGTTAGGGTTGCTGCTTCTTTTATTTCTGAAAGACTTTGCATAGAATTGTTACTATTTATTCTTTAAACATTGTGAGAATACAAGAGTGAAACCTTCCTGACCTGGAATTATTTTGCGTGTGAGTTTCAAATTATAGATTTAATGTATTTAATAGATGCAGGATTATTCATGGTGTCTCTTTATTTTTAAGTGAATTTTGTAACCTCTTTTCTCTCAAGTAATGTGTCCGTTTACCAAACTTTTAAAATGTATTTGCATAAAGTTTAAACATTGTGTGCTTACTATCATTTTATAACTATAGTATAATTAGTGACAGTCTTTCATTACTGGCTTTAGTATTTAGTATTTTTTCTCTTTTTTGTTGAGTATAGCTAGAATTTTTTCATTTTTTAATAAATTAGCTTTTTATTTTATTGATATTCCATTTTGGTGTTCTTTCAATTTTTATTGATTTTTGTTCTTATATGTATTTTATTATTTCTTTTTACCTTAGTACATTTCGACTGCAATAGAAAAATACCTTTTTGTTGTGGCTTATAAACAACATAATTTTATAATTTATAATAATATAAACTTATAACTTATAAATTTACTTCTCATAGTTCTGGAGGCTGAGAGGTCCGAAATCAAGGCACTCAAAAATTTGATGTCTGGTGAGGGCCCATTTCCTGGTTCATAGATGGTTCCTTCTCTCTGCATCTTCACATAATGGAAAGAGCAAGGTAGCTCTCTGGGGTCTCTTTTGTAAGAAAACTACTCATTTACTATCCTTAATGTAGTACTAATTTAGTACCCTTATAAAAGAGCCCCAGATCTCTACTTTCATGATCTAAGCACCTCCCAAAAGACCCCATCTCCTAATACCATAAGTTTGGGAGTTAGGATTTCTACATAGGAAATTCGAGGAGACACAAACATTCAGACAATAGCATTCTGTTTTGTTTGGGTTTAATTTGCTTTAGGAACTGATTAGATTCTTTTTTCTTTTCTAACATAAACACATGGCACTATTACATTTATCTAATTCTTTATTTCTAAAAAATTTTTAATTATTATGGATACATAATAGTTGCACATATGTGTGGGGTACATATGCATACAAGCATACGATGTACAATTATCAAATCAGGATTCTGATATTCATCACCTTAACATGTATAGTTTCTTTGTGTTAATATTGTTTAGTTACCTTAATAAATTGACCCCTTTATAATCAGTGAGTATATTTTCTATCACTGGTAATATATTTCGTTCTGAAATATATTTAGTTTGACATTAATATAGTAACTCTAGTTTTCTATAAATTTTTGTTTGCACTACACACACAGATATCTATGTATTTATATTTACAGTAGAATTTTGGTAGACAGAATTGGATTTCTGATTTTTCATTGATGTATATGAATGATTTACATGTAATGTAATGTGATTATGAATAAGCTTAGGTTTAAATATACCTTCTTGCTATGTTTTCTATTTATCTTATATGCTCCTTGTTCAATTATTTATCCTTTTTTTACATTTTGTAGATTAGTTAAATATGTACTTCATTATTTTATGTTATTTCTACTATTGGTTTACTAATGTACTTCTTTTATAGGTTCTGCTTTAAGGTTTAAAATATAAATACTTCTGTTTTAAGGTTTAAAATATAAAACTTCTACTTTAAGTTTTAAAATATAAATACTTAACTCTTCACAGCCTACTTTCAAATAATAGTATATCACTTGATATGCAGTATAATACATTGCCAGTTTTTTTCTGCAGACACACATATACATCTCATAAAATTTTACTTCTGCCTTAGGAATCTTTCTTATAAATGACAATGGAGGATGGCTGACAATGAAATTCTTTAGATTTTGTTCAGTGCTGAGACAACGTTGAGATGAGCAAATTACCTCTGGTGAAAAACTTAATGAGGCACTCTCTCGGGTCACACAAGACACAAGTTTTGCACTCTCGATCTCAAATATATAACTCTGAAAGTGAGTAGCTCTTTAGGTTTTCGGACCTAGTTGTGTCATTTACTTTACCCTAGTTCCAAACCTATTTTTAATTTTCTAAAAATAAACGAACCCTATTTTACTTTAGTGCTTAAAATTTTCTACTTGTTATAAAAATGTAGATAAAGCTGTTTTTTCTTATTTAGTTATTTATGATTGCTCCATTGTCTCCAAGCTTTCATAGTTTCTGAAGAAAGTTACCCATATTTGTGTGTGTGTGTGTGTGTGTGTGTATTTCTTTTGATGTGGATTATTTTTTCATCTCTGATGCCTTTTAAGATTTTTCACTTTATCACTGATTTTCAGAAATTAGACAATAGTTTACCTTGCCATTTTGTCTTTATTTGTGATTCTAATAACATTTTGGCAATCATTTCTTTGAATTTTTGGTTTTGTTCTTCCCTACCACATACTCACACACATACATCCACTCAGTGTTCTTCTGGGACTCCATCTCTTCTTGTATTATGCTGCTTGATATTGTCCAACACAGTGTGGTTGTTTTTTCAAATGTGTCTATGTTTTCTGTTTTGGATAGTTTATATTGTTATATTATCAAAATCACTGGTATTTTTTCTACAATGGTTAAAGTGCTGTTAAATTTATTCATACATTTTTAATCTAATATACTTATTTTTTCTGTTTTAGGAGTCTGCTTGTTTTTATTTCTTCCATTTTTATTTTCTCACAATATACATATTTTCCCATCTTATTTGAAAAAATAAAGCATATTTTTAACACCTGAATTAACATGTTTCAACACTAATTATTATGTTCATCAAAACCAGATATTGTGAATTCTATATTGTTATGTGACGGATTTTGTTGAATTCCTTTTGTATATTTGTATTTTGTTCTCAAACACAGTTAAATTATTTGGAATCAGTTTGATGCTTTTAGAGATTGCTATAAAATTTTCTTAGAGAAGATGTAGAGTTGCTTTAGGTTTAGGAATGAGTGAGTTCCATCACAAAAGCAGGATTCTTCCAAAGATTCTACCTAATAGCTCATATATTACCCTGTCTTCTACTTTGGTTTGTGGCAACAATAATATTTGCAGAGCTTTCTGAGCTTTGAGAATTGTTCTTCAAACACTTTGTGTTGGCATTTTACCCCAGGCTTCAGTTATTTTCTCTCATGTATTCACAGTTTAGTATTCAATGAAGGACTCAATAATTTCCTAGGAAGGTCTGCAGACTCACGGTCATCTGTATTCATTAGCATGGGCTGCTATAACAAAATGCCATAGACTGAGCAGCTTATAAACCACAGAGATGTATTTCTCAGTCTAACCTCACATGGTGGAAGAGGGAGGGGTCTCTCTGGCACCTTTCATAAGGGCTCCACTCCCATGATCCAGTCACCTACCAAATTGCCCATTTTTTAATATTATCACCTTGGTGGTGAGAATTTTAATATACAAATTTGGGGAGGTCAATTAGACCAGAGCATAATTCTTGGCAGATAAAAGAAGCCATAAGAAAGCTGGTGTGATCAGACCAGAATGAGCCAGAGGGAAGTTTTAAGATACAATAAAATATTAGGCTAGACTATTAAAGTACTTTGTCATTAGAAATTATGTCTTTCGGATGAAATCTACCCAATCCTTGCTTGTACATCTTGCTAAAGTTTTAACTTTTCCATTGATTTCATTATATTTGTCATGTCTTTCCTATCAATTTAATTTTCAATTATCTTCACTTCTTATACATACTGCTATATATTATTTAATCATTCTGCCTTAAATTATTTTGTGTACAGTTATAATACTTCAGCCTAGTTTACTAGGAACTCATTACAGTTGTTCCTCTGTATTTGTGGGGTACTGGTTCTAGGAACCCTCAGACAAAACAATCTACAGATGCTCAAGACCCTTCCATAAAATGATGTATAATAGTATTTTATACACCTACATCCACACTGTCACATACTTTAAATCATCTCTAGATTTCTTATGATACCAAGTACAATGTAAATGCTATGTAGGTAGTTATAGTGTGTTCTTTAGGGGATAATGACAAGGCAGAATTCCATATGTGTTCACTTTTTCATAAATGTTTTTCCAAATATTTTTGATCCATGGGTGGTTGAATCCACACATGCAGAACCTATGGATATGGAGGGTCCACTGTACTTTTTTCTATCCTCCTAACTACATATTGGTTTCTATTTTTGTCTTTATTAAATCTTAAATTGTAGTCATACTACAAATTCGATCTTTTCTATTGTTTCATTTTTTTCTATTTCTTGAACAGTATTCTGTTTCTGTTTCAATGCATTAGTATCCACTTATTTATGTTTACCAAAATATTATACAGTCAAATAATTCAGGAAGACTTTGAAAATTTAAAGTCAACAGATTTGTATTAGCCTCAATTATATCATCTGTAATAAATCAGATTATCCTGTCACTAGGATTAAATATTAAAATCTATTTAAGACATCTTAAAGAATATTTGAGATATTATGTATACTTAATATGGATATTTGTTTTCTTCCCTTCATTTTCTGATTTATTTTAGCCTTTTCATTTGTATTGTTTTATGTACCTTACAGTTACATAAACTCCTTAGTATCTGGAAACTTGTCTTCTTGTTTTAATGTGCCATTCATCTCCTTTGCACAGTTTCTTACACATATATGTTCTACAAATGTTTATTAAATGAATTAGTGTCAACTACATGCATGCTTTATTCATTAAGCTGTCAAAGGATTGATCCGCTTTACAGCTTTGTCAAACTATAGAACTTTAATTCTTTTGCCATATTTTAAAAATAATACATGTTTAGGTAATAATAAAATCAATATTCATACTCATAAAATAACAGATTGTAAAAGCATTGTAAGCTAACCACATACATTTTGGAAAAGAAACTGAAATTAATTCTTAAATTCTTTCAAATTCTTCATCTTATTTACTCTTTTTGTAAAGTAAATGTTTATCTTGTATTTTAGTTTTAAGCTCTTAGAATCTTCAACAATATAGTTTTTTGTACATAAAATATTTAAATCAACTTAATCTATGTACATGTTATCAACTAAGTTCAAGTAAAATTACATAAAATGCAACAATGCATTTTATTTTTCTATTCATATTTTTCTAATAAATCTTGTAAGTTTAAGTAATTATTTTAGTTAATGCTATGAAATTCTACCTAGGCAGGTTAGGTGTTAATTTCCCAATTTGTATTCAAACTGAACAGTTTTCTCTGGGCTCTTCATCATTTCATCTTTCCACTTAACTTTCTCTATTTTAACCAAATAATATTTATTGTATTTTGCCCCATTTAAACTAATGAATAAAAATTTCCATCATTGTAAACTCTATGTTGATGTTTCAAATAGAATATTTTATTCCCTGTGTGTTTTGAGTAGTAGCACCTTTAATGTTTTATCTATTTATATTTGTACAAGGCATATTACACATCTGAAATGAACACAGTACTAATTAGCATAAAGTCAATGTTAGCCTTAGACTTTACAGGTAAGTCTACAGAATACAGAAAGAAAAAATATAATGTCATATGTACTTCTTAAACAGTTGTATCAGTGGAAAAACTGATGATGCATTCATGTTTTCCTCAATATTTAGTGAGGAGAGCAAAAATGAGTAATAAGAAGGCAAGAAAAAATATCCACTGTGTCACTGTAACAGGCACTAGATGATGAGGTCATAGAATGTATTCATCTTTATTTATTCAGAAATTAGCTCCATACCTAGCACATAAACATTCCCATCTCAGGTCTCAGTTCGCTTGTGCTTCTGTAACAAAATAGCTGAGACTGATAAGAACAGAAACTTGTTTCTCACAGTCCAGGAGGCTGAAAAGTTCAAAACCATGGTTCTGGCAGTTTTGGCACCAAGTGAGGTCCCAGTTTCTGCTTCTAAAATGGTAACTTGAATGTTGTGTCCTTACATTAGCTAGTTCCCTTCAGCCCTTTTGTAATGCACTAATCCCATCTATGAGTACAGAGTCCTCATGGCCTAATTACTCCTAAAGGCCTGACTTCTTAATACTATTGCATTGAGGATTAAGTTTCAAAATGGCTTTTAGAGGGGAGACAAACATTTAAGCTAAAGTATAATAATCCATAATTTTTGAATGAATGAACAAAAAGTCACTTGCATTTAAATGTGAAAATGTAGATACTTTTGGTGTCAGTTATTTTCTGTACAATTGCGATTATTCCTCATAAAAATTCAGAGCAATCAGTTGGCTTTCAATTAAATTTACATATTAGTTATAAACATTTTAAATGTTAACTCTGTTTCTACACTTCATGATATTTAATATGTATATTAATTTTACAAGACTTACTTAAATATTTTTCTTCCAATTTTCTAATTCCCTTTCCCTTGTTGAAATGAGCAAACACACAAAATATCAAGTAACAGAAAATGCATTGCTAATGTCTTACTTTGGTAAGATACTTTCATTAGTATTTCGAATAGAACTGAGATTTTTATTTTTATATATTTTTTAACCAAACCTGACTCATATTATAGATGATCTAAAGTATTAATGTAATACAAATCCATTGTATTTCTTGGCACAAAGAAAAAAGTGGGTCATGTCAAACACCTGCAATGACAGTAAAATCATGTCACAAATAGGTAAGCTAATTATGTTGAAAAATGATTATGCACACACTATGTAAAGCATTGTCCTTTTCCTTTGTTGGAGGGCATTTATTCATAGACATCATGTATACTTTCTTTCCAAAGGGTAAGATTGACCTAGAACCCTATGGACAACCCTTTATAGTTAAGCTTGCCAACTACTTGTCAGAAATGATTAGTGAGAAATGTAGGAAAGAAAATTTCCCCTGTTGATAACAGGGGGCAAATAGAAGATGCCCTGAAGTTGTCATAAGGAATCACATTTTTTTCAATAAGAATATTTTTTATTTGATAATATCTAATATCACAGATCAACCTTTATTTACACATATTCTAGACATGGGTTGAACTTGACAGGTTTCGGTAATAGAAAATTCTGTGGCAACTCACAAAAGAGTATGTGTGCATTGTAATCATTTTTATTATAAATAATAACTGTGTCTTTTCTTGATAAAATGAAGATATAATAAATCATGATTTCCCCTCAATCATATCTTTTAGAAACTGAGTTTATGTGTCTTTAGATTTATAATAATCCCAAGCTCACATTTTATGTTAAAATACTCATTAAAATGCGATAATTTATTACAACTTTATTTTGGATTATATTCTGAATGTCTTACAACATGAAAGCTAAAGAATGCTATACATTTTTTGAAACAGATTTATATAAGCCTCACAGTCTGTATTATGAAATTATTAATGTTAGAGTAACATTTTGATCTACTAGATTCATAAAATTAGTGAGAATTCTTCAGCTATTATTTTGAATCCTCTCTTTATATCTCTTAATAATACAGATAACACAGATTTGAGCTACAGGAAAATGTAATATGCATTGTGTTTGAACAAAGTGTGTTATAATTTCAGATGTACATCAACCTATACTGTATCCCTATGTTGTGTAAGACTGAATATCCTAGATCATATTGGATTATTACAGTCAATAATATTTTACATTAAACATCAAAAAATAATATGGCATTCATTTGTAACCCAGAAAAATGAGTAACTCCCAGGGGAAATTTAGTTTTCATTGCTCCTTATGCTAACAACTTTAAAGTTCAAATGCTAACTTTCTATCTCCATTTTATTTAGAATGTATAATAAATCTTTCATGGAAAAAGACGAATTTCTATTTTTTTTTTTTTTTTGAGATGGAGTCTCTCTCTGTCGCCCAGGCTGGAGTCCTGTGGCGCGATCTCGGCTCACTGCAAGCTCCACCTTGTGGGTTCACACCATTCTCCTGCCTCAGCCTCCCAAGTAGCTGGGACTACAGGCACCCGACACCACGTCCGGCTAATTTTTTTTGTATTTTTAGTAGAGGCGGGGTTTCACCGTGTTAGCCAGGAGAGTCTCAATTTCCTGACCCGGTGATCTAACCCCCTTGGCCTCCCAAAGTGCTGGGATTACAGGCGTGAGCCACCACGCCCGGCCTCTATTTTTGAAAGTTACCTTTTGTCATTTTTTTATCTGCAGTAGTGTGGATTAGAAACCTGGCTCAGTCCTACCACTAAAATAATTCTTAAAAGTTGGATGAAACATTAAAAAAATCTTGCTTTAGTGTCACAATGATCAGGCAAGAAGACAACAATTTTATGAAAATTAAGGTTTTACCTTGAGAGCATTCTCTGGTCCTGATAAGGATGAGGCCATGTTTCTTGGGACTGTAAAAAACAGGGGACCAGAGACAAAGCTCAAAGTCCAGCCAAATTGGAAGTGTAGTAAGAGAACACTCTTACACTATTGGTGGGAGTGTAAATTAGTTCAACCATTGTGGAAGACAGTATGGTGATTCCTCAAGGATCTAGAACTAGAAATACCATTTGAGCCAGCAATCTTATTACTGGGTATATACTCAAAGGATTATAAATTATTCTACTCTAAAGACACAGGCACACGTATGTTTATTGCAGCACTATTTACAATAGCAAAGACTTGGAACCAACCCAAATGTCCATCAATGATAGACTGGATAAGGAAAATGTGGCACATATACACCATGGAATACTATGCAGCCATAAAAAAGGACGAGTCTGTGTCCTTTGCAGGGACATGGATGAAGCTGGAAGCCATCACTCTCAGCAGACTAACACAGGAACAGAAAACCAAACACCACATGTTTTCATAAGTGGGAGTTGAACAATGAGAACACATGGTCACAGGGAGGGGATCATCAGGGAGGGGCTGTAGGGGGTGGGGGCCTAGGGGAAGGATAACATTAGGAGAAATACCTAATGTAGGTGACGAGTTGAAGGGTGAAGCAAACCACCATGGCACATGTATACCTATGTAACAAAACTGCAGGTTCTGCACATGGACATGGGGAGAGGAACATTACACACTGGGAACTGTTGGGGGTGGAGGGCAAGGGGAGGGAGAGCATTAAGACAAATACCTGCAAGTGGGGCTTAAAACCTAGATGACGGGTTGATAGGTGCAGCAAACAACCACGGCACATGTATACCTATTTAACAAACCTGTACGTTCTGCACATGTATTCCAGGACGTAAAGTGAAATATAAAAAAAAAAAGAATGCCCTTTTCTGGGGTTCTCACTAATACGACCTGTGTAACTTGAAAATCCTCAAGACAGAAATTTAAAGTGATCTCATTCTGTTTATAACCCTGGGCCCTTGGTACAAAAAAATTTATATAATCCTTTTGGGAACCCTATTTAAATTCTATCCTAAAATTATTTGCATAAATATACTTCCATTAGTTAGGAATTGACAGTAAAACAAAACAAAACACACAGAGAAAGATGGTGCATGAAAAGAATATAGGAGGAAAACAGGGAGATAAAAGAATCACATGAAGAAAAACTCCAGATACTGGAATTATAAGAATGTATAACAAACAAGTTTGAATTAAGTAAGAATTAAAACGAATGATTTAAAAGTTTAATTCAAACAATAGTAAACACACAACTGACACATTCATGATATATTAGAGATAGCTAAAGTGAGAATAACCACATAACGTAAAACATAGTTAAATTCACTGTGACTATTAAGAGATGTATAAAAATGAACAATAAAGAGAAAGGATTCAGTGATATGAAAGACAGAATGAAAATGACTATCATATATTAAACTGGAGTCTAATATATTCATTAGTGAGATTTACTGACATCCCTAATGAAAGACATCAAATTCTCAGATTCAGGAGAAATAAGACATTACACTCAAGATACATAAGATGAATTCATTCCTCGGCACACCTAAGTTTTTATCATAACCGTACCTTCAATCATCTTCATTCTTCCTGACCTGATCTATTTTTCTCATCGTATTTACCACCTTCAAACATATGGTACACATCCTATTTACTTTGGGTATCTTATATTACAATATAATCTCAAAACAGATTTTGTTGATTTTATTTACAAGACGTAACCAAAGGGCCTAGATTATCTTTATAGCATAGTATATGTTCAAAATTTATTACCAAATAAATATAAAGTACATTTATGAAAGGTGAAGGAGAATATAAAACAGAGGGAAGATCTTCAGAACTACCACAACAAAATGACACATAACTTAAATGTCAAAATACCAACACTGACTTCTTATCAACAGCAATAAAAAGTAGGAAAAAATTTGGAAAATATCCTCAATGAGTTTAGACACACTTCTATACATTAGAGGTTTATGAAACACAAAAACTCCTTTTATAAATGAGTCAAAATAATGACATTTTAGACAAAGAATAACAGAAAATTTATCATCCAAAAGCACCTTCTAAAGAAATCTCAAAAGACAAATTTCAAAGGAAAATGATCACAGATAAAAGATTTTGGATAAAATAAATAATGGAAAAATAGAATATATATGGGAGGTATAAAAAAGAAAATAAAATTTACTTCAATACAAAATTGAAATGTTTAAAGATGTTTTGGTGGGGGTTTCCATTGCTCTTCAGCTTTGATTATTTATTTAAAAAACTCTCAGAACTCAGAGAAGCAATTATACTCATGTTTACAGTTTATTAAAACAAAAGGATGCAGAGTCATATCAACAAAGGAAAAAGATTCTCAGGGCAAAGTCCAGGAGACTCCAGGCACAAACTTACAAGTGTCCATCACAGTAGAATCACATGCAGATACACTTCAATCTCCCAGTAATGCTGCATACAACCACATGTGAATTCTTGGCAATTAGAGCAGCTTATTTATTATTTGATGTCCCAGGTTTTTATTGGTGGTTAATCACATAGGCATGCAATGCCCACGTGGCAAAACTCGGCAAATTCAGCTTCCTTTCCATGATCCCTCTAGAACAAAACCAGGCATTCAGCATAAATCATATCTTAGAATAAACGTTATCTGGTTAAATTGATACCACATGGTTCAAATAAATACAGCATGGCTCAGGGCCTCAGGCATATAAAGTCAGTCGTTCACCATAAACCCAAGGCCTCAGATATACAAAAACACTCTTCACGGTAAGACTATTTCCAGAACTCAGAGGCTAGCTAGTCCTAAAAACAAACCTTACCTTTGAATGTGCAGGGTTGAAGAAACCCTGGCCTGCTGAGTTAACACATTCTTGCCTAATCCATATTTATTGTCCCTGGTCTAATCTCTCCTGTAGCAAAACAATCATATTTTTCTGAGCATCTACATTGAATATGGCATTTATATGACAGTAACAACAGTAATATTAACATGAATATGCCTAGCATTTTATGGACACAGTGTAGGGTAAAGATTGATTTTTAAAAATTACTAATGCATCCTACAAGGCCATTACATACACTTTAATATTTTGTACAAATGAAATTACTCATTCTTCCTCTCAATCTGCTTTTATTTTTACTTTTTGATAAATCTGTGCAGAACTATTTAGCATTGAAATTAGATAATGGTTAGCTAAATTCTGTTTTCTCAGGCCATTTATTATTCACCCAGATTACATTCTGAAGAGGCTTTAACTCAATATCTAATACATTTGATTATCAATATAAGCATTATATAACTTCTCTACATAAGATAGTTGAATCTTACCAACAATGCTAGTGTAATGTCATATTGCAGTATGATCATGTTACAATTCAGTTTTATTACAGAAAAAGTTATTATGAATGATAGAGCTATTTGTTACAGCTACTCAACATAATTGGTTCTTGTCTTTATACCGTATAGTATTATAAATAAGTGTTATTACTACTCACCATGATTTGATTATTTCTGGGTTTCTAATGGGTTGTGGACTTAGCCAGTCACCCTGTCTCAGTTCACAGGCCCTAATTGACAGTGGTCTCTACTATATGCTGTCATACACCAGGATACACTCCCTTCCTATAGACAAGACACAAGAATAAGAATAGTTTATATCTCTGCTACCTGTACTACGGGATGTCTTAGCCTTATCTATTCTTGGGGCAATGGCAATAACAATGAATTAATATAAATTATGAGTGACCTCAGAGATGGGGTCCCTAAGATTATATAAATGTGTCCTTCTGCATCTAAGAAGAACCATTGCCCTATGGTTATTTAGGCCTCCATCTGCGTTAAAGTGATAAAGTGATGCTATTCAGTCATAATACAAGCTCATTACCAGTGTTGGGTCCTAGCATTATCCATCATTAATTGTTGAGTCTACCTTACCAAGTTCACTAAAACTTCATCATTTTTTCCAGGTTGAATCCCATCCCTTCCTCTCTCATAGATGAGAATTCCCTCTAATCTATTTATTTTAGTTAATAAATCTTCTTTCCATAAAAGCCATTCATGATTAAAAATGAATTCAGCTTTTCTCACAATGCCTAGATCAGCATCTATCTCCCTGAAGGTTTTTTTCTGTTTGTAGGCCAATGCTTAACCCAAGATGGTTGTTGTCATTGTGTACTAGATTTAACTGGAATGAGGAACCATGTTTTACACTCCAGACTGTTTGGTTCTCAGTATGAGGATAAAAATAAGAAAAAACAAAACAACAAACAAACAACAACAAAAAACAAGAGTTCTCTAAAATTTTCGAGAAACAGAAGAGGAAGAAATGCTTCTCAATTCATTTTATGAAGCAAGCATGACACTTAAACAGAAGACAAAGATGATAAAAAAAAGAAAAGGAAAACAAACAAACAAACAAAACTTTAGACCAACATAACCTAGATGCAGATCTACAAATATACCCTAGATGCAAAATCCTCAACAACTTGAATATGACACTATGTAAAAAAGTGACACATGACCAAGCCATGTTTATTCCAGAAATGCAAGACAGTTGCAATATTTTAAAAAATCTAATAATATAATTCATCATATTAATATTCTAAAATAGGAAAATGCATGATCATTTCAATAAATGCAGGGGAAAAAGACACTATTCAACAGTTACTTCTGATAAAAATTCAGCAAACCAGAAATAGCAGAAAATTCCTTCATCTTGATAAAGAGCATACAAAAAATCCATCATATTTAGCTGTGAAACACTGAATGTTTTCCACATGTATGCTCAGGAATAAAGCAAAGATGTTTGCTTTTATCACTCTTTTTCAACATAATACTTAGAGTTCTATCCAGTGCGTAAGGAAAAAAAGGAAGAATAAAATAAATGCAGACTGGAAAGAAATAAGTAAAACTGTTCCTATTTGTAAATAATATGATTATATATGTAGAAATTTATACAGCATTTAGGAGAGAGAAGGAATGTAGAAAAGGGAGAGGAATGGGGAGGCAAAAACAAAGGGGAAGGAGAAAGTAAAAGAACAGTGGAAGGAGAAGCAGTGTCTCATAAAATTAAGAAGGATTTAGCAAGATTAGGACAAAAGGTAAAAACAGGTTTCCTGATATTTTTAATTGCATTTCAATAGCTTTCCAAACATAAATATTTCTCAGGTAGTTGAATGCTTTGGTCAATTTCAAGAGTGATGGAAGGCTGTTTTAATGAATTTCTAGTGGCCTTTTTGTAGAGGATTTGCTGGTCTTTTCAAGTGACCATAGTCCACATTGATGGGTAGATTGAATATGGAAACCATCTTGAACTCCCAAGATAAATGCCAATTAGTAATGATATATTTTACAAACACACGTGCATGCACACACATACACACACAGACATGAGAGGATTTAATTGGATAATATTTTGCTGAAGTTTTTGAAATTTAAATTCATCATCTAAATACATATTTGTCTACAGGACATTTTCTTGTAATGTCTTTTTTATGGTTTTGGTATGGGGATAATGGTAGACTCATAAAACATGTTGAAAAGTGTTTCCTCTTTTTTATTTCTTAAACTTTTGTGTAAAGTATAAATTATATCTCCTTAAATATTAGTAAAATTTGTCAGTTCATTTATCTAGGTGGGTATTAATAAATTTAAAACATATATATAGGGATGTTCATGTTATTGCTTTCTTTTTGAGCTTGCCTTAGTCGTTTGTATCTTTTGAGGGATTTATACACTTAATCTAAATTAACTAATTTACATTTATAAATTTCATCATGGTATTCATTTAGTTATCCTTAAACTGTTGTAGGACAATGGAAATGTTACTTCTATCATTCTTTTTTTTTTGTTTATTTGTTTTGAGACAGAGTCCCGTTCTGTCGCCCGGGCTTGAGTGCAGTGGCCTGATCTCTACTCACTGCAAATTCCACCTCTCAGCTTCAAGCAATTCTTGTGCCTCAGCCTCCCGAGTAGCTGGGAATACAAGCATGCGCCATCACGCTCTGCTAATTTTTGTATTTTTAGTAGAGACAGGGTTTCACTATGTTGGCCAGGCTGGTCTGGAACTCCTGACCTCAAACGATCCGCCTGCCTCGGCCTCCCAAAGTGCTGGCATTACAGGCATGAGCCACCACCCCCAGCCACTTCTATCATTCTTAAAATTTGTCAATTATTTATTTCCTATTATTTTCTCCTTAGTCTGGCCAGAGATTTAACAATTTTATTGATCCTTCAAAGATCTAAATTTAGTTTAATTTACTTAGCTATATAATTTTTCTCTGTTTAATGTTGTTTATTTCTTCATTAACCTTTATTATTTTCTTCTTTCTGATTGCTTCAGAATTAATTTGTTCTCATTTTTATAATAACAAGTGGGAAGCTTTCATCATAATTTCAAGGTAATTTTTCTTTTCTAATGCAAGCTCTTAATGGGATAGATTTTTCCCTAAACACAGAAATTTCCACATTTTGATATGTTATACTTTTTTAAATTTCTCTTACTTTTGGCTAGGTTCATGTTTAAATATACATATGTGCAAGAATATTTTCCCTTGATTTATATGGATTTAGAGGTTAAAAAAAGGCAAAAAAATTATTTTGGAAATTTCTAGGAGACTTAGTTCACCATCATTGTTACATAATTGTGCATATGTTGCAAGTAATGTATTAAGAAAAGTATTTATATCTGTATACATGTTTGGTCCTTAATGATGAAATTAATGCACAGTTGTCTAACTATAATAATTTCCTTATAATCACACTAGTTTTCCTTTGGTGCCACAAGATGATGAATCTCACTTTAGTGTGACCAAGCAAAATGAGGTACAAAAACAGTCCAATCAATGTGAAAATATCTCAAATTCATATGAATTTTAAAAATATTTTATATGTAAATTAAATTAGAAATTAAATATATATAATATATTTTATTTCAGAAGTATTTGCTTGCCTTTTGGAACTCAAAGTTCAAAACCTTCTATTGTCATCTTTAAATAACTAATTTTTAAGTTAATTTCTAGTTGGTCCTATGAAAATACTACCACACAATGTGGAGATAAAGAAAACATTTACAGAAAAATTGTCCATATGGACACATTTTAAACAGATGATCTAATTAGCATAACAGCCACCAAACTGGTAAATAAACAGTTTTGTTTATTTGCTGCTTAATCAGCATCCATTCAGAATTCTGTAATATTGTTTAGTAAAACAGTTTATTTCCATCCATAAATGTATTTTATAAATTTATGCCCAGTAAACTTCCAGGTAAACCATCGAAATATTAACTGTTTTCTAAAAGTGATGGTCTTTTTTTTTAAGCTGCTTTCTATAGTGAATTGATGAAAGTTAATGAAGATTAAAATGCTTATTCTATAATAAAAGCCAATGCCGGCATGCTGATATATAATCTCTATAGATCAAAAAATATTCATGCCTTATTCTCAGATTTTTAATAGTGGCTCTAAGCAGTCTTAAAAATTTATTATTTAGACACCTTATCCTATATTTTAAAAATATTTTCTTAGTATACTGTGGATGTTATACAAGTCATATAATGGATAGAGAATTTCTTACATAAATTTACAATATAATTTTTTTAAATAAAACTTTTGTGAAATTATTTTCAAATGTTATAAATGTTAATGAGTTTTGTTATATTGGTTCCAATATTTCTCATATATGGAAAATGTCATTTTCCCTGGGAATTAATATTTGGAGCTGGTGTTTAAGAAAAACCATGTTTGATGTTGGAAAATGCTATGTCCGGTATAACTATAGATGTTTGGAAAGCAGCTCAGTTATGCTAAAGATAAAGAAAGGAGAGAAAAATGACAGAAGGGGAGGTTTGAACAAAACAAAATAATACCTGAAAATGTTGAATGGATATGTAATATTTGTGAATGTTTATGTTCTCTATTTCACCATTATTTAAACATTTATATTTTCAAAGGGAGACAATAATTATATTTTGAAATCATTTTGTTTTTTTATAGAGTGCTGTATTTTTTCTTTTCAATTTCAATTTGGTGAGCAAACAAAATCAGTCAGATTATTATACATAATTAGGTTTCCTTTTTGAGATTTGTTGAAACTCTTTATCCTTTATGTATGTATTTCAAGTAGTATAATAAAAAAGAAATATAAAATGATTAGATATACATAAAAGTATTGTAGATTATGTTTTTCATATTTTCTTTCTTTTAATGTATTTTGCAGATATACCCATTCCAGATTATGATTTCACAAACTAAGATGACTCTCAGCAGGGAATCGTTACTGCATGTCGTTTTCATCAAAGGGAGCTTAGTTTATTTGCCTATCTGAATATTGACATTATATTACTAATTTACACATTGGGGAAAGGGTCAAGAGAACTCCAAATTTTTGTTGACTTGATATTAACCTGAAAGGGGAATGTTAATAACTGACAAAATATATCCACAGTAGTTAGACATCAAGTTGTGTTTGTTTTTTTAATCTACTTCATATTATTGAATTATTTAGATAGATGATAGATAGATAGATAGATAGATAGATAGATAGATAGATAGATGATAGATAGATAGATTTATTAGATGTACAGGAAATAAAATTCACTGGTGGGCATGTGTAAAGAGGGGGCAGCTCTTTTCTAATGCAGGGCTAGCTGCTTGTCCAGGGGCCCATGATTCCAGGGCTATATTTGGCCCCACAGCCATCCAGGATGAGTTGTTTCTCAGCCACCAAGTCTTAAAATGTATATGCATTAAACTTAGTAAAATCGCACTTCTTTGAGATGTGGCTTTTTGGGCATTCACTGAACTTGAATTTGGCCCTAAATAAGGCCTCAATCACATGCTCCAGGGTTTGCAGCTTGGTATGGATGAACATGGCCAACGTGAACTCTGACCTCTGGGTCCTGAGGCTTTCCAAAGGCATACTACATCCAGTCTTAAACCTAGACTAGGGAAAGCACTAGATCCAAGACATAAATGTCCAATGGCAAAGGCTGTTGTACACAAGGAACAGGCTGCTGTACACTACCTAGGATGCTGCTGTTTGCAGCCCTTGCACACCAGGTCCCATGTGGCTTAATTGATTGTAGAAATTATTTTATATATTAAGTTTTTGGGGATTCGTATCTTTTATTCAGGATAGCTAAATGCAATTTATATTAGACCATATACAGTAAGTTGTAAATTATAGAAGTTGTGCTTATCAAAATCATATTCAGTGGGCAATATGGCCTTTAATATAATGAAGTTTATTGATAAAAATTAAAATAAAATAATGTGGTTTTGTAGTGCTCTTGTATGTTAACTAAAACAAATTAATAAAACCTATTGAAACCCATAATCATTTAGACTATCTACTTACACTTTGGGAGGCCAAGGTGGGCAGATCACCTGAGGTCAGGAGTTCAAGACGAGCCTGGCCAACATAATGACATCCCATCTTTACTAAAAACACAAAAATTAAACAGGCATGGTGGTGCATGCCTGTAATTTCAGCTACTCAGGAGGCTGAGGCAGGGAGAACTGCTTGAACTTGGGAAGGGGAGGTTACAGTGAGCCAAGACTGGGCCACTGAACTCCAACCTGGGCGACAGAGGGAGACTCCATCTCAAAAACAAACAAACAAACAAAAACACAACAAAAAAACTATCTACTTAAATACCATTCTAGTAAAATAAATATTTTTCTGTGATCTTAGGTTTGTTTTGTCTCAATAATATAAATAGTGTATTGGTTGTCTCAAAGTGTTAAATGGAAGCATATTTTATGGCATTGCTGAAATATCTACCAACTTTTCTTACTCTAAGTTATGCAATGGTGCATTGATTAATGCACTGGAACTTGTTAAGCAGTTTGCATGTCTGAAAAACCAAGGTTCAGAGGTATGTAGGTTAAATCTGGCAATCAAATATCAGAGAGATATTTCAGAATATTATTTTTGTATACCAGAAAACACTTTTCAAAAAAAAAAAAAAAGTAAGGTCATTAGGAAGGCATTGTAAAGTTAATCTTTTCCAGCAAAGCTATTACATTTATTTTTCTGGAGTTCTTTAGTTATAAAAAGTAGAATGTAGTTATAGGATCTAGTCAGCGTTAAATTGATTGAAAAAATGAAAAACACTGTTTCATTTTTAAATAGATTAACAATTAAGCAAGTTGTTTATGTTGTCCCACTGATATACTAGAATATGCTACATTCTTTTGGGCATCTTTTAGACCATAGGGCTAAAATGTTGAGAATGACAGAGAGACAATTAGGAGCTCAGCACAAAGCAAAATGTTATGAATCAGGAAAATAAATAGAACAGAGATCAAAATTAGATAGATGCAGAATTGGAATGATACTGAAAACAAGAGATGGAACTGCAGAAAATACTATGGCAGATCATTCATTCCTTTGAATGGTGAAAGTAGTTAATACAATGGCTAACAATTGAAATGAAAAACCAGACCCAGATGAAAAAATGCAAACCAGTAAACTTACCTAGTCCTATTATTTTACTCAATTGTAGGAAATACATGAAAAAAAAGTTGTTCATTATGAATCCTTTTTTCTGACATGGGAAGAAGGCACCACTAAAACTTTCTCATTTTTTTACTCAAATGTTTGTGTTTTCTCATAGAACTTATAATTTTAATTTATTTTTCAATATATGTTTCCCATACAGTCTAGTTAGATTCATAGTTGCAATGTTTCATGTGGTATATTTGCTCCCTATGGAATAGAACATAACATTAATCTTTAGATGTGTCACTAGAGAGATTTGTATATATCCACATAAATCTACAGTTGCAACTAGAAAAATTATCCTGTGAAAATTTTGTGATATGAATGTCTTTCAACTTTTTAAAAAGTAAAGAGAAAATGATGAACAAATATGAGTTGGAAATCAGAATGAAGAAATCATGAAAATATAGTGTACCCCTTCAAAAATTTTGAAAATTAAGAGAAATCGGTAGAACAGCTGTATTATCATTTACAAAAATGTTTCTCTACCTATAGAACAAACAATTACTTTGTCCTCTAATTTCCAAATAACTTACAGAACATTTATTTTCTACTGTCACTGGAATGGCAGGCTGGCAGGCTGAGTTGGTAGCCCAATTGGTTCCTCACATCAAAAGATTCCCTTTATTATTTCCTTATTTTCTCTTTAATTCTGGCACTCCTTCATGATTGAACTTACAGATGTTCTTTTGTCTGCTAATTTTCGAGTAAGCCTGTGCTCTCTATAACTTTCAGTCTCAATATCCTTCTACCATCAGCCTTTTGTCTAAACATTCTTATTCTGGTTTGTTTCCCTGAACTCTTGACATCAATCTCTGTTCCTTCAATATTCTGTTTCTTCTACTGGAAGCACTCTTTCCCAGATTTCACCCACTTTACTCTTCTCAATCTCTGTGTCTGAGTTAAATGCTTCCTTAGGTTTCTATGTAGGATTGTCTGTCCATCTGTAATTTTTCTATATCTCTCATGTTAACATAGTTACATCCTTTACTGAAAAATGTCTCCTTTAAAAAAAATCAATGTGTTTGTTTACTTTATTAAAATGCCCTCTAAACTGCAAGGTCAAAGAAGGTAAGTATGATATTTGGATATTAATATCTACCACTTAATACAGAAACTATTCTAGCACTTGTATAGGCAGTATAAGACATAATTTTAGAACTCTAAAATAAAAACTCATAAACTGAAGTTAAATATCCATTTCCCACTGCTATCTCCTTTTCCTTTTAACACATTGATATCATTTGGATCTGTGTCCCCACCCAAATCTCATGTCAAACTGTAAGTCCCACTGTTGGAGGTGGGGCCTGTTGGGAGGCAATTGGATCATCGGGCAGTTTCTCTTAAATGGTTTAGCACCATCTCCTTGGAGCTGTTCTTGTGACAGTGAGTGAGTTATTGTGAGTCTGGTTGTTAAAAGTGTATAGCACCTCCCCACCTCTCACTCTTCTTCCTGCTTCCAGCCATGTGAAGTGCTGGCTCCCCCTTCACCTTCTGCCATGATTGTTAGCTTACTGAGGCCCCTGCAGAAGCCCAGCAGATGCATCATGCTTTCTGTATAACGTGCAGAACCATGAGCCAATTAAACTGCTTTTCTTTATAAATTACCCAGTCTCAGGTATTTCTTTAGAGCAATGTAAGAAAGGACTAATATAGAAAATTGGTAGAGGAATATGATATTGTTGTAAACATACCGGAAAATGTGAAAGTGGCTTTGAAACTGGATAGTGGGCAGAGATTGGAAGGGTTTGGAGATATCAGAAGAAGACAGGAAGATGAGGGCAAGTTTTGAACTTACTAGAGTCTTGTTACATTGTTGTGACCAAGCTACTGATAGAGACACACAATGAAGTCCAGGCTGAGGAGGTCTCAGATGGAGATAAGGAACTTAATGGGAACTGGAGCAAAGGTCACTTTAGTTAGGCATTAGCAAAAAGGTTGGCTGCACTGTGCGCCTGCCCTAGGGATCTGTGGAATTTTGAACTTGAGAGTATCTCAAGTTCTGGTGGGTATCTGGTGGAAAAAATTTCTAAGCAGCAAAGCATTCAGGAGGTAATCTCACTACTTCTAACAAACTATTTTGATGTGTGTGAGCAAAGAAATGACCTCAAACTGAAACTTATATTTAGAAGGGAAGCAGAGTGTAGAAACTTGAAAAATTTGCAGCCTGGCCATGTGGTAGAACAAAAAGCCCATTTTCAGGAAAGAAATTCAAGCAAGCTGCAGAAACTTGCTTAACTAAAAGGAAGGCAAATGCTGATAGCCAAGAAAATGAGGGATACCCTCCAGGGCATTTCAGAGACCTTTGTGGCAGCTCCTCCCATCACAGGCTCAGAGGACAACGAAGGAAGAATGGGACACTACTACATGCATCTCATCTGTTGCAGCTCTAGCCATGGCTCCAAGTGGCCCAGGTACAGTTCAGGATGCTGCTCCAGAGGGTTCAAGCCATAAGTCTTGATGGCTTCCATGTGGCATTAAGCCTGAGGGTGCACAGAGTACAAGAGTTGAGACTAGATTTCAGAGAATGTATGAACAAACGTAGATGTACAATCAGAAATCTGCTGCAGGGTCAGAGCCCTGATGGAGAATCTCTATGAGGGCACTGAAGAGGGGAAAGGTGGGGTTGGAGCCACCACACAGTGTCCCTACTGGACAACTATCTAGGGGAGCTATGAGAAGACGGACACTATCTTCCAGACCCCAGAATGGTAGATCCACCAGCACTTGTACCGTGTGCCTGGAACTGGTGCAAGCACTCAACACCAGCCCTTGAGAGCAGCTGTAGGAGCTGAACCCTGCAAAGTCACAGGAGTGGAGCAGCACAAGGCTTTGGGAGCTCAATCCTTGCAGTGGTATGCCCTGGATGGCATCAAAGGAGATTGTTAAGCTTTAAGACTTAATAACTTTCCTACTGGGTTTCAGACTTGCATGGGGCCCGTAGCCCCTTACTTTTGGCCAATTTCTCCCTTTTGAAATGGGAGTATTTACCCAATCCCTGTACCCCCATTATACATTATATCTTGGGAGTTTTTTTTTATTTTAATTTTACAGGGTCTTAGGCAGAAGGGGCTTGCCTCATCTCAGATAAGACTTTAGACTTTGGATGTTTGAGTTAATGCTGAAGTGAGTTAAGACTTTGGGGGACTGATGGGAAGGCATGATTATATTTTGCAAACTGAGAAAGACATAAAATTTGGGAGGGACTAGGGCAAAATAATATGGTTTGGATCTATGTCCCCAACCAAATCTCATGTCAAATTGTAATACCCAGTGTTGGAGGTGGGGCCTGATGGGAGGTTATTGGATTGTGGAGTGGTTTCTTTTTAATGGTTTAATACCATTTCCTTGGTGCTATTCTTATGATAGTGAGTGAGTGAGTTATTAGGAAATCTGGTTGTTAAAAGGGTGTAGCACCTCCCCACCTCTCACTTTTCTTCCTGCTCCCAGCTATATGAAGCACCAGCTCCCTCTTCATTTTCCCACCATGGTTATACATTTCATGAGGCCTCCCCAGATGCCCGGCAGATGCAACATTCTTTCTGTACAGCATGCAGAACTGTGAGTCAGTTAGACCTCTTTTCTTTATAAATTACCCAATCTCAGGTATTTCTTTATAGCAATGCAATAATGGACTAATACACACCTAATAATATTATTTCCTTGAATCACACAATCAATTACCAAAATCCTCTGTGTGAAATGGCTGGCTTCCTTTTATTGGTGGTTAACTGCTAATTAAACAACACTTTTGGCGTTTCAATTTTGTTGTTATTATTGTTCAAAGCTTGTACAAAGCCTCCATCAAGTAGTGCAATTCTCCAGCTTCTGTCACTCCTGGACAACATTTGTATTTAAAAATACCTTTCAGCCAGGTGACACACACCTGTTGTCCCAGCTACTCAGGATGCTGAGGCGGGAGGAACACTTGAGCCCAGGAGTTCTGGGTTGTATGCACTATGCTGATGAAGTGTCTGCACTAAGTTTGGCATCAATATGTTAGCTTCCAGGGAGCAGAGGACCACCAGGTTTCCTAAGGAGTGGTCAACTCAAAAATTGAGCAGAATAAAACTCCTCTGCTTATCAGTAGTGGGATGACCCCTTTGAATAGTCACTGCACTACAACCTGGGCCACATAGTGAGACCCTATTTCTTAACAAAAAAAAGAAAGAAATACCTTCCATATTTCTGCAAGTATGTGAGTTATCTTTGATGTAGTGTTACCTTTTCGCAGTGAATGAAGTGTAATAACCTCTTGCTCATTTTGTTTACAAAAATAAATAAATAAATAAAAGCAGGGACATTCTAAGTGGAATCAAGTTCTAAGTAATCCAGACATAATACTATTTATAGAATAATTCAATTTTTATGATATATTTCATGTTTTGCTATCCTCAGTTATATTTACTCACATATAGTTACACTTGTCAATGTCCTAGCTATAATCACCTATTTTTAGATTTTAATAAATATAATTAAATTAATAGCATTTCTATTTTTATAACAAGTTCTAAAATTAAGCCACAGTTGAAAATTCATGATAAGATTAAGTTTGATTTTTATTTCACTTTTATATGTATGAATCTTAAGAATTTGGTATTTCCTATCTAATATTTGTCTTTCTGTTCTTGGAAACTAATTTCAAATTATTTACAAGTTTCAGAAGTATGCACCCAGTGAAGAATCCAATATCATTTTGTTCAATATACCTATAATTTGAACTTAAATATGTATACTTCCACAAATGTCACTGAAGCAAGTATTTCAAGTATTTATTTCCAGGTATAATTTCAATTATGGGGTATTCAGATATCTTGTTATATCAACAACTAAACATAACATATTAAATTATTTGAGATATAAAAAGTATATCTTGAAAACAGTGCAGTTCTAAATCTTTAAGGTAGGAAAGCAGCTCAGCAAATGTTTTCCTCCACTGTCCATGAGGCAAATATCTAATGACTGTACACACACAATCACACTCACACACATACATACACATTCTGTCTCAAATATAGATATATATTCACACTCTGATTCAATGAATTCAACCTCATGACTAAGGATTTGAATAGATAGTGTTTTTTAACCTTCATCCTTTCCTCTACTGAAATTTATAATTGAATTAGCTTACTTATTTCCTAGTATAAACATTCCAGCATTGTGATACTATGATAAGGTTAAGATGTGAAAGTGTTTTTTACCATTTATTATAGAAAAACTATCTTATTTTCAGATTTATAACAACCTTTTCAAATCCACTAAGGAAAAGTGTCTATGCCTTATAGATTGAAAAGCTCATCTTTACCAGTTAATTTACATTTTACTTTTTCCTAAAACAAAAGGCTCTCCATATCTGTAGGTACACAGTTTGACTTAATTATCCTATGTTATATATTGTACATAATTATATGAGAGGTAGTGGCAATTTAAACAAATAAAATGATGGCTATTTCTTTTTATTAACTTCATCATATTTCACTGAGGTTTTCCTTACTTTAGGCTTCCTTGATGGCTGCAATGTATGCTAAAAGTAAATTTTTATGTGAAATGTTTAAAATATTTGAAAATGATGCTTATTGTTTGTCAGGTTTTGCCACTATTAGCATGACTCAGTACCCATAGAGTCTGTCTCTTAGGCATGTGAAGCAAATGATTTCTCTGACCCAAAACATTTCATATGCCTTAAAAGTCAAACAATGCAAAGATGTGATATTTAGAATACTAGTTACATAATAATGGATAATGACTTAGCTTTTAAAACAACTGCTTTAAACATGACACATTTAAAGCTAATTTGTAACTTTCATATGTTTCTGAAACTTTTACAGTCACTAAATAATTTGAGTAAAGCAAATGGGTTTCAGACCGATTACAATTTGGAAAGATTGATTATAAATTTTGAATAATATGTAACAAAGAAAAATGTGGTCACTTGATTATATACCTCTTCCCCAAGATCAAGTAAATACTTTATCAGTAGAAAAAAGAAAGAAAAGCAAAAAGAAAAGAAAAAGAAAGCAACACTGCTATATAGAACATTTTTTTTTCTAAATGGAATCCAGCAGCAAAAAAAAGATAATTGAAGATACTATTAAAAGATACAATTTAATATTAATATTGACCACATTTATAAATTCACATACTTTTATAAAACATATGCACTTCTGAGTATAAAGCACACATAATACAAAAAAGATTATTACATTTTAAATTGTTAAAATTTCCTTGTTTTTCCACACCTGATGATTACTCTCAATCTCAACAATATAATTACAAATAATGTTTATTATTCAAAATAGATTATTTTGTGTGTGTGTGTTTTATTCAATTAGGTGGTAAATTATAAGATTTTGCCAGGTGATTCAGAGAAGTAGCCTGGAAAAGTTTATATAGATGGTACTAAATGAAAGATAGAAAATTAAAAATTTATAGTTAAATTTATTAGAAACTTAAAATTCTTTAAAAAATTATAGCTAGGTAAATAAATCAACTAAATTTTTCCTTTTTCCTTCATATTGCAGAGTGTATTATTCCAGCCGGTTTACAATGCAGGCTTCCCATTTTGATACTAATTTTAACCTGATTTTATATATCAATATTAAGGAGACAAAAAATAAATGTGATTTTCTCCAGCTCTATATCCCTCCAAGGAGAGCTTTGGAACTGAAATCCTAATCGGGGGTTACATTTTTAATATTTTTGTCTCAAATGAATTTGGAGTCCTCCATAGTATTTCCAAAGTTGCAGAGCAGAAAAGAGGTTACCAATAAAATTGGGTAGTTCTCATCCCAATTACAGAATTAGGCCAAGTTATGAGATATGCAGCAAATATCCACTCAGAAAGATTGAATATTTAAATATTTTAATTTATGAAGTATTAACCTATTGCTCAGTTATAGTATTTTGGAAATTTTTCTTTAAAAAATGTATCAAACTTGTGGTTAGATGACATTACTGACTCATTTTGCATCTGATCAAAACAAATAATGCATAAAACAAAGCAATGTAAGTTATAAAGCATTTTAAAATTGAAATAAGAGATCTTTATTTCTGTTGCATATCAAATGGGATTTATTGACTTCCTTTTCTCAAAAATGTCATATAGAAAACATTTCTACCCTATAAAAATTACTAATAACATTAGCATCAATGACTTACAAGTAGACACAAGTAAGATGAAACACAGATTAATTCATACCATCAAATTCATATGGCCAAGTATAATCCCATTATATAACTATTTTCTATCACTAAGCATAGTCCAGCTATAAGTGTAAAAGTATGATGAAAAATATTGCTAAGACATTAAGTGAAAATATACTGAAAAGAATTCTTAAAGACAAGAAATACAAGAACACACCAATTTGCCATCACACTTTATGTTCAGCCCTTTAGTGAAAAAAAAAGTTTTCTAATTAATATTTCTTTTACACTGGGGACAAGTACATAATATAGTCATCAATTTGCTTAGATTCTGAAATACCATTCATTTATGTACATATTTTCTCTATTCAAATGTACTATTCACATCACTTATCAATTTGCATATAGTAAATCATCATGCATAATTTACCATATTTTGAATATTTTATTAATAATGACCCTTTTCTACAATTTTTATATGCACTTAAATTTTAAACAGCCAAACATTCAAAGGCTTAAAAATCAACACCTGAATTTTAAAATACTATTTGTATGAAATGAAATATTTAATTACAAATGTTAACTATATGTTATTGCTGTAACTATTGGGATAGACAGTGGGCAGTTAGTATAAGCTACTTTGTTAATAAATAAAATTTTAAAAATAATCAATGGAATGTTCATTTCAAACTACTTTGTTATTTCATTTCATTTAAATTTAGCATAAACTTTACTTTGGCAGCCAATTCCTTAGTTGTTCTTCTCCATTAACTCATGACTACTTTAGCTCTTGATGCCAAGCATGATGATGTTTGGTTTCAGAAGTTGCCACATTAACTTCTGATTGAAGTTAACTACAGATTGATTCAATCTGTAGCATGATTGAAGCTACAATCATGCTAACCAATTTTGACAATTTTATATTTTATAGGGCCTAGTTCTAACATTCCACTGTTATTTAATTTTATAAATATTTTTTAAAATCTTGTTACTAAATTAAAAATAGACCTCTGGAAAATAAATCGAAAGGTTTTTTTGTTTTTTGTTTTTTGAGACAGAGTCTCACTCACTCTATCACTCAGGCCAGAGTGCAGCAGCCTGATCTTGGCTCACTGCAACCTCTGCTTCCTGGGTTCAAGCGATTCTGCTGCCTCAGTCTCCCAAGTACCTGAGAATACAGGTGCCCACAACCATGCCTGGATAATTTTTGTAGTTTTAGTAGAGATGGGGTTTTGCCATGTTGGCCAGGCTGGTCTCAACTCCTGACCTAGGTGATCCGCTCGTCTGGGTCTCCGAAAGTTCTGGGATTACAGGCATGAGCCACTGTTCCCTGCCAAATTAAAAGTTTTTGTATGAAAAAGATATACACAAAGCAAAGATACTTTTACAGTATGAAAGTGAATTATAATTGAGAAAAATATCTGCAGGCCATAATAGAATAGTTCTATTTCAATAGTTTGCAAACAATTTGTTAGTTCTGCTGAATAAAAAAATTTCCAACACTTGTTAAAATGGTTAAGGATCACTTTATTTAAGATTAAAATGATAGGTGTCAAGATGATTCTAATAGGAAGAGAGATAAGGTTCAACTCTGAACACAGCAAAGATATCTGGGAAGTGCAGCTAATGAGCAGAGTGAAAGGTTGTCGATGAATACAAATTACTAAGAGGAGACATCAAGGGTAGGGGATTTCTTGTTAGCTAACGTAAGAGGATTCTTGCTGACGGCAAGCCAGAGTGATCAGATATCAAGAGTGGGAGATTCTCTCTAAAGTGACTTAGCAGCATTCTTGCAACAGCTGGACTAGGCAGTGTAAAGACAGGGCCCAAGGACAAAGTAGAGTCAAAAAGAGTGCTCCTAGAAGCCTGACTAAAGCATAGACAAGAAGAAAGTCTTCATCAGTTCAAAAGTCACTTTCTATACTTATGATTTGGCCATGAGCATTCCTATCTTTACTTAGTTTGGAGGAGTGGACTCAGCAGCATGTATGTTATGGGAAAAAAAGAGATTCAGAAAAATTACTTACATAAGTTTGAAAGGCAAGATGAATCTGGCCATATGGTAAAATCCAACAGAACTCTTCTGGTTATGAGTAATTTGTAAAATAATTCATACATTGCCCATTATATGCGTTAGATATATGTAAATTTTACCATGCTCATTCTTCAGAACAGAAAAAGTGAAATACAAAGGCAAACATGGTAAAGCAATTTATTTTAGTTTTCATGAGAAGTTGTTCTTCTAGAGTATGTTATATGACTCTATGCCCTCAGTTTGAACTCTCATTGAACCATATCTAAATTAACTAATAAAATGAACTTTGAATTACATATGCCACTGTGTGCAAATTAACATTCATTGACTGTATGTGTATGTAAATATTGGCCAGTAAACAGAGCCATTTACATCTTCATAAAGAGAATAACATTTCCAACTAAAATTCCTTCTAAAATTGGACTCATATCAATTGGAAGTATTTCAAACAATTACTAAACTGATTTACTTGGACAAACATAGAAAATATTATCTAAGCTATGTGTACCTATTTTTTATATTCCTAGAAATTAGGGGGAACTTTTATTTCCTTTGATTGAATATGAGTTTCTAACTTAACAAAATATATAATAGTGAGTCAGTAAAATGAATACTTTTACCAAGGATGGAAAGTGTTCTGAATTATCTAAAAGACATTTTCATTGCAGTTAACATTTGCCTGTGTAGAACAGATTAATATTAAAATCTATTTTTTCTTTTAACAAAATTTAGCAAATGAGGAATTTTCTATTGGTTCATTTCTTCTGACATTTCTTCTATGTTGACCCTTCTCCCACTTCATGTTGCAAGATGTGAGATCTTACTTCATTTATCACATTCATATTCAAGGCAAACTAAATAGAATCAGGATGATAGGCTTGTACATTTATGCTTTTTTACAGAAACCTTTAGAGAAGGGTTCAGCTATATTGTATCTCACCTATAAAAGGTGGTTCACATTTCCAAATGGATAAAGGCTAGAAAAATCAAGAAAAAGAGCTGTCATGAGTACATGACAGCAAACATAATTTGGGGCTTAGACTCATGACCAAATTGAAGTTCTGTAAGAAAGAAATTAAGAGAAAATTAATATTGGGCAGGCAAAATCCATGTTGGTATATCCTTATGCATATAACTAGAAATATATTGCTAATTTTAATAAACTTACTTTCAAAAATGTATTCTGTGTTATTATACTTTAACATGTGTTCAGTAACTGCGTGTGTTCCTAAACCTTGTCATATTTGGATATGATTTTTAGCCATAAATAGTGGGGCAAGATGGAAAATCTGAAGTTTTACAAAAACTAAATATAAGACAAAAACAATATATATTCAACTAAAAAGGAGTTGGCAACAAACTTCTCTGATTCTATATCAAATCCCAAAAAACAATGGAATATGTATCAGTAATTATTGACTACCATAGGGTAATAATAATAATAAATGGTCATAAAATAAATTAGTTAATGGAAAATGATAGATATTAATTATTGAATGATAAAGCACAATGTAAAACAAAATGATAGAAATAATCATACTCACAAACATAACAATCTGTATGTAGAAGTCTAGGTTTTCCAAATTAAAGCTGGTTACTCACAAAATCCTTGAAAAGAGTGAGAAGTTGGTGGGGTGATTATATTTTTAAGCTATGAAGTCAGATAGTGTGATGTTTCATCTCAGTACCACTATAAAATAAAGTTTTAATCCTGTTCATGTCACTCTTAATTTTCACTAGCTTTTTAGGTAAGGAAAATTCATGTCCATCCCTTCCTTGATTCATCTCTTTCAAAAGCAACATTTTAAATGGTTGATGACTTAACATCACTGCAACTGTTTTCTCCTTCATTTAAGAACATAATCAACCATTTATGTGGGCATGTTTATTTTACACCTCAATTTTGGCTCAAGGAATATAACACATAGTGGCTTCTTTCTTTCATTTGCCATATCAAATCCATGAACACCTGCCTTTAAGATGTATCAGATTACTTTTACCTCTTACTAGACATGTCCAGGCAACTGCCAAAGCACTGGATCATTGGAATAGCTTCATAAGTGATGACCCTATTTCTCTCACTTTCATTCCTAGAGGCTGTTTTTCAGCCAGGAGTCAGAATAATTATAAAACATAAATCAAATAATTTCACTGTCTTGCTCATAGCTTTCTAATTGTTCCCCTTCTCAAAGTAAAACCCCAAACCTTGTCATTGTTTGTGAAAGCAACAATATGGGATCCTTCTCCATACCTCCCCCAATTTATTTTATCACAGCCCTCATTGTTTTGGTCATTCTATCCTTAAGAGCCTCCTGATATTTCTTGGAAATGCCAAGATTCACCCACCTTAGAAACCACTTTGTTTTTCTGTCTTTAAAAGAGACATGCGCTGTAGATATTTGCTTGCTACTCTACTTACTTCTGGACATCTCAGCAGAATTCTTTTGAGAGGCAGACAGTCACTCTGGATCTGCATTCAAATTTCACCCTAGAACTTATCCGCATGTTAATACTGCGTTTCATTTTTTAATTTTTCACTGCCTTTCTCTCCCAAAAAGAAAGAACATAAGCTCTTTTAGTCAGGGACAGCTATTTTTTTTTTTTTCTGTTTTCTCTTTTTCTTAACCTGGCATGAAGACACATTTCTGGCATAGAGCAAATGAATAATAAATATTTGTTGAATAATCTTGCATAAGTTAATCCTTAATTTGTCAACTGTTGATTCATTTTGCTCTGAAATCAATGACAATAAAAAAGAATTGTACTTCTATTTTGTACTTTTTTACTCAGAGTAAATATTTATTGAGATTTAATTTGTGCCCTGTAAACTGCTAAACTCCTAAATCCATTACGTCTATTTCTCCCATGAGGTAAATATTTGCTCTTCATTGAGGATATAGCCAGCAAGGCAGAAACTAGTCTAGGACTTACAAACAATCTGATTTTATTATGTGGAGCAGGTAACATCAGGGTGAAAATAACTAAGAAACAAAGCAAGGAATAGTGATGAAAGTATTAGCACTAGCAGAGAACTAATCCTTTCCTCATGATAGTAAGGTCAATGGGAGAAACTAAAGTTCCAGAGATCCAGTAATGAGCCATTTCACAGTAGAATTACTGCTGGTGAGAAATGGGACCAGGGAGAAATATGATCTCTGATGTAGGTGTCATTAGAAGCAGAGAAAACAAACAAACAAAAACAGAAGTGGCCCTTCTCCTTGCCTTTTCCTGCCCTTCAATCTTTGGTTTTTGCCTTCCCTTGCCTGAATCTACCCAAAGACTAGATGACAAGGAAGCATGGGAAATGCAGATTTCTGTTACAGTGAAAAAATAAAAGAAAACTGCTGAGGAAATTGATCTGAGTGCAAACAAACTTTGATCAGCATATTATATTATCATGTCATTTTACAGATTAAAAAATACAAGTTCAGGGTTCGGGCTTACACCTGTAATCCCAGCACTTTGGGAGGCCAAGAGGGTTAGATCACCGGGTCAGGAGATCGAGACCATCCTGACTAACATGGTGAAATCCTGTCTCTACTAAAAATACAAAAAATTAGCCGGGCATGGTGGTGGGTGCCTGTAGTCCCAGCTACTCAGGAGGCTGAGGCAGGAGGATGGCGTGAACCTGGGAAGTGGAGCTGGCAGTGAGCCGAGATCGTGCTATTGCATTCCAGCCTGGGATACAGAGCGAGACTCCATCTCAAAAAAAAATAATAATAATTCAAGTTCAGAGAGATGAAACAACTTTTTAAGGCAATCAGACTACAGATCTAACTGTCATTTACACTAAAACATTTTAGGAAAACAAAATCATAATGCTTTTGTGGTATTTTGATATTTCAAGAAAAATAGTTATAAGTTTTGGTGTGTGGCGTGTGTGTGTGTGTGTGTGTGTGTATAAAATGATTCTACATTAAATCAAAAATTTAACTTAAAATTTTAAAGATAGAGTAAGGGCTGATAATAGGTTTACCACCAATGCACATTTTCAAGCAGTTAAGTGATTCTAATTAGTAAGAAAAAAACATAGCAGTCCATACCTAGCATATGGGCTGGCATATAGTTGGCACTCAGTGACTGTCTTTTGAAAGTTATTATGCCCTTGAGGCTGTTACAATTCCAAAATGAGATGGAGCAAAGTTTGTGATAGTTGTGATTGCACTTATAATTCACTTATAGGTGTTGAATTCTCAGTAAGGATAATCCAGGTACTTCACTTCCATTTATCCTTTGTAACATTTACTTAATACACACTTTGTGCTCTTATCAAACCTTTCTGTTATATTTTTAAAAGGTTTATTTGCCCTCCAGTTTAACTGGAGAAATAGTGTTTTATTCAAAGTTATGAAAAAGGACTTCCTCATTCTATTATTTCTACACAAATATTTATTACAAATATATAGATTACTTAAGTAGCTACTTATCTGATGACTTACAAAATGATTTGAGAACAATTTAAAGTTACGTGGTGTGCTTTCTGTACACATAACCCACATACTAAGTAATTTATAAAAATACATAAAATAGGAAATTAACTTAAAGGTCACTAGGCTCTCAGAAGAATAAATGACCTTTGATGTTGGAAATCACTATTTTTTTCAGGTTTTGCATAATATATTATGTATCACTGCTCTCAAGGTATTTCTTATAAAAATTAAAAGAAAACTCATACAGAATGAACTGTTATAAAATATGTAAAATTTTAGAAACTCTCATAATTATATGAATACTTAAAGCACTGCTCTGGAAAAATAATTGAAAGATAAAAGGACATTTATCTTAAATGGTAGTAATTTTCATGTTTATTTAAAATAAGCACAGATAAAATTCTGAAAAAAGAATGATAAAGTAAACTCAGAGTAGAAAAATCCTTTAGTAGTGAAATAACAGGTAAAACAGGATGAAAATCTTTTAAATAATGTACTTAACTTACTTGGTTTTAAAAAGATCATCATCATGTGTAAAAGGCCATTTTATGTCCAGAGCAACGTTGGCCTTGGTCTAAGCCAAAATTCTTAGTAGAGTTTTTAGAGTGTTTGCTGTGGTAACATGTGTTAAACTTTTTTCAATATAGCTAATTCAAAAATTTTAAGTAAAATATATGTTAGCCCTATTCCTACCTGCCATGCCTCTCACATCTTATATCCTTATCTTATAACATCTGGCTGCTCCGTGATGGCCATTAAATCCCTGCTAGGAATTAGGAATCCATTCCTGTTTCAGGGTCCTCTTCATCACCTTCAAATTGTTTATGTACAGTGTACTTTTGAAGGCTATACACTTTATATTTTTAACATTTAAAAGACAAATATTGATGCTATTTATTCACAGCTAAGTATATACGCATTTAAATATTAATCCAATATATATGTATTTGGTGCACATTACACGCTGAGTACTTTTCTAGGCCCTGAGGCTAGAGCTGGGCACAACGGAGACAAGTCCTTGCTTTGTGAAGCAGAAAACAGATGACTTCCAGTAAAGTGCTAAGTTGTGCTTGGGAAAAATAAAATTAGAAAAGCAGCCAGAAGGTGTACTGGAGATGACAAGAAACTGAGAAGAGAGGTTGCTGTTATATAGAAAGGGCGGAGAAGGCTTCTAGCAAAAAGCAGCATTTTACCAGCTATCTGAAGGATATGTGAAGCCCTAAGATCTTTAATTAGAAATGCTTTATTTGCAAGAGCAACAAAATATAAAATATTGATAATTTTGACAACAAATAACTTAGGATTTTCAAAAGAAAAATGACAAACTAGGTTGGCACCATGGCCTCTCACTTGTTATTTATTTAAGCCTAATTTCTCTACTTATATAAAGGATGCAATTTTCGTTTGGTATATGGTTTTACTCAATATATGAAAATGTTGAGTAAATGTCAATTATTATTACAACTTTTAAAAACAAAAACAAGGGACAAAAGATGAGATTTGACTAAATCGTGACCATGTTTTCTTAAATGAGTATTATCGATACGCATTTTTTTCCAAATTACTTTAGTTTTATAATTTTAAAACACATTAATGCATTCTAATTCTCCTCATTTATTGGAGTTAACATTTACTTTAATTAATAAAATTTTAGTCTATTTTTCTCTGTTTCAAAGACCTTTAAAATATGGATTTCACATTTTCACAAGATAATTTTTAGAATTTTTGTAAATATCCAAATGGGGTGCTTTCCTATTGTTGGGATATTCCCTTTTACTAATACTGCTTTCATATTCTCCTTTCTGTAATGTATCTTAACTTCCTTTGTTGCAGAGAATGTGAACAATATCTGAAACTATACTATGGCCATACAAAAGTTGTCATGTTGTCTATGCTAACTGTTGTGCTAATTTTACTCTTTCGGTAGTGCCTGGTATAAAGTTTGGGTCTATCATGGTGATGTACTGGTGTACCTTACATATACCTTTGCTATATTGCACTTCACATACTGCCTTTTTCACAAATTGAAGGTTTGTGGCAAGCCTGCATTGAGGAAGTCTACTAGAGCCACTTTGTTTACAGCATGTGCTCACTCCATGTCTCCATGTCACATTTTGGTGATTCTCACAATATTGCAAGCTTTTTCACTATTATTATATCTGTTATGGTGATCTGTATTCAGTGATCTTTGATGTTGCTACTGTAATATGGGGAGAAACCACAAACCATACCTTTAAGAGATAGCAACTTAATCAATACATATTGTGTGTCCTCTGACTACTCCACTGAGCAGAATTTCCCTGTCTCTCTCCCTCTCTTAGTGACTCCAATTTGTGAGACACAACAATAGTGAAATTAGGCCAGTTAATAACCTTATAATGGGCTCTAAGTGTTCAAGTGTAAGAAAGAGTTTCATGTGTGTTACTTTAAATCAAAAGCTGGAAATACTTAAGCCTAGCAAGGAAGACATGTCAAAAGCCAACTTAGATCTAAAGCTAGAACTCTTGTTTTTAACAGTTAGCCAAGTTGTGAATGCAAAGAAAAAATTCTTGAAGGAAATCAAAACTTCTACTCCAGTGAACACAGGAATAGTAAGAAAGAGAAACAGCCTTATTGCTGAGATTTGGAATGTTTTAGTGGTTCGGCCAGAAAGTCAAATCAGCCACAACATTATCTTCAGCCAAAACGCAATCTAGACCAAAGCTCTAATGCTCTTCAATTCTGTGAAGGCTGAGAGAGGTAAGAGAAAACTGCAGAAGAAAAGTTGGAAGCTGACAAATGTTGGTTCTTAAGGTGGAAGGAAAGGAGCCATCTTAACAACATAAAAGTGGAAAGTGAAACAGTAACTGCTGATGAAAAAGCTTCAGAAAATTATTCAGAAAATTTAGCTAAAATAATTGATGAATGTGACTACCCTAAACAACAGATTTTCAATGTAGACAGAACAGTTTTATATTGAAAGAAGATTTCATCTAAGCCTTTCATAGCTAGAGGGGAGAAGTCAATGTCTGGCTTCAAAGCTTCAAATGACAGACTGACACTCTTGTTAGGGGTTAGTGCAGCTAGTCAGTTGAAACCAATGCTTATTTACCATTTGAAAATCCTAAGGCTAATAAGAATTATGCCAGATCTACTCTACTTGTCTCTATAAATGAAGCAACAAAGCCTTTATGACAGAACACCTGTTTATAGCATGGTTTACTGAATACTTTAAGCCCACTGTTGAGACGTACTAATCCAAATATAAGATTCTCTTTCAAATATTACTGCTTGTGGACAATGTACGTGGTCACCTAAGAGCTCTGATGAACATATACAAGGACATTAATGTTGTTTCATGCAACCTAACACAACACCAATTCTGTAGCTCATGGATCAAGAAGCAATTTTGACTTTCAGGTCTTATAACTTAATATATACATTTTGTAAGATTGTAGCTGTCATAGATAGTGATTCCTCTGATGGATCTGAAAAATCTTCTGGAAAGGATCCACCATTCTAGATACTATTAGGAACATTTGTGATTCATGGAAGAAGGCCAAAGTATCAACATTAGTAAGAGTTTAGAACAAGTTTCTTCCAACCTTCATGGATGACTTTGAGGGGTTCAAGACTTCAGAGGAGAAAGTAATTGCAGATGTAATGGAAATAGCAAGAGAACTAGGATTAAAAGTGGAGCCTAAAGATGTCACTGAATTGCTGCAATCTTGTAATATAACCAACAGATGAGGAGTTGTTTCTTATAGATGAACAAAGAAAGTGGTTTCTTGAGATGGAATCTATTCCTGGTGAAGATACTGTGAACATTATTGAAATAACAATGAGGATTTAGAATAGTCCCTAAATGTAATTGATAGAGCAATGGCAGGGTTTGAAAGGATTGCCTCTAATTTTGAATGAAGTTCTACTGTGGATAAGTACTATCAAATGATATCCTATGCTACAGAGAAGTCTTTCATGAAAGAGTCATTCAATGCAGCATACTTCATTGCTGTCTTATGAAACTCTGCGCATGGCGGCTCACACCTGTAATCCCAGCACTTTGGAAGGCCAAGGAGAGCAGATCACCTGAGGTCAGGAGTTGGAGACCAGCCTGGCCAAAATGAAACCCCATATCTACTAAAAATGCAAAAATTAGCCGGGTGTGGTGGCAGGCACCTGCAATCCTGGCTACTTGGTAGGCTGAGGGAGGGGAATTGCTTGAACCTGGGAGGTAGAGGTTACAGTGAGCCGAGATGGCACCATTGCACTCCAGACTGGGCGACGGAGTGAGACTCTGACTCAAAAAAAAAAAAAAAAAGAAAAAGAAATTCCCACAGCCACCCCAACCTTTAGCAATCACAACCCTGATCAGTCAGCAACCACCAGTACTGAGGCAAGACCCTCCAGCAACCAAAACATTATGACTCACTGAAGGCTCAGATGATTAACATTACTTAGCAATAAATCTTTTTAAAATTAAGGTAAGTACATTATTTGTTTAAACATAATACTATTACACACTTTACAGTACAATGTAAACATAACTTTTATATGCATTGAGAAACCAAAAATTTTTGTTGACTTGTTTTATTGTGATTTTTGCTTTATTGTGATGGTCTGGAACAAAACCCACAGTATCTTCAAGTATGTCTCGAATATGTAGAGAATTTTTAAAAATTTTTAGCATATTTTACAAAACTTATTGCCTTATAAGTACTCACTCAATATTTTATTTAAGGAGTACATCTTGATTTTTAAGGGTTTCTTAGCTTTATTGGTTATGTATTAAATAAAACCTCAGCATTTCAATCATAATGTATAAGAAGTATGTTTATGTCATTATTTTTAAAACATAATTTGAATAAATGTATAATATTCCATGTATGCTGTTACCATAACATATTTAAAAATTTTAGCAATATTCAATATCTCATTTTATTATCATATTTAAAAATTAAAGCCTAATGATCACAATTTTTACATAAGCTTTCATTTGATTTTACTTTCAAAGATTATGGTCAAGTTCTCTCACTATGTAGACTCTTTTTCAATCATATATTTCTAGTTTCATAAATGACACAGCATGTTTCTTACTTCAAAAATAGCATAAACTTGAAATTAAATTAGATTCCTATTTAGGTACATTTGAATAATTTAAAGTAAATGTCTTAAATTGCAGAGCTAGAAAAATGTTTATTTTTTATATTTTGGTTTGCTTTTGGTTCTTTTAGTTCTTTAGTGAGCTTTTTTTTTTAAAAATAAAACACTTCACAAATATTCTCTCTCAAATATATGTACAAACTAAATGTGGTTTGCTTTCAGCTACAGTTGACCCTTGAACACATGTGTACACTACACAGGTCCACTTATATGCACATTTTTTTTTCAACCAAACTCAATAAAAAATGTGGTGTTTTCTGTAGGGTTGCCTTTTCCTATAAACAGGTTCCACAGGGCCAACTGGGAAACTTGAGTATATGTGGATTTTGGTACATGAAGGTGCCCCTGGAATTGATCCCCACCTATATGGAGAGATAACTATATGTTGTGTTTGCTAGATTCACCAGCCAGAGATAATATACTATTATAGAATGCTTTAGATTTATACAATTAACTAATATATTTGGCACATTTTTATTTATGGCTCACATCAAGTTACATACTCAATACATGTCTGAATTAGCTTCTTTATCTGTAATCTGAGAATACTCCTTTTCCTGAATACATATCATGATGACAAGGATCTTACAAAACAAATCATGTCAAAGACTAGGCATGTGCTAGTTAGTTTTAAACATTCTTTAACAAATAATCTCCAGGGACACTACCTTCAACACTGAATCTTTGAGAAAATCTAGTTTTTAAATGGTCCACATTTTGCATTAATTTTTTAAAACATATTGAAGACCATAGGAAAGAACTGGAAAGATTTCTGAGACATCTGAAAATAATAGAAAATAATCTACTTTATATCAAGAAACATTGAACAAAAATGAAATAAATAAAAAAATTCTGTGGAAGAAGAAATTAATTCAACCTCATATATTTCTCAGTCAATTTATTCAATAATGAGGTCACTTGATTTACTTCATGTGTACATTTCAATGAATGACTGCATGTCTAAAATATATTTTATACTTTTTTACTGAGATTATTCACACTTCAGTCTTCCTGTTTTGGTACAAAATATTTTAGACAAACTATTATACTTGTTCATGTATAACTGTCACTTTAGTTATAAAAAAGATGCTTAAGTTAAAAATAAAATAATTTTAATAAAGAAGTGTGAGAAGTAATATATAACCTCTGAGTCAGTCAGAATCTAGCAAAGCTTTATAGGTCACATTCATTAAACATTCTTACATTCACTGTCAGTGGCTCTAATTAAGAATGATCATATAAAAAGATCTTTTCATTTTTCTTGGTTTTTTCTAGTTTGCCCAAATCGCACCAATTATTTCTTCTATACTGTTGGTTCATGAGTTTGTGACTGTACATAGTTAGTAATTACTTAAAATCAGATTTTTTTTTTACATTTTACTGAAACATAGTTTAATTCACCTTTGCTTTTCTCCCACTAGCTTGATATATTATTGAACTATAATAATTTTAAAAAGAAAAATCACACTATGCTAAAGATAAGGAAGCATTTAAATGACAGAACTATTTTGTCTGAATAAAGACACAAGATCATATATAGAGAAGAGAAAATGAGCTAATTCATATATTTGGATGATATGAAGTAGATTAAATATTTTATGTTTTTAAATAAGTAACATGTTAAGCAAGACAGAAAATTATTTTTAATAAAATAAAAAATATACAAAAGCTTTAAAATTCATGCAAATATCTAAATGAAAGAAGAAATCAAACAATGTATATCTTGGCATTGTTCAGTCGGGGATTATTGCTTGGACGATATTTGCTATATTTGTATTTCTCTGTCTTGTTATTTTTTTTCTATTAGCTGAACATAAAAATTTCAAACATGAAACTAAAATAAACGAGTAAAATAACATCATTATGGGCTGACATACTTTTGGTGTGTTAAGGTGTATTACTAATATGATACATATTGTAAAAACCATCAATAATAATTTAAAGTTATAATATTTAACAATAAAATTACTGCATTTTGTAATTAACTATGCTAACTATATCATTAACTATATTAATGACACTGATATTGCATAAAAATATATTTGTATAGCAGATAAAAAGATGAGGGAGGGATAGCATTAAGAGAAATACCTAATGTAAATGACGAGTTAATGGGTGCGCAAACCAACACAACACATGTATACATATGTAACAAACCTGCACGTTGTGCACATGTGCCCTAGAACTTAGAGTATAATAAAAAAAGTTGTAAAGATAAATTTTGTCTAGAATTCAACTAACAGGCACCTAGAAATGTTTAAGGATAATTAAAATTCGAAGATGAAATTTGAATGTTAACATAAAGCAAAATAAAAGAAATGCCAAATACATACAATTTTAAAACTATAACAACTTCAAACTTCAAAAAGAAACTTTTATATTATTATGTTATATAATATTTTTATTTTTAAAGGCATTTTTTTCTTGTGATTAAAGGTATGTTTTCTCTTAAAAACATGTATTTCTCTACATTTAAAAAAAGATTTTTTAACTTAAAAAATAAATTTTCTTCCTTTTTCTATTCCTATTTTATTTTTTTTAATTTTTTTAGACTTTTGGCCATTTTTCTTAACTTTATATAGCACTAAAATGACTTATAAAATACTATAATTATATAAATTTTGATAGGATGTTAGTGGAAATTTATATGCTATTCTGTTAGTTTATTAAATTAATGTTTATTTTTATACAAACATTAATTATTTTCAAAGTGGCTACTAAAATGAATAATAAGCAATCATAAAATAATTATACTAAATTATATAGATAAATAAGGGCAGAAATTGTATATTTTTATATAATTATTTATTTTATTTTATTTTTTTGAGAGGGAATCTCTCTCTGTCACCCTGTCTGGAGTGCAGTGGCACGATTTTGGCTCACTGAAAACTCCACCTCCTGGGTTCACACCATTCTCCTGCCTCAGCCTCCCTAGTTGCTGGGACTATAGGTGCCTGCCACCACATCCAGCTATTTTTTTTTTTTTTTGTATTTTTAGCAGAGACGGGATTTCACTGTGTTAGCCAGGATGGTCTTCATCTCCTGACCTCATGATCCGCCTGCCTTGGCCTCCCAAACTGCTAGGATTATAGGCATGAGCCACTGCGCCCAGCCAGAAATTGTATATTTTTAAATACACTAATAATCTTAATAATGCATCCGGTATATGTATATGAGTTACTGAGAAAGGTGTATTAGAATCACCTTCAATAATTTTGGTTTTAAAAATTTATCCAATTAAGAGACACTAGACCTTCTTTTTTCTTCCTAGTGAAAATACAACGAGAAGGCAGCTGTCTGCAAGCCAGGAAGAACCCTTACCAAGAATTGAATCTCCTGGCACTTTTAACTTGGACTTGCCAGCCTGCAGAACTGTGAAAAATAAATGTCTTTTGTGATCAAGTGCCAAGATGACTTACTAGAAGCAGCTAGTATGCTCCACTCTTGTGAAAACGAAATAGACTGGCCAGTAAACACTAGCACTTCAACTGGATCTTCCAAGAGGACATGTTAGGATTCAGCAAGGAAGCAACAGAAGCCATGGAGAAAAAAACAGCAAGACACAACAGCCACCCACCCAGGATTGGGTGGAGTCAGGGGAGGATCCTTACCACAAAGAAATAGTGACTGAGAGAGAGTCCCATGGCCCCACACTTCTGTCATGGACCTTTGTAATCATAGGCACAGGTGATCCACCCTGAGTGATCCCCCTGGGGCCTTCAGACTAACAAGGAGAGCTGCATAGAATCTGGGCAGAGCTCCAGATCAGGCACATGAGAAGTCCCAGGGGTCTTAGACCCCTAAGCACCCCAGTGCTAGTTGCCATAGCTTCACCAACAAGAAGGCCAAGTTCTCTGAATGCGAGAGGTTAGTGGCTACATTCATGGTTCTGAGGAGCAGAGGGACTTCATGCCTTGCCTCTGGTAAACCTCTCCAGGCAAAGCACACTGACCTAGAACTCCAGAACAGCCATGAAACACCCACTTGACCTCTTCGACTGGCAGCAGCTCTGCATTTCTCTGGGATGAAGTTCTCAGATGCAATAGACATACATATCTGCTGTTTTTGCTGCTATAGCAGCTCCAGCCACTACCCAACTGCCTTCAGGGTCAGGAGGGAGTGAAGAGTGTTATGACTGTTGTGGGCCTCCAGCACAGGGCAAGCTGCCTTCTGGAAAAGCAGTCATATAGTTTTCAATGTTAGTCATGGCCCCTTCTACTCCTCACTGGTCAGGGCCTCCTGGCTTGAGCCTCCAGCACAGCCACCTACCTCAGCCTGACAACTTGGGCCAGAAGCAGCATTGCATTTCCCTGGGACAGAGCTCTCATAGGTATAAGACAGGCCTGCCATTTTTGCCTGCTATAGCCCCTGCCCATAATGCCCTCAGATCAAGAGATAGCAAAGAGGCTTAAGGACTATAGCAGGTCTTCAGCTCAGCACAGCTGCCTTATGGAGGTGTTGTCAGACTTTTTTCCATGCCTGTCTTTGCTCCTGCTACTTCTCACTGGGTAGGGCCTCCCGACCTGGGCCCCAGCACAGCTACCCTGCTCCCACTTGAACACTTCAGACAGTGGCACCTGTGCATTTCTCTGAGATAGAATTCCCAGCGACAACCCACAGCCCCTCTGCCATTACATACAGTGGTACCACCCTTGCTGCCTGATATGGTTTGGCTCTGTGTCCCCATTCAAATCTCATCCTGTAGATCCCACAATTCCTATGTTTTGTGGGAGGTACCTGGTGGGAAATGACTGAATAATGGGGATGGGTATTTCCCATGCTGTTCTCATCATAGTGGATGGGTCTCATGAGATCTAATGATTTTAAAAACAGGAGTTTCCTGACACAAGCTCTCTCTTAGCCTGCTGCCATCCATGTAAGATGTGACTTGCTCCTACTTACCTTTCACCATGATTGTGAGGCCTTCCCAGCCACGTGGAACTGTAAGTTGATTAAACCTCCTTCTTTTGTAAATTGCCCAGTCTCAGGTCTGTCTATCAGCAGCATGAAAATGGAATAATACAGTAAATTGGTACCAGTAGAGTGGGCTCTACTGAAAAGTGCCTGAAAATGTGGAAGCAACTTTAGAACTGGGTAACAGGCAGAGGTTGAAACAGCTTGGAACACTCAGAAGGAGATAGGAAAATGTGGCAACGTTTAGAACCACCTAGAGACTTGTTGAATGGCTTTGCCTAAAATGATGTTAATGATACGGACAATGAAATCCAGGATGAGGTGGTCTCCAATGGAGATGAGGATCTTGGCGACTAGAACAAAGGTGACTTTTGTTATGTTTTAGCAAAGAGACTGGTGGCATTGTGCTCCAGGCCTAGAGATTTGTGGAACTTTGAACTTGAGAAAGATGATTTAGGGTATCTCATGGAAGAAATTTCTAAGCAGCAAAGCATTCAAGATGTGACCTGGGTACTGTTAAAGTCACTCAGTTTTATAAAGGAAGTAGAGCATAAAAGTTCAAAAAGTTTGTGGCTTGACAATCTGATAGAAAAGAAAATCCCATTTTCTGAGGAGAAATTTAAGTCAGCTGCAGAAATTTGTATAAGAAATGAGGAGATGAATGTTAATCCCCAAGACAATAGGGAAAATGTCTCTAAGGCATGCCAGAGGTCTTCATGGCAGCCCCTTCCATCACAGGCCTGGTGACCTAGGAGAAAAAAAAGTGGTTTTGTGGGCCAGGCCCAAGGTCATCATGCTGTGAGCAGCCTAGGGACTTGGCACCCTGTGTCCCAGCTGCTCCAGCCATGGCTGAAAGGGGCCAATGTAGACTTTAGGCTGTGGCTTCAGAGGGTACAAGCCCCAAGCCTTGGCAGCTTCCACTTGATGTTGAGCCTGTGAGTGCACAGAAGTCAAAAATGGGGGTTTGGGGATCTCTGCCTAGATTTCAGATGTATGGAAATGCCTGGATGTCCAGGAATAAGTTCACTGCAAGGGTGAGGCCCTCATAAAGAACCACTGTTTAGGGCAGAGTGGAAGGGAAATGTGGGGTTGGAGCCCCCACAGAGAGTCCCTACTGGGGCACTGCCTAATGCGGCTGTGAGAAGAGGGCCACCGTTCTCCAGACCCCAGAATGGTAAATCCACTGACAGCTTGCACCGTGCACCTAGAGAAGACTAAGACACTCAATGTCACCCTGTGAAAGCAGCCATGAGGGAGGCTGTACCCTACACAGCCACGGGGGTGGAGCTACCCAAGACCTTGGGAACCCACCTCTTGCATTAGCATGACCTGGATGTGAGACATAGAGTTACTGGGAGATCATTTTGGAGCTTTAAAATTTGACTGTCCCTCTGGATTTCACACTTGCATGGGGCATGTAGCCCTGTTGTTTTGGCCAATTTCTCCCATTTGGAATGGCTGTATTTACCCAATGCCTGTACCCCCATTGTATCTAGGAAGTAATTAACTTACTTTTGATTTTACAGGCTCATAAGTGGAAGGGACTTGTCTCAGATGAGACTTTGGACTGTGGACTTTTGAGTTAATGCTGAAATTAGTTAAGGCTTTTTGGGACTGTTGGGAAGGCATGATTGGTTTTGAAATGTGAAGATATGAGATTTGGGAGGGGCCAGGGGTATAATAATATGGTTTGACTCTGTGTCCCCACCCAAGTCTCATCTTGTAGTTCCCATAATTTCTACATGTTGTGGGAGGGACCCAGTGGGAAATGATTGAATCATGAGAGTGAGTCTTCCCCATGCTGTTCTCATGATAGTGAATGGGTCTCATGAAATCTGATGGCTTTAAAAATGGGAGTTTCCCCAAACGAGGTCTCTATTTGGCTGCAGTCATCCATGTAAGATGTGACTTGCTCCTCTTCTTGACTTCTGCCATGAGTTTGAGGCCTCCCCAGCCATGTAGAACTACAAATTGATTAAACCTCTTTCTTTTGTAAATTGTCCAGTGTCAGGTATGTCTTTATCAGCAGTGTAAAAAAGCACTAAGAAACTCCCCTTGGGCTGGGGAAAGAACAAAATGCTGGTTGCTTCACTAGCACCTTCATCATGACACAGCTGCCATATAGCGTAGAGCCCAGTCTCTCTTCCTTGTGAGCTCCCAACTCCTATCCTTCACTAAGCAGAACTCCTTGCTTGGGCCTGCAGAGTAGCTACCTCACCCAAGCTGAACATTTCTATTGCCAGTGGCTCTGTGTTATCCTGTGATGGAGCTCCCAGAGGCAAATGACAGCCAACTGCCACTGCCAATGCAGTGGTACCTGCCCTTGCTGTCTTAGACTGGGAAAGAAATAAAAGAGCCTGAATGCTTTACTCATGCTTCCAGCACACTATGATTACCATATGATCACCATATGGCATGGAGCCCAATCTCTATTCTCTGTGAGCCCCTGATCCCCTGCTCTTCACCAGGCAGGGGCCCCAGCAAAGGCTCATAGTGCAGCAGCCCCACTCCTGGCTGAAAATGCCCAGTGGCAGTGGTTCTGCATTTCTCTGGGGTGGAGATCCCAGAAGCAACTGAAAGTTTCTCTGCAACCGCTATTCAGCAGTACTGCCCTTGCTGCCCTCCAACTGGGGAGGGAGCAAGACCCCAAGTGCTTTACTCACACCTCCAGCACACTGCAGCTACCCTACAGAGAAGAGATGAATCTATCTTCTCACAAGCCCTGACACCCTCTGCTCATCACCAGTAGTGTCCCCCAGATTGGTTCCAAAATGCACAGGCCCCATCAAAGGTTGACCACTCCATTTGGCAGCATCTCTGCATTTCTGTATGGTGGAGCTGCAAAAGACAAGTGATAGACCTCCAGACATTACCACTGCCAAGGTCCTCACCTCTTTTGTCCCCAAGCTTGTGAGGAAACAAAAACCTTGAGCTCACCACAGGGCTGTGATGTGCAGCACTGCAGTGACAAGCCAAGCTATGCAGCCAGCATTTCAGTAGGAGGGAAGCCTACACACACAGAATACTGACACGGAGCATGGCTGCAAATGTGAGAAAATACACATTTGTGTATGAACAAGAGCCTACCTATCAGCCATTATAGGTAGGTAGGCTGAACAAGAGCCTACCTATCAGCCATTATACCTAAGTGTCATCAGCCAGCTTGCAGCAGAAACTTCAACACTAAAATTACTTTGCTAATATAAGCCTCTGTGAAACCCAGGACAATAATTCAGCTACTAATAAAGATCGTGCAAAAAGGTGCTTTGAAAACATCCAGAAACAAAGTCAACTGACTATGCTCAAATTATACCACAGTTAAAGAAACACCAGCCCACACAGGTGAGAAAAAAGCCAACATAAGAACTCTAGCAACTCAAAAAGTCAGACTGTCACTTTACCTCCAAATGACTGCACTAGTTCTACAGCAATGGTTGTTAAATAGAAGGAAATGGCTGAAATGACAGATATAGAACTGAGAGGTAGAAGAAAATGAAGATCATTGAAATTCAATAGAAAGTTGAACACTATTTCCAAGAATCTGAGGAATCCAGTAAAATGATTAAAGAGAAAAAAATTAGCCATTTGAAAAAACAAAACAAGACAAACAAACAAAAACCAAACCTAGCAGGTAGAGTTACAAAATACACTACAAGAATTTCATAAAATGATTGGAAATATTCACAGCAGAATGGACTAAGCCAAGAAAAGAATCTCAGAGATTGAAGACTGATTATTTAAGTTAACACAGCCAGAAAATAAATAAAGAAAAGAAGAATTTTAAAAAATGAAAGGTCAGGCATGGTGGCTCATGCCTGTACCTGTAATCCCAGCACTTTGGGAGGATACTGAGACCATCCTGGCTAACATGGTGAAACCCTGTCTCTACTAAAAATACAAAAAAAAAAAATTCACTGGGCATGGTGGCAGGTGCCTGTAGCCCCAGCTATTCAGGAGTCTGAGGCAGGAGATTGGTAGGAACCTGGGAGGTGGAGCTTGCATTGAGCCGAGATCATGCCACTGCACTCCAGCCTGGGCTACAGAGCAAGACTCCATCTCAAAAAAAAAAAAAAAAGAAAAAAAAAAGAAAAAGAAAAAAACCTTGGAGAAATAAGGGATTCTATAAAAAATTTCCCCAATTTCACTAGAGAGATTGACATATAAATTTAGAAAATTCAGATAACCCATGTAAGATGCTATGTAAGACAACCATTGCAGAGACACAAAGTAATCAGATTCTTGAAGGTCAATGCAAAAGAAAAAAATATTAAAGGCAGTTAACGACAAGGGGCAGGTCACATAAAGTGGAAACTACATCAAATTCACAGGGGAACTCTCAGCAATATCCCACAGTCAGAAGACATTAAGAATCCATATTCAGCATTTTTGAAAAAATAAAATTATGAACTAAGAATTTTATGTCCCACCAAACTAAGCTTCATAAACAAGGGAGAAATAAAATCCATTTCAGATAAGCAAAAGCTAGGGGAATTTATTACCACCAGGCCTTTAGAGACCAGAAGAGATCCTTAAGAAAGTGCTAAACATGAAAATGAAGGACTGTTACCTAGCACCAGAAAAACACACTCAAGTATATAGACCATCAACACTATAAAGTAATTACACAATCAAGTTTACGTAACTACCAGCTAACAACATGCTGGGAGGATCGAATGTGCACATGTCAATATTGAAGATAAACAAGCTAAACACCCACTTAAAAGGCATGGAGTGGCAAAGTGGATAAAGAATCAAGACCCAACTGTATGCTGTCTTCAAGAGACCCATCTCACATGTGAGAACACCCATAGGTTCAAAGTAAAGGGATGGAGAAAGAACTACCAAACAAATGAAAAACAAAGAAGAACAGGTGTTGCTGTTCTTATTTTAGATAAAACTGACATTAAACTAACGATGATCAAAACAGACAATTAAGGGTATTACGTAATGATGAAGGATTCAATTAAACAAGAAGACTTAACTATCCTAAATATATATGCACCTAACACTGGATCACTCAGATTCACAAAACAAGCTCTTAGAGATATACAAAGAAACTTACATAACTACACGATGACAGTGGCAGACCTCAACACCTCACTGACAGTGTAAGACATATCACTGAGGCAGAAAACTAACAAAGATATTCAGGACCTAAACTTGACACTTGGCCAAATACACCTAACAGACATCTACAGAACACTCCACACATCAACAACAGAATATATATTCTTATCATCTGCACATGACACATATTCTAAAATCAACCACATGCTCAGCTGTAAGTCAATTCTCAACAAATAAAAAAAAATGTTACCAGCCACACTCTCAGACCACAGCACAATAAAAATACAAATCAATACCAAGAAGATCTGCCAAAACTGTAGGATTAAGTGAAAATTAAACAACCTGAACCTGAATGACTTTTGTGTAAACAATAAAATCAAGGCAGAAATCAAGAAATTCTTAGACTCTGATGAAAACAAAAATACAACACACTAGAAACTCTAGAACACAGATAAAGCATGGTTAAAAGGAAAGTTTATTGTGCTAAACACTTATGTCAACAGCTAGAAAGATCTCAAATTTGCAACCTAACATCACAGATAGAGGAACCTAAAAAACAAAAAAGAACCAACCTCGAAGGTAGTAGAAGAAAAGAAATGGCCACAATCATAACGGAAATTAACAAAATGGAGATGAGAAAAAAATGTAAAAAAATCAACAAAACTGAATGTTGGGTATTTGAAAGAAAAAATAATGTTGATAGGCCATTATCTAAACTTATAAAGAAAAAAAGAGACAATATTCAAATAAACACAATCACAAAAGAGACAAAGGGGACATTACCAGTGACTCCACAGAAATACAACAACCCTCAGGGATGATTATGAACACCTCTATGTACACAAACTGAAAAACCCAGAGAAGCTGCATAAATTCCGGGAAGCAATCTTCAAAGATTGAACCAGGAAGAAAACGAAACTTTGAACAGACTAATAGGAAGTTCCAAACTGAATTGGCAATACAATGCCTATCAATCAGAAAAAGTGTTGACCTCAAAGGATTCACTGCCAAATTCTACCAGCTGTATAAAGAAGAGCTGATACCACACCTACTGACACTATCTAAAATAATTGAGGAGGAGGGACTCATACCTAACTCATTCTATGAGGACAACATCATTCTGATACCAAATCCTGGCAGAGATGCAATGAAAAAAAAAACTTCAGACAAATATTTCTAATGAACATAGATACAGAAATATTCAACAAAATACTAGCAAACCAAATCTAGCTGTACATCAAGAAGCTAATCCACCACAATCAAGTAGGTTTTATTTCTTGCAAAATATTTTCAGAATGGTACTTCCAAGGTTTTCTTCTAGAGATTTTATAGTTTGAGGTTTTACATTTATGTCTTTAATCCATCCTGGGTTGATTTTTGTGTATGGTGAAAGGTAGGGGTCCAGTTCAAATCTTCTGTGTATGGTCAGCAGGTTATCCTGGCACCATTTGTTGAATAAGATGTCCTTTCCACATTGTTTGTCTTTGTCAGCTTTGTTAAAAATCAGATGATTGTTTATGTATGTCTTTATTTCTGTGCTCTCAAAACTGTTCCATTACACTATGTGTCTGTTTTAGTTACTGTAGCCTTGTAGTATAGTTTGAAGCCAGGGAGTGTGATGCCCCCAGCTTTGTTCTTTTTGCTTAGAATTACTTTGGCTATTCAGGCACTTTTTTGGTTCCAAATTAATTCTAAGAATTTTTTTTCTAGTTCAGTGAAAAACGTTGTTGGTAGTATGATAGGAATAGCATTGAATCTGTAACTTGGGTTGGGCAGAATGAGCATTTTAATAATACTGCAAACCCCAAGCTTTGGTAGAGTCTATGTGATATTGGGCCTGTGTGTGTGCAGAAGACAAGAGTTGAGCTTTAGGAACCTCAGCCTGAATTTCAAAGGATGTATAGAAACACCTGAATGTCTAGGCAGAAGTATGCTGCAGGGGAAGGGCCCTCATGGAGACCTCTGCTAGGGCAGAAGGAAGATGTGGGGTCAGAGCACCCATGCAGGGTCTCCACTGGGGCACTGACTAGTGGAGCTGTGAGAAGAGGGCCGTCATTCTCCGGATCCCAGAATGATAGATCCACCAAAAGCTCACACCACTCACCAGGAAAAGCTGCAGGCACTCAACACCAACCTGTGAAAGCAGCCAGAAGGGAGGCTGTACCCTGCCAAGCCATAGGAGTGGAGCTTCTCAAAGCCATGATATCCCATCTCTTGCATCTGTGTGACCTGGATGTGAGACATGGAGTCAAAGGACATCATTTTGAAACTTTAAGGTTTAATGACTGCTCTGTTGGATTTCAGACTTGCATGGGGCCTATAGCTCCTTTGTTTTGGTCAATTTCTCCCATCTCCAATGGGTGTATTTACCCAGTACCTGCACTCCCATTGTATCTAGGAAATAACTAACTTGCTTTTGATGTTACAGGCTCATAGGTGGAAGGGACTTGCCTTTTCTCAGATGAGATTTTGAACTTGAACTTTTGGGGTTAATGCTGAAATGAGTTAAGACTTTAGGGGATTCTTGGAAAGGCATAATTGTGTTTTGAAATGTGAGGACATGAGATTTGCGAGGGGCCATGGACAGAATAATATAGTTTGGCTTTGTGTCCCTACCCAAAATCTCATCTTGAATTGTAATGCAAATTGTAATCCCCACATGTTGGGGGAAGGACATCGTGGGAGGTGATTAGACATGGGGATCATACTGTTCTCATGATAATGAGTGAGTTCTTATGAGAGCTGAAGGTTTTATAGGGGCTTTCCCCCACTTTACTTTGCACTTCTCTCTCCTGCAGCCATATCAACAAGGACATGTTTGCTGCCCCTTCCACCATAAGTGTATGTTTCCTGGAGCCTCCCCAGCCATGCAGAACTGTGAGTCAATTAAAACTATTTTGATTCTAAATTACCCAGTCTCAGTCAGTTCTTTATAGCAGCATGAGAACAGACTAATACAGTGACCCACCCCTTTATATTTGTTTAACTGAGTTGATTCAATGAATCCATCTCACAGCTCTAAGTTTTTTTCCTCAGTTTAGTCCCTTCTGCTGTTAATACTTCCAGTTAAACAATGAAATGCTCATAGTGAGTTTCTCAGCTCTTAGACGAGTTTGGGTCATTGTCTTTCTTTCCTTTTGTGTGTGTGTGTGTGTGTGTGTGTGTGTGTGTGTGTGTGTGTGTGTGTGTGAGAGATGGAGTTTTGCTCTGTCACCAAGGCACCAAGGCTGGAATGCAGTGGTGTGATCTCGGCTCACTGCTACCTCTCAATTCAAGCCAGTCTCCTGCCTCAGTCACCCGAGTAGCTGGAACTACAGGTGTGTGCCACCATGCCTGGCTAAGTTTTGTATTTTTAGTGGAGATGGGGTTTCACCATGTTGGCCAGCCTGGTCTCGAACTCCTGAACTCAGGTAACCTGGCTGCCTCGGCCTCCCAAATTGCTGGGATTACAGGTGTGAACCACTGTGCCTGGCAAGAGTTTGGGTCTTTTAAAAAAATGACTATTTCGTCTCTTAGCTCTTGTTTCTTTCTAATTGATTCCTTAGATTCTTTGGATGGGCTTTTAACTGTCTCCTGAATCTCAGTAACCTTCATTGCCATCAAGCTTGTGAATTCTGTCTATTATTTCAGTCTTTTCAGTCTGGTTAACAGCTGTTGCTGGGGAGTTAGTGTGGTCACCTAAAAATAGACACTCTGTGTTATTGAATTGCCAGTGTAGTTATGCTGGTTCTGGTTCTTTCTCATCTCTGTGAGCTAATCTTCCTTTAATCGTTGAAGTTTGTTTGTTTGTTTGTTTGTTTGTTTGTTTTGCATGGGGCTTTTTACTTGTATACTTTGATGCCGTTGAGGGTTTACTATGCTATAAGTTGCATTTAATTGACTGGCTTCATTTCTGGATGATTTCAGGTGGCCAAGGCTCAGCTCAGCTCTCCTGGGATGTGTGCTCTAACACTGGGGGGATTCGGACCTGGCCCACAGCTTTGTTATATGCCCCCTCAAGATGAAGTACCTGCTGCACTGACAGGGCCACAGCATTCTCAGTCCACTGGCAACAACAGTCCAATGGGGGATACCAACAAAAGTGCTTCATTGGAGCATTTGCTGAGGGGTCCATGCTTACGCACATGTGCACCAGCTGCAGCAGGGGTGCAGTGTGGCATGTTATACTCATACTCACCCTGGCAGTGGCAGGTTGTCAGGGTTTACACACACACATCAGTGGGGCCCATGCAGTTGCAGTGAGGACTCTGCATATGTGCACACTGGCGAAACAGTGAGTGGAGACTGTGCACAGTGCAAGCCGGCAATGCAGTGAGGGGGGACTGTAAGTAGGTGTGCACTGTTGGAGGTATATTTGCAGAAGCTCTCCAGTGAGAGCAGAGTCGAGTCTGCTGCTATGGTGATGGCCACTGAGAAGCACCCTCGTTGGGCATGCAAAGCTGCCCTCCAAGAGGGTATGGCCTGGCGGGGACCCCAGGAGAGGCCAGTCGACAGGAGAGCATCTAATCACATTGGCATATCCCACGGGCAAGACAGCCCTTCTCTGTGCAGGTCTGACAATCAATAATGACCAAAGTCACTCAGAGGCGTGTGGTAAGCCTTAGGAAATGGGTGTCCCTGGCTGTGCTTCACCGGAACCATTCTTATGTCAAACTATCTGGGCTCTACACGTACTGGAATCCTGTCTTTGCTACTTCTCCAAGCAACTCTCCTTGCTAGCTCGAATGTCCATGGGGATTGTGAAGTCTCGTAAAGCTAGGATTCTGGAGCTCTTTGGAAAGAGTAAGCCACTCCATCGTATTTAACTCACCCCTCCCCTCACCTCTCAGGGTCAGGAATGAGTCCTTGTGCTCCACAATCCCATGCTGGGTTCCCAGCTTTCTGATCCTTTAGCCCAGTGTCTCCATCCTCTCTCCTTCCACTCTCAATGCTTTCCTTTTGAAGATCTGCTCAGAGTGTGCTGGTTTTCTTGAGAGTCAGCTCTTTCAGTGGAGGATCTTCCTGGCTCTGTCTTGCTGGCCATTTTGGCTCTTCTGTCTTTTAGGGTTTCCTTGGTGAGTATCAGGTGTTCATAAATTAAGGATTTATATGTTGGGTTTAAAAATCAAGATTGTAAATCAAGATATCTTTAGTGTGATGAAAGGAAGTAAATTATAAAATGTATTTAGGTTACTATGTTGCTCTTAATAAGTAGTCCAGCTGCCACATTTTAAAGTGTCTTTTTTTTTTCCCCTATGGTTGTTTTAAGGATTTCTTTTTCTCTGTCTCTCTCTGTCTTTCCGGCTCTTGTTTTCTCTCTTTCTCTCACATCAGATTTATTGTTAAGTGTTAATTCAGTGGTTATTTTTTCCTTGAAATTTACTGTGTTTCTTGAATGGACACATGTATCTTTCATCATTTTGGAAAGTTTAAACCATTAAGTATTCACATATTTATCTGCTCCATTTATTTTATTCTAGCTCTCTATTTAAATATATCACCTCACACAACTCATTATTTGTGATAACCACTCTTCTACATTTCCATTTTTTCATCTCACTGTATTGAAATGTGCTCATTTGCTTTTCTGATTTAGCTTCCAGTGATCTAGTTCTTTTGCTGTGTCCAAAATATTATCATACTCATGCTCCTAATGTTTAATTTTAGTCATAATATCATTTATCTTTAAAATTTGTTATTAGTTTCATGTTAAAACTGAAAGATTACATTGTATTTTTTTCATTTGGCAGATATTTTCAAATTTACTTCTTAGAACATAATACAAATACATGTTTTTCAATGTGTCTGTAATAATACCAGAACAGCAATTTTTGTGACTTTTTTCTGTTATTTTTCCTGCTACTTATTGCAAAATGTGTCCTGTTTCCTTGCATTCTTTATTAGCTTTGAAAGTATGATGCTTGCTGCTTCTGCCAAAATTACTTGGAAGGATTCCTCAAATCCTGGAATGATGACTTCCTATATAGAATCATTTTCTTTATCTTTACTAGTTATCTCTGTAGATTACTTTAAGAACGATATAAATTAAATTAGTAGCTTCCTGCTGTGACAGCCAGCCTGTGGACTATACTTCAAAATCACAACTTTTCCCATTTCTACTATTTAACCTGGTTTATTCATTTTCAGGACAGCAATCCACACATTTTTCTGGAAGTGGAGGGACAAGGGTCAGTAATCGTTTGCTTTAAACATACTCTGATATTTCAGGCCTTTAAAACAATAGCACAGGTTTTAGGAAGTGGATTTCCAAGAAAACTTCCCATTTTTGCCTGACATTTCTACTACTGCCTTCTCACTTATTCACCATTGAGTTTCTTCTGGATCAAACAACCTTCTCGAAAAATATCAGATACTTTAGCCCTAATTAATTCTCACACTTTTTTTTTTGAGACAGAGTCTTGCTCTGTTGCCCAGGCTGGAGTGTGTTGGCATGAGCTTGGCTTGCCACAACCTCTACTTCCTGGGTTCAAGCTATTCTCCTGCCTCAGCCTCCCAAGTAGCTGGGACTATAGGCATGCACCACCATGCCCAGCAAATTTTTGTATTTTTAGTAGACATGTGGTTTCACTATGTTGGCCAGGCTGGTCTCAAACTTCTGACCTCGTGATACACCCATCTCAGCCTCCCAAGGTGATTTTTGATCAAGTAGTTCCTTACATACTTACCATTTTCTTCCTTTAAGAAGATTTTATAAAATATTTATATATCTATTAATATTATTTGCCTTTACCTGACAGAAGTAGATATGCATCATTTTTTGATGCAAGTGGAGACTTAATAATTGAGAAAAATAATATAATCTATAAGCCTGTAGTAAAGATTAAACCAAAAAATCAAGAGTTTGATCACCTCTGTAGATAAAGGAAATAAATTGATAAAGTTCAAAATTTGTGCTACATTTGAAGGAAGTAATTTGAAATCATTTATCTTATAAAGGCTTTAGAATCCAAGAATTAAAAATACTCACTTTTTTCCATTTTAGGTATTCACATCAAAAATCTATTACCTAACATATAAAACTATCAAGTATGTTGATTATGTTTTTAGTATAGTGGTATTGTTTATCCTGATTTAATCTTGAAGATTAAAAATAAAAATAATGTTAACTTCAGTTAACTGTTCAGGCAAATTATTTTCTTTTTTGATAAAATGTATTTGTGTTGCTACACACAGACATGGAGCTGCAGATTTTCTCATTCAAGTTATTAAAATGTCAACCACCTTTGTAATGTTAGTAGTCACTGCCAAATCAATTTTCATTATATCGGGAGGAAAATACAAATCTTCTTAAAAACTGATTTAACTGAAACTGTATGTACATTGTATTATATCACAAAATACATGTAAGTATAATGAAGAAAAATTTGTTAAGAAAGTTTACCAAAGCATTCTAGTTAAGATTACATTTAGGTGGGCAAGAAATTTTTCATTTCCAAAAAATTACAAAACAATGGTAAATTGAGTTGGTATTTCACAATATTTGAATTGCAATAGTATGAAGTGTGTAGCTAAATGCATGCTATTTATGACACAATAGTTATGACAAAGGCATAGTAACATAATTGATTTCCCTTTGCATTCTGAGTTTGAGAATAATTAGGTAAATGACATATAAATGAACAAGAAATAATTCCATTGATCTTATTAGGCATTATTATTAAACTATACCAGTGTACTTAATGGAAAAAAAATGTACATATCACTATAAATTGTTCTCTCTGCTAACATATAATATTTTAAATTTTGAAAATAGAAAGTTAATGTTAATAATCATTTTATTAAATAAAGAAAAGATAGATCAACCCTAATTATAATAATTACTTCATGATATGTTTGGATAAACATGTTTATTAAAACAGAATTCTATATTTGAAAGATACTATACAACATTTTATTTACATATTTTAATTGAAGTCTACTGAAAATACACCAGAAAACCTAACAGATACACTTAACATAAGGGAAACATTATCCTACACTGCTTCACTTTTTCAAAGATGTTATTCCTCCTAGTTAATGACTTACTCTAAAAAGAGTATTAGAAGTAGCTGAAAAGAAAGGCTATGTTTAAATATGTGAAGAGGGCAAGTTTGAACATTTAATATTTATTGCCCACCTCTTAGCTTTGTTATGCTCTCAAGTGACTCTTAAGAGAATTTCACACTTCGACAATATTCAGAGAATAAGAGACATGACATTGTTAAATACCATCAACATGCCTGCTGCTCCGTTTTGAAATGTTCCTGAATTCAAAATACCCTAAAATAATTCAGAATATCTTGCTTCTGATGTCAGGATTTACTCTGAACAGAAATATTTTGAATGAAGAAACACAAATATGTAATGAGGTATAATAGTACCCCTCACTAATTATTAAAGAAAGACTACCCGAAGACTAGATTTATGTTCTTGCTTAAAAAACAAAATCAAGGAAACACCCACAGAAATACAATACTCTGGATATGAGGGAATGAATTAATTCCCGAAAGACAGAAAACAAAGGAGTTAAACCCTGCTACTGCCCTAATTTAGTGGCTAGAGTTTCCAGCAGTGGGGCAGAGAAAGTGGGCTCCTAGAGTTGTACAAAGCCAAGAAATCCAGGAGACTAAGGTAACTAGAGTTTCTAGGTCTGAGAAGCTAGAGATTCAAAGAGAGAAATCTCTGATATCTACAGATGTTCTCCTTTCAGTGCTTAGCAGAATACTGATTAGTGTATATATGTGAGTAATCTGCTCACTGCCAGGGAAACAAGCATCTTCAAAGATTAAAAACAAACAAACAATAACAACAACAAAAACCAGTGCCTGACATTCACATATGACCTGGATTATACCTGTATTTGCCAGCCAAATGAAAGAAAAAAGCTAAATTCACAGTGCATTTGGTAAAGCAATTTAAAAGGTCTTGCCTCAGGGGTAGAAATTAATTACATTTAAACTGAGCACTGAGTTGAACGCAACAAAAAATCATAAAAGAAGTATCTAAAAGGATCAAGCGGTTTTAAACAAATTAACTGTGTCCTAGAGAAAAAGCTCATATTTTGTACAGAAATACAAAATATCCAGCACTCACAAAGATAACATTAACAAAAACTTCCATTATATTAAACTGTAGTTACGTTAAAATTTCTTTAACAGATTCACAGAGACTGGCAGCACAAAGTTTTGTAAGGATTTAGAGCTACTGGAACTCTCATACCTTGATGGTAGAAATGTAAAATGTTTTAAAAACTTCTGAAAACTCTTTGGAAATGTCTTATTTTCTCATAATGTTAAGCATACACCTATACTATGACAAAGAACTCCATTATAAGGTGTTTACAGGCCCTCGATCAGAAAAAACATAACCAAAACATAAGTTGTATAAACATGTATATGGAAACTTTATTTAAGATAGTCAAAAATTTGAAAAATTCTAAATGTCTATCAAAGAAAAGCGGATAAACATTGTGTGACATAATCACACAAGAGAGATTACCTTTCACCAATTAACAATTAATGAGCTTTTGATACGCACAATGACACAATTAATCTCAAACACATGTTGAACCAAAAGATGCCAGGCAGAAATTAGTGCACACTGTTTTAATTCCAAAAACAGATATAACTACGGTGCAGATATGAGAAAAGTGATTGCTTCATTAATGAGAGGTATTAACTAGAAAGAGATATTAGGAAAATTTATTGGGTCATATTTGTGCACTTGAATGAAAGCAGAATTTATTTTTGTAAAAATATAGATGTCAGCAGATATTCAACTACTATACATGTACTGTCACTTGTAACCTACCAAAGAAAAATATGTTTAAAAATACTTTTACAAAATGACAATTTAAATTAAATAAATTTTCAACTATTTGAAAACCAATTTGGCTGTTTTTTATAAAATTAATTATTCATCCACCCAACTTCCCTATAATCAAGTCACTCCTAAGCACTTATTCAAAAGGAGTAAAAACTCTTCTCCACAGAAAGACTTGAATAAGAATTGTAATAATGAATTAACTTTTAATTACCCCAAAATAATAAAGCTGATGTGTTCAACAACAAATAGAAAAAAATCTGGTATATTCACACAAGAAAATACCACCTACCTATTGAAAGAGACCAACTATTTATATATGCAACAGCATTTATGGATATCAAAAACATTATTTTAACTAATCTGTACACAAAAGTACATGTTGTATGGTTCCATTCATATGGATTTCTGGAAGACAAAAACTATTCTATTGTAAATAGAATAGTTGTTGTCTTGGGAATGGAGATGCAGTTAAATGAGAAAGAACATGAGTGGACTTTGTGGTATGATGGTTACTACAACATAATAGTAAACATTACTATATTTTAATTATATATGTATATGCATTTGTCAAAACTTATAAATATTACTTAAATTTGTTCACCCTATTTTATGTAAATTTTATATAAAAATAAACAAAACAGAAAAAAATCCTAGTCTTTTTAGGAGTATGATCAAAGTTAATCACAGATTGTTTATATGTGAATGAACACACAAAAAATATGTATGCACTTACCTCTCCAAAATGTTGAAGTGTCCGCTTGTAAAAGATACCATTAGTATTTATTCATTTAACATATTCATATGATTCAAACATTTAAATATTTAAAACAAATATTACCAACACTTTTAGTAAATTGGAAAGTTTAAGTCAATATCGAATTGAGAGTTTTTTTCTCATTTGGTTGATTCATTAATTATAATCAGCAAAAAAAATTTGCATATGTTACGTTTGGTTATACAGATACATTTGTGACATATAATTGCAGTATTGGGCAATGACTGATAAAGTTGTATTTTATCAAAACAGCTTTCTGAGTATGTGATACTGTGATATATAAGTAAAAAAAAATGCTAATTCATGATATTCTGTCCCTGGAAGAATATTGACAGAGGTTTACATTTAACATCAATGTCAATAATAGAGTCAGAATTGATATCAAACTTGAGAAATATTTTTGCCAAAAGTAGGTCTTTCATAATTAATATGAATTGATTTCTGCCAAACTATCATATTTAGCCATGTGGTCAGTAATATAATGTAAATTATATGTAGATATATATTTTTAAAGTTGAGGACACCTAAATAAAACATGTAAATTATTTTAATTACTTGACAATCTATTATATACAAAGTATTTAAGTATATTTTAAACATATTCAATTTAACTAATTTTTTGAGTGATTTGGGCAAAATTCTGTTTTAGTTCATTTATAGACATGCTTATATTTGAGTTACTGAAAATACAAACATTTAAGTAGTCTACTCTTAGCATATTAATATGTCCTGTATTCATTACAACATTAATTGCATTAAATTCAACTACTATGAATAAATAATCTATCACATATACATTTTAAAGATAGAAGCATTTCAGTTTTATACAAGGATGTCTTTTTGAGCTGACACAGGTTTCCAAGATTTGAGACAATATCAGAAGATTTATTAAAATTGATATGAGACAGCAACTGCCCACATCTCCCCACATCACTTTGCTGGCATATATCTGCATGGGTGGGCTTTACTTGCTTCAACAGCACATGGGAATGCAGTGTGACCCCCCATAAGCCCCACCAACCACCACTGCAGATGGATCCTTGTTGGGCACAGAGTCATCAAGCCCCATCTACACCAGTGCCCTGCCCTTGTGCTGTGCTGCACACAGAGCAGGGGTTCCCCCCACAACCTGAGCAATTGCTCCTGCTTGCAGACCACAGATAAGGCTCCAAGACCTCCACTGGCCAGCACCCCACCCCAAGCCATCACCACCTACAGTGCAGCAGTGCACTCTGTCTCCAGCAGAAGGCCCTTGCTCCCCCAACAGCTGCCTTGCCTCCAATACTGTGGTGAACACCTGCAGAGAGGCAGACACCCCTATATCCACTAATACTTTGCTGCAGGTACTGCAGTTTGCTATCCCCAGCACAGTGGACTCCAAATCTCGAGGAGCCACAGTGTAAGAGATCGATCAGGTTGTTGTGGGAATCAGGAGACTGGAGAGATTGGTAGGTGAAACAGAAGGATATTTATTGAGTGCACTCAGAACCAGCAGATTAATATCCAAAGACTGGACCCTGAACAAAGACAGCACTTGCCTTTTATGCACACTTCTAAAAGGGGGTGGTCTAACTTGAAACAAGCTTACAGTGGTGCAAAGTATAATGATTCAAAAGCAAGGATACAGAAGAAGAACAAAGGCAGTCAATCATACTACGACAAGTTCACAACTCAGGCTTACATATGACTCTTGCTATGCAGCCCAGATAGCTGTTATCTAGGCTTGTTCCAGTGTTTTGCATGGGCTTATCTCATAAACTTTGCTATGGCATCTAGGGGACTGCAATCCAGGCCTGCTCAGGTGTCTCATGATCTTCACTGTGCTGCTTAGATGAATAACAGAATCAAAAGAGAAAGGAAAATTTGTTTTTCTTCTCCCTATGTTGAGGGAGCCCTGGGAGACTCTCCAGAGCACATTCTTTGAGCCCTAGCTTCTTAGATAATGCTATTGAGACTTTGCCTGGGTCTGGGCTTTGCCTGTTACTGCCTTTGGGATGATTCAGCCTAATACAGAAAGATCGTTTCTTTCTCTTTTTAATTTTACTTTTCTTTCTTTAATTTCCAGCCTCAAGGGTGATGGGAGAAGATGTAAGAAAAATTATAGGGAAAGATGCAAACCTTTTTGGAAGGCCAAAAACTTTGGAGAATAATTTAGCTGAAGGCAGCTAAATTCTCTTAAGGGCAAAGGTTAGATAACAAGGGAATGTAAAGAAACATATCTAGAAAAATTGGTTTACTTATGTCTCAGGAAACCAACCTTTGATCATTCATGTGCAAGACTGCTCTCTACTCAGGGGTCAACAATGTTAATTTCCCACAAATTATGTTTGCTCCAGGCATTTGTCTTCAAATCTGTACTAAATTAATACAAAGTTTTCTGGCTTAGTGGGACTGTACTCTCATTGGCGATGCTAAGCAGTGCAGTCCCCTAGCTGCATTCTCAGGCAAAATAACTGTGTCTGAATACTTTTTTCATGTGTCGCTCAGCCAGAGTGTGCAGGATGGACCCAACACAAGAGAACAAAGCTGGGGCCTAATACAAGTCCCCCAGAGTTAGAGCACACAGTCCAGAAGTTGGGAGCTGAGTGTTGTGCCATAAAATCTCCCAGAAATGAAGCCAGTCAGCTGAATCTACCTTATAACACAAACAAATCTTCGACATCATCAAATAGGATGAAAGAAAACAAAATACCGTCCAAAGGTAAGCAATCTCAAAGACTGAAGTTAGATAAGTGCACAAAGATGAGAAAGAATCAGTGCAAGAATACTGAAAACTCAAAAAGCCAGAGTAACTTCCTACCTCCACATAACTGCGTCACCTCTCCAGCCAGGGTTCAGAACAGGGCTGAGGCTGCAATGGCAGAAATAGCATTCAGAATATAAACAGTAATGAAATTCATAGAGCTATAGGAGTATGTTGTAAGCCAATACAACAGAGCTAAAAATCACAATAAAACATTGCATGACCTGGCAGACAAAATGCCAGTATAGAGAACATAACCAACCTGATAGAGCTGAAAAACACTACAAGAATTTCACAATGCAATCATAAGTATTAACAGCAGAATAGACCATGTGGAGGAAACAATCTAAGAGCTTAAAGAATGGCGGCCGGGCGCGGTGGCTCACGCCTGTAGTCCCAGCAGTTTGGGAGGCCGAGGTGGGTGGATCACGAGGTCAGGAGATTGAGACCATCCTGGCTAAAATGGTGAAACCCCGTCTCTACTAAAAATACAAAAAATTAGCCGGGCGTAGTGGCGGGCGCCTGTAGTCCCAGCTACTTGGGAGGCTGAGGCAGGAGAATGGCATGAACCCAGGAGGCGGAGCTTGCAGTGAGCCGAGATCCCGCCACTGCACTCCAGCCTGGGCAACAGAGCGAGACTCCGTCTCAAAAAAAAAAAAGAATGGCTTTCTGAAATAAGACAGGCAGATAAGAATAGAAAAAAAGAATGAAAAAGAATGAACAAAACCTCTGAGAAATATGGGATTATGTAGAGACTGAATCTACAACTGGTGTACCTAAAAAGGATAGAGAAAATGGAGTCAACTTAGCAAAAGTTGACTTTTGATATTTTTGATCTCATGGATCAAAATATCATCCATGAGAACTTCCCTAACCTAGATAGAGAGGTCAACATTCAAATTCAAGAAATACAGAGAACTTCAGTAAGATACTCCACAAAAAGATCATCTTGAAGACAAATAATCATCAGTTTCCAAGGTCAAAACAATAGAAAAAATGTTAAAGACAGTGTATTAGTCTGTTTTCACACTGCTGATAAAGACATACCTGAGATTGGGTAAATTATAAAGAAAAAGAGGTTTAATGAACTCACAGTTCCACATGACTGGGGAGACCTCACAATCATAGTGGAAGGCAAAAGTCATGTCTTACATGGCAAAAGGCAAGAGAGAGAATGGGAACCAAGCAAAAGCAGAAACCCCTTATAAAACCATCAGGTCGTGTGAGACTTACTGACTACCACAAGGACAGTATAGGGGAAACTACCTCCATGATTCAATTATGTCCCACTAGGTCCTTCCATAACACATAGCAATTATGGGAGCTACAATTCAAGATGAGATTTGGGTGGGGACACAGAGCCAAACCATATTATTTTGCCTGTGTCCCCTCTAAATGTTGTGTCCTCAAGTTTCAAAACCAATCATACCTTCCCAACAGTTCCTCAAGTCTTAATTCATTTCAGCATTAACTCAGAAGTCCACAGTCCAAAGTCTCATCTGAGACAAGTCCCTTCCACCTATAAGCCTGTAAAATCAAAAGAAAGTTAGTTACTTTCTTGATACTATGGGGGTACAGGCATTGGGTAACTATACCCATTCCAAACAGGACAAATTGGCCAAAACAAAGGGGTTACAGGCCCCATGCAAGTCCAAACTCCAGCAAGGCAGTTGAATCTTAACGCTTCAAAATGATCTCCTTTGACTCCATGTCTAACATCCAGGTCATGCTGATGCAAGACGTGGGCTCCCATGGCCTTGGGCAGCTCTGCCCCTGTGGCTTTGAAAGGTACGGTTCCCACCTAGCTGCTTTCACAGGCTGGTGTTGAGCATCTGAGGTTTTTTTTAGGTGCATATGCAAGCTGTGAGTGGATTTACCATTCTGGGGTGTGGAAGATGGTGGTCCTCTTCTCACACAGGCAGCGCCTCAGTGGGGACTCTATGTGGGGCTCCAACCCCACATTTCCCTTCCCCACTTCCTTAGCAGAGGCTCTCCATGATCACCCCCTCTCCCCCACAGTAAACTTCTTCCTGGACATCCAGGCATTTCCATACATCCTCTGAAATCTAGGCTGAGGCTCCCAAGCCTTGCTTCTTGACTTCTGTGCACATGCAGGCTCAACTCCACATGGATGCTGCCAAGGCTTGGGGCTTGCAACCTCTGACACCATGGCCCAAGCTGCACCTTGGTCCCTTTTAGTCACAGCTGGAGTGGCTGGGATGTAGAGCACCAAGTCCCTAGACTGCACACAGAGAGGGGCCCTGGGCCTGTCCCCAGAGAACATTTTTTCCTCCTAGGCCTCTGGGTCTGTGATGGGAGGGGCTGCTGTGAAGACCTAGGACATGGCCTAGAGACATTTTTCCCATTGTCTTCATGATTAGGATTTGGCTTCTTGTTACTTATGCACATTTCTGCAGCTGGCTTGAATTTCTTCTCAGAAAATGTTTTGTTTTTTTTTCTATTGCATTGTCAGACTGCAAATTATATAAATATATATATAATTTAAATAATATGAGCCAATAAATACATAACTAATATTTAAATTATTAAAGATAAATAATTATAACTATTTTATCAAAATTGTAAATATGGAAATGTATATAACATACAATTATTGATAAATAAGTTGGGGGTTTTACTTGTGATTTTCTCAAAACCTGAATAAAAATATCCTTTCTTTTTTGAGTCCTGTATTTTCTTCAGTTTGAACAAATATTGGAATTATTAACTCTGCACCAAAGCTAAATAACTGATTAAGGACACATGATGAACCTATTTGCATAAATGTGTAAATGTTATTTTTAAAAGCAGTGAAAAGTTAATGAAGATATTTAATTAAACTGAAGAGTCCACTTACTAGATAATTCAATGTCATTAATTAGGTGACTCATAAAGCAGAGGCTTTCCATTTTTCGAGAGTGGCTAGAAAAAAAAGCTATGTTTACAACATGACTCTACTAAGAAACCTGAATATTATTTCATTACTTCTTATCAAGCTAATATGAGAAAGGAAGCAATAAGATAAAAATAAATGACAGTCACTTCTTGGACTGGAAGCAAAGAAGTTTAACAAAAGAAAAAAAAGCATTCTTCCCCACTTTCTTAAAAATTGAGACCACATTTTAAAATAATTTTGCTTGAGGTCTAATTAAAAATATTATAGTTTCTATTTTCTGGAATATTATAGTTTTTCAAAACTGCAACCAGTAGGCAGATAAATAAATATAAATTACGATAAACATAATGTAGATGTATCTTTACAGAAAACTTTAGATCAAATGTTAACTTTTTCTACAAAGCGTCAGATTTTAAGTATGTTAGGCTTTGACAATCATACAGTTTCTGTTGCAACCACTCAACTCTGACATAATAGCCTGAAAACATCTATAGACCACATGTAAGTGAATGATCTTGTGTCCAAAAAAAAAACCTTGTTATTTATGAAAACACTGCAGTTTTTACTTTATGCAATCATTATATGCTACAAAATGTTATTTTAAAAAATTGTTTCAATCATTTAAATCTCTAAAAACCATTATTACCTTGCAGGCTGTACCAAAACCATAGGCCACAGGCTGCCAATGCTCACACTGAAGAAACAAAATTGTGATATCAGTGCAGCCTTCACACAGAAAATAGAGTTTGAAACTAGAATATCAACTACAACTGGAGAGTTAAATGAAAAGTCTTATTAGTTAGTTGGAGTGGGTTTTGCAAGACACTGGTGAGAAGTACAGAATTTGGGGTAATTGGAGTAATTACGTGGGCTTAAATATATATGTGTGGGTAGAAGAGGGAGATGTCAAGCGATGAGAGTAGAGATGAGTTTAGGATAAATTACAAATGTCTTCAGGCCATCCAAAGTGTTTATAATTTATTCTAATGGAAGTGACAAGACATTAATGAGATCTAAAATAGGGACTACAAGAAACAGATTACAATAGATAAACAAGACTGTAGGCAGAGAGCTTCTTAATTCCACAGTTCATTGGCAAGTCCAAGAAGAAACTTAAGGTGACCTGAACTATAGTAATGACAGAGGATTCACTTATAAGTACAGTCTTGAGTTGATTAATGATGAGAATTCATTCTGAGAAATGTGTTCCCTAGGTGAACATCATAGTGTCCTTTTACAAACCTAGATGGTGTAGCCTACTACACACTTCGGCAATAAGGTAGAAGTTATTGCTTTTAGGCTACAAGCCCTTACGTCAGGTTACTATATTAAATAATGTAGCCAACTGAAACACAATGATAAACATCTTTATATCTAAACATAGAAAACATACAATAAAAAGATATGGTATAAAAAATAAAAAGTTGTACACCTGTATAGGATGGTTACTATAAATGGCACTTGCAGGCCTAGAAGTTGCTCTGGATGAGTCAGTGAGTGAGTGGTGAGAAAAAGCAAAGTCTTTAGACATTACTGAACACTACTGTAGACTTAATAAACACTGTACACTTAGGCTACATTACATTTCTAAAAACTATTTTTTCTCTAATAATAAAATAACCTTAGCTTACTGTATCTTTTTTACTTTATAATTTTTTTGACTCTTGCAATAATGCTTAGTTTAAAACACAAACACATTGAACATCTGTACAAAAAATATTTTCTTTCTTTATGCCCTTATTATATAAGCTTTTTTCTACAATGGAACAGAACAGAGCCCTCAGAAATAATGCTGCATATTTACAACTATCTGATCTTTGACAAACCTGAGAAAAACAAGAAATGGGGAAAGGATTCTCTATTTAATAAATGGTGCTGGGAAAACTGGCTAGACATATGTAGAAAGCTGAAACTGGATCCCTTCCTTACACCTTATACAACAATTAATTCAAGATGGATTAAAGACTTAAACCTTAGACCTAAAACCATAAAAACCCTAGAAGTAAACCTAGGCATTACCATTCAGGACATAGGCATGGGCAAGGACTTCATGTCTAAAACACCAAAAGCAATGGCAACAAAAGACAAAATTGACAAATGGGATCTAATTAAACTCAAGAGTTTCTGCCCAGCAAAAGAAACTACCATCAGAGTGAACAGGCAACCTACAAAATGGGAGAAAATTTTTGCAACCTACTCATCTGACAAAGGGCTAATATCCAGAATCTACAATGAACTCAAACAAATTGACAAGAAAAAAACAAACAACCGCATCAAAAAGTGGGCAAAGGACATGAACAGACACTTCTCAAAAGAAGACATTTATGCAGCCAAAAAACACATGAAAAAATGCTCATCATCACTGGCCATCAGAGAAATGCAAATGAAAACCACAATGAGAGACCATCTCACACCAGTTAGAATGGCGATCATTAAAAAGTCAGGAAACAACAGGTGCTGGAGAGGATATGGAAAAATAGGAACACTTTTACACTGTTGGTGGGACTGTAAACTAGTTCAACCATTGTAGAAGTCAGTGTGGCGATTCCTCAGGGATCTAGAACTGGAAATACCATTTGACCCAGCCATCCCATTACTGGGTATATACCCAAAGGATTATAAATCATGCTGCTATAAAGACACACGCACACGTATGTTTATTGAGGCACTATTCACAATAGCAAAGACTTGGAACCAACCCAAATGTCCAACAATGACAGACTGGATTAAGAAAATGTGGCACATATACACCATGGAATACTATGCAGCCATAAAAAATGATGAATTCATGTCTTTTGTAGGGATATGGATGAAATTGGAAATCATCATTCTCAGTAAACTATCGCAAGAACAAAAAACCAAACATCACATATTCTCACTCATAAGTAGGAATTGAACAGTGAGAACACACGGACACAGGAAGGGGAACATCATACTCTGGGGACTGTTGTGGGGTGGGGTGAGGGGGGGAGGGATAGCTTTAGGAGATATAACTAATGTTAAATGACGAGTTAATGAGTGCAGCACACCAGCATGGCACATGTATACATATGTAACTAACCTGCACATTGTGCACATGTACCCTAAAACTTAAAGTATAATAATAATAAAATAAAAAAAAGAAAAATAAAGTTTTTAAATTTATATTATTTACTTTTAAAACATTTTCTTAATAAGACACAAACACATACAGTAGCTGAGGCCTACACAGGGTCAGGATTATCAATATTACTGTCTTCTGCCTTTATATCTTGTCCCACTGTAAGGTCTTCCAGGGCAATAACATGCATGGAACTTTCATCTTCTAAGATAACAATGCTTCCTTATAGAATACCTCCTCAAGGACCTGTCTGAGGCTGTTTAATGGTTAACTCTTTCTCTCTCTCCTCTCTCCATATATATATATATATATATATATATATATATATATATATATATATATGAATTGTTTGGCTCATTATAATCTTATGGGACCACTGTTCTGTAGGTAGTTCATCATTGACCGAAATGTTGTTATTAGGCAGGGCATGATTGTATATTATTTTTATTTACCACTGAATGGCAATATTAAATATGTTACAAGAATGGTTTGGATATTAAATCCTTATTATTCTTATTATTGTTATTGAGACAGAGTCTTGCTCTGTCGTCCAAGCTGGAGTGAAATGGCACTATCATCTCGGCTCACTGCAACCTTCGCCTCCCGGGTTCAAGTGATTCTCCCGCCTCAGCCTCCTGAGTAGCTGGGACTACAGGCGCACTTTACCATGCCTGGCTAATTTTTGCGTTTTTAGTAGAGATGGGATTTCACTCACCACGTTGACCAGGCTGGTCTCAAACTCCTGAAGTCAGTTGATCCACCCGCCTTGGCCTCCCAAAGTGTTGTGATTACAAGTGACCACTCCCAGCCTTAATTCCTTATTATGAAGACATGTAATTCATATAACAAAAGCAGTAAAAATGTCTAGAATCCTATGTACTTTCCAGAATGCTGTAAAGAGCTAAGCTGCCATGGAGTTGAAATAGCTAATTAAAACAATAAGCCAAAATGACAGTAACAGTCAAATCTTTACTAACTGAGATAGTTTAAGCAAGAAACTAAAGAGGAAAGATCGCTAGCTCCTCCAATGTTCCATTTTGTCCCATGAAACAGCTCCAGGCCAAGGTCATGTAGATCAGCACAAATGCAGATGTGGGAATTTTCTCAGCAAGGATCTTTTGACCAAGGAGCCATGAACAAAAAGCTCCTTTCATCTTATGGACCTGGGTCCTTGGGACAGAAAGAGGAGGAAGCGCTAAGAATGGGAAAATACTGAGTTCTGATTCAGAATAGAGAATAATGATTTCAAGGTTTCCCCTTTCTCCTCTCCCTTATCCCTCTCTCCCTATCATAAGGAGTTCTCTGCAAAGGTTTTATATTGAGGGTCCCTAATAAGGATAGCTCAGATGGGGGTGCCTGAGACTTGAATGGCAGACATGCACAGGAGGATGGTTGGCTAGCGGGGAATGAGTCCTAGACTGCAGCTCCCATTAGACATTGTAATGCACTGGCTGTTTGCCAATTCTGGTATAGGGAGAGTATCTTTCTCTAGTGAGGCCTGCCAGGTAAAGCCATTGTCATGGCCTATGGTTAGGCCTGAAAGATTACACATAGGGTTTCTGCCTGGAGTTGGACTCCTCAAATGCCTTTTGGATTTTCTGTCAAGTGGTAAACATTAAGGGAAGATTAAAACAACTCCAATTTGACAAGACAACTAAGGTCACTGTTCATGAAGGGTGGGCTCTTGCTGTGGAAACTTGGATAATTTAGGATACTATAGAGAAGTGTGGAATGAATAATATAAAAAGAATGGTACAAATACCATCCACAGTTCCATGATCAGTTATAAAATTAAGTATGTAATACATTCTTGGGTTTTCTTCTCTTCTGCATTGTCATGTATATAATTGTTTGTCTTATTATCTTCCATTTTTCCCATCATTTTTAGGGTAGGCTGGTTTGAATAACTTCATAATTTGTTATCTTATTTCAGGATATTAAGACATAGTTGAGACTGAAGCTGAAGAGGAGTGAATATCATGGATACCTATTTTGGATAGGACCACTGCATTTTAATTTGTGCAACATATATTTGAATTATATTTGACAGGATCATGTACTTGTTACTGTTACTCTTTTGAAGTTTAAGCTTTAGAAAAGGCAGGTGCATGGATATTGAATAGTCTTAAGCTGGACCATCGGCTATTTCAGACTGGCTTACTCAGGCATATTCCAAAACTCTGGTAGTTTGACTAAGTACTTGCTCAATTTGGAACAGCTAAAAATGATATCCCCAGGCTTACTCACAATTCAGGTTTTACATTAAACCTACCTTCTTTAAGGAAAAGAGCCTGAGATAGAAGGTGCCTTCCTATTCTTTTTTTCTGACAAGCAATGTAACAAAACCATTTACTTTCCTGTAACAACAGTCACAAAGGACCAAATGTCCAGTCCTTAGTTCTGTGGCCGACATTCTGTGTTATTCAAATATGAACCATGGCTGAGATCCTATGATCAAGAAGCAAGCAGCTATGACAGAAGTATTTTAATGCTTAGAGGAAAAAAAAAAACAAAGGTAGCAACTCACTGTTAGGTTAGGGTTAGTCTGCAGATACCTGGATTAAGATATTTTAAGCCACTGTGTGGTCCCTGGCTGACCAGTGTGAGTTCATTTATATCTATCTCCTCTATTTGGATAACAGTAAAAACATAACAGAGGGAGATGGATTCCATAAATATGACTGTTGAAAATGTTATAGCTACAGAGGATCTAAGATGTATGTTTGGTAGTTGGACTAATGTATTGTTTGGATCAAATAAAATATGTGTTAGAGAATGCAACTGTTTATTCACAGTATAGGGGCACAGTTTAGGCCCAGATCAGTCAGGAAGGTGGCAAACTGTTTCACACATTTCCTGCCATGTAAATCAGAAATGTTGTGTAGAACAGAACTTATATACAAGCTAAAATAAGTAAACACAAAACAAAAGATAGTGACCAAAATCTTTAGCAAGAAGAGGTGCATCACAAAAGGAAAGAGGAACAGGAATGACCTGATATGAAACTATAAGGTACCCCTGTAAGAGATATGAATGGAGGCTGCTACAGTAAGTCTAAGGCCAACAATGTAGAGAGAAACAGATGAAATTTTTCTTTGTATTGTTAAATTAAAATGCAAACATTCGAGCTTCCCAGCTTCCACATCAAAGTAGAAAAAAAAAGAAATTTGCATGAGAAATGTTTGTCTAGCTTTTATGAAGGATGACAGAAAAAATTATTGTTTCTCAAAGCAGTTTTTCTAAAAGTACATTTGTAAAATGGACAATGTGCCTCAAGTTACAAAAAATTATTTTATTATTCTCTATGTAAATATGTTTCCCATGAGTACATTTAATGATGTTTAGACTAACAATTTTGTTTAAATTTTAAGTTAATAAGATAAACTTTGAAACTGGGAAAAAAACAAATAGCAAAGTTAGCATAATTTTAGTGCCAGTGGTTGCACAGGAGATCCTGATTCTCCAGCTTCTCAGTCATGGCAAAAGGAACAACAGTCCCAGCTCTGTCGTTTTTCTGGAGGAGTTCTAGCAATCATTTAGAAGATCAGCCCAAGACCTGCTCCACCAACTCTCCAATCGTGTAAGAAACTAATTCTATATATTAAATTTTGTTTGCCTATATTACCTAAAGATTTATTCTTATAATCTATAATGGAAAATTGAAATATTGAGTATGCTGATGAAAAAGATTACATTTTCTTAAACAAATGTTCACTCCTAAATGACAAATTCAATTATAGGAACAAATTTAGGTAGGCATAAAAAGAGAAAAGTGAAAATACAATTGAAAAATTGAGGCTGGGCATGGTGGCTCACACCTGTAATCCCAGCACTTTGGGAGGCCGAGGCGGGTGGATCACGAGGTCAGGAGATCGAGACCACGGTGAAACCCCGTCTCTACTAAAAATACAAAAAATTAGCTGGGCACGATGGCGGGCGCCTGTAGTCCCAGCTACTCGGGAGGCTGAGGCAGGAGAATGGCGTGAACCCAGGAGGCGGAGCTTGCAGTGAGCCGAGATCCCACCACTGCACTCCAGCCTGGGCGACAGAGCGAGACTCTGTCTCAAAAAAACAAACAAAAAAGAAAAATTGAAGCAACTCCACATGCATTCCAGCTTTACAGAGTGAAAGTGTACATGAAATTTTATTGAGACAATAATTTATAATGTATAATTAACTCAAGGATTAATATTATTTGACACAATTTTGAGCATACTAAAAGGTAACTGGATTTTATAATCTAATTAAAAAGTCAAATAAGTAAATACAATGAGTATTACCTTTATAAATACTTTAAGACGCATTCGAGTATATGCTATAATGGAAATATTCGGCCGGGCGCAGGGACTCACGCCTGTAATCCCAGCACTTTGGGAGGCCGAGGTGGGTGGATCACGAGGTCAGGAGGTTGAGACCATCCTGGTTAACATGGTGAAACCCCGTCTCTACTCAAAATACAAAAAAAATTAGCCGGGTGTGGTGGCAGGCGCCTGTAGTCCCAGCTACTCAGGAGGCTGAGGCAGGAGAATGGCGCGAACCCAGGAGGTGGAGCTTGCAGTGAGCCGAGATTGCGCTGCTGCACTCCAGCCTGAGCAACAGAGCGAGACTCCGTCTCAAAAAATAAATAAATAAATAAATAAATTAGTAAATTTTGCATAAGTAAATTATACCTCAGTAAATCTGGCTAAAATACAATGTAAATATGTGTATCAACCACCATTAATTTAAAAATTCTAGGGCCAGGCATGATGGCTTATACCTGTAATCCTATCACTTTGGGAGGCTGAGGTGGGAGGATCCCTTGAGCCCAGGAGTTCAAGACAAGCCTGGGTAACAGGGAGAGCCTCATCTCTATAGAAAATTTAAAAATTTAATTAGCCTATCATTGTGGCTCACACCTGTAATCCCAGATACTTGGGAGGCTTTTTTGAGGTTATAGTGAGTTATGATCCAGCTACTGTACTCCAGCCTGGTGACAGAATGGCATCTTCTCTCTATAAAAATAAAAATAAAAATAAAATCTATGACATTTAACTGATTACTTATTTAATCAATTAATTGGAATAAATGATATCCTGATTATGACATTTCAATAGACATATTATTATTTATTTTAATATTTGAATAGAGTAAATAAAGACCTATTTTTCTTTCAATTTGTCATTTATTTTATGTTGCTTTGAATAAAAAACTAATGCTGCAATTGTGTACACCATTAAATCATTAGGTTCTAATTTCCTTGATCTATTACGAAAAGTGATTTTCAATTTGAATATCAAGGGCATTATTTGCAGAATATTGTTATTCTGCAAATATATTCTGCAAATACATTCTGTAATATTTAAATATCATAATCAAGCAAACTCTTAAATGTGACACCTGAAACAATTATAGGCAAAGAAAATACTAGTAATATAGCTCACAGATAAAGCTTATTTAGTATAAAGTATGCAAGGAACTTCGGATTCAGAAAATATGGCACAGATCCATGTTTTTCCCGCCTCTTTTTGTTATGCACAACTATATATTTTGAAAATGACACATGTGACTAACATGAAAAAGCTCTAAGAGATGGAGGTAAACAGAAGAGTTAGTTTGATATGCAAGGAATGGTGAAACAGCACAACAGCAAGGCATCTTGTGTATCCTCACTGGACAGAAGAAGGCCTTCAGACTTATTTTTCCTAATCCCCCAATCTAGCAACAGAAGATACCTCAAGTAAGCTCCTTCCTCCCTTGGGTCAATCAGGAGCCGCTAGCTTGAGACACCCACCACCATCCAGGAGAAGCAGCTAGGAGAAACGCTAAGAGAGGTGCTCTCCTTCCCAGTACAGCTTGAGGCTTCCTTTGCTACCAGGAAGCACAAAGGTGGAAAAATAGAACCAGGAAGAGGGACCTAGTAGAGAAAGTGGCCTGGCCTAAGAAGCTGCTTTGTCCCTGCAGGCCTAAGACGCTCTTCCCAATGACCCCAGAGTAGCCAGGGGACATTGGTTGGGGGATTCTACCACACCCCTCACCACATACCTCAGACACCTGGTAGCCTAACCTGGAGAAACTGCTTCCACTGCCATAGGCAGCACTAACAGGGAGCAGTGGAATTCCCAGCAGCACCATATTAATCAAAGAGTCTGAAATCACAATGCAAAAGCTCTAAACATTAAGTTGGTATTGAAACTACAGCCAAAACAATTGGCCAGTGCAGGACAGTTCTCCATGTGGCCTTGGATTGACCCAGTTCTCTTCCCTTTCTTCCTTGTAGGTCTTAATAATTACTGTAGATTATGCTGGGAATACATCATGGTGAGATAAGGAGGGGCTGACTGGACTAGCCTGGGCCTGTTGCTCTTTCCTCTGGAAGCACGATGCCCCTCAAAGCTTTAAATCAATGTTTCACATTGGCTCTGAGGTATATAACCCTGAACAGGCTGTCTTAAAGAGTCCTGGCTGGGCGTGGTGGCTCATGCCTTGTAATCCCAGCACTTTAGGAGGCCAAGGTGGGTGGATCACCTGAGGTCAGGAATTCAAGATCAGCCTGGCCAACATAGTGAAACCCCGTCTCTACTAAAAATATAAAAAACTTAGAGTGGTGGCAGGCGCCTATAATCCCAGCTACTTGGGAGGCTGAGGCACGAGAATCGCTTGAACCCAGGAGGCAGAGGTTGCAGTGAGCCGAGACCATGCCATTGAACTCCAGCCTGGGCAACAAGAACCAAGCTCCACCTCAAAAAAAAAAAAAATAATAAGAGCCCCTCAGCTGTGGTGCAAGTGGGGAATGCACAGCTGAGACTCAATGTGCCCTAGACAGCTTTCTCGAGTCTTCAGGAACCAGCTCATCATAGATCCTAGCATTCTTTTGTCCCTAGCTGCCTACCTGTAAGTCACAAATCTGCTTTGTGTAACTTGTTGCATATGAGTGTATTCTGTCTCCTGCACTCAGACAAGCTGGTAAGCAGCACACAGTAAACCTAATCCACAAAATGCGTCCAGCAAGCAGGGCCCCATCTAATGTAATCATAGCTTATTTGAGAAGCAGGAGGGGTGATACTTCCTAGTACCCAGCCCAGGGGAAAGACGGCAGCCTGGGGGCATGGGGATTGAATATTTTCAGAAGAAGGAAGGGTGATAAGTGGGATGTAGGTCTGCCACTTCCCACAGATGTGAATGAGATGGCTGCATGGATCAAGGCAAACAAAAGGCAAAGAGGAAATAGAGGAGCATAGGTTCCTTGGTTGGGGATATTTATTTAATTACCCTGTCATTCATGGGGGCAGAGAGTGAGGGAAGTGTGTACTCAACCAGACACTAAGGCACCTGAGAGAGAAAGAAGAAAGGGGTCCTCAGATCTTCCTTGAGGCATCTGAGAAGGAATCAATACATGTGATAAAGGCCTTCACAGAAAGGGAGACTCATTATCTAAAGGACAGATATAGAGAAAGGCCAGGTATATTTCTTTGATGAAAGGACATTGCAAATCCAATGTCTTGGGCTGAATGGCAGAGTCAGAAATGGGACCAAGGTCTCAGGGTCCCCAAATGGAGGCCAAAGGCCTTATATTTCTGTCAAGGTAAGAGGAGAAAAGAAAGAAATTCAGACTTTTTTTTTTGATACATGAGTCCACATAATATTTCCAGGTCCTCTTAGGGAGAAAAACTGGTGACACTGGAAGGTTTTAGAATGAATGCATTGACCAGTAGTGCTTATCTACCTGTGATGTGGCTTTGGTCCATATTGGATGTTAGTGACCATGGTTCTCACTTGTGAGTGCATTATTGGCATTGACCCCCCGACTTCTTGTAACACAAAAATCACCATTGCCTAAGGGGACATACTCTTTGACAACTCAGAATTCAAGCCATAACAGTGGGGCATATCCTGCCTAAAGGACCCACCTAAACTACCCAAGCCCCAATGGATTATTTAACAAAAGCAATACTACATGGTAAGTGGAGAATAGGACATTACTTTATTATTTCAGGACTACAACAAACTATCCCTTTTAAGCAACCTGTAAGGATCCATTGGATTCTCCTGTGGTGACCTGGGGCCCAGGACTCAGAGACATGCTTACTGATAGCATGGCATTGTCATGCATCAGTGCATCAGTGTGAAGAGACCACCAAACAGGCTTTTTGTGAGCAACAAGACTGTTTATTTCACCTGGGTGCAGGCAGGCTGAATCCAAAAAGAGAGTCAGTGAAGGAAGATGGGGTGGGGCCGTTTTATAGGATTTGGGTAGGTAGTGGAAAATTACAGTCAAAGGGGGTTATTCTCTGGCAGGCAGGGGCGGGGGTCACAAGGTGCTCAGTGGGGGAGCTTCTGAGCCAGGAGAAGGAATTTCACAAAGTAATGTCATCAGTTAAGGCAGGAGCCAGCCATTTTCACTTCTTTTGATTCTTCACTTGTTTCAGGCCATCTGGATGTATACGTGCAGGTCACAGGAGATACGATGGCTTAGCTTGGGCTCAGAGGCCTGACATTCCTGTCTTCTTATATTAATAAGAAAAATAAAACAAAATAGTGTTGAAGTGTTGGGGTGGTGAAAATTTTGGGGGGTGCTATGGAGAGATAATGGGTGATGTTTCTCAGGGCTGCTTCGAGTGGGATTAGGGGAGGCATGGGAACCTAGAGTGGGAGAGATTAAGCTGAAGGAAGATTTTGTGGTAAGAATTGCGGGGTTGTTAAGAGGAGCATTTGTCATATGGAATGATTGGTAATGGCCTGGATGCGGTTTTGTATGAATTGAGAAACTAAACGGAAGACACAAGGTGTGAATAAGTGAAGGAGAAAAACAGGTATTAAATGACTAAGAATTGGGAGGACCCAGGACATCCAATTAGAGAGTGCTCAAGGGGGTTCAGCATAATTACTTGTTTGGTTGGTGAGTTTTGGGGCTCTATCCTTGACAGAGTCCTCTTTTTTGTTTTAAGTTGGAGGCTGAGCTTGGTGAGGTGTATTTTTAAAAGACAATTAGTCCGTTCTACCATTCCTGAAGATTCAGGATGGTGAGGGGTATAAAGGTTTTACTGAATACCAAGAGCCTAAGAAAATGCTTGGGGGATTTGACTAATAAAGGCTGGTCCGTTATCAGACTGTATAGAGGAGGGAAGTCCAAACCAAAGAATTGTGTCTGACAGAAGGGAAGAAATCATCGTGGTGGCCTTCTCAGACCCTGCGGGAAAGGCCTCTACCCATCCAGTGAAAGTGTCTACCCAGACCAAGAGGTATTTTAGTTTCCTGACTCAGAGCATGTGAGTGAAGTCAATTTGCCAGTCCTGGGTGGGGGCAAATCCCTGAGCTTGATGTGTAGGGAAGGGAGGGGGCCTGAATAATCCCTGAGGAGTAGTAGAATAGCAGATGGAACACTGAGAAGTGATTTTTTGAGGATAGATTTCCACAATGGAAAGGAAATGAGAGGTTCTAAGAGGTGGGCTAGCAGCTTGTAACCTACATGGAAGAGGTTATGCAATGACGACAGAATAGAATGGGCCTGTGAGGCTGGAAGGAGATATTTTCCTTGGTCAAAGAACCATTTGCCTTGTGTGGGAAGAGATTGATAGGTGGAAGTTTCAGTCGGTGAGTAGGTGGGAGTGACCAATTAGAAGGAGAAAAACTGGCCGTGAGGGACAGAAGTTGGAATGCTAGCTGCTTCTTTAGCTATTTTATCAGCATAAGCATTGCCCTGAGCAATGGGATCTGATGCCTTTTGATGGCCTTTGCAGTGAATGACTCCAGCTTCCTTTGGAAGTAAAGTGGCCTTGAGAAGAGCTTTTATTAAAGAGGCATTAATGATGGAGGACCCTTGCGCAGTGAGGAAACCTCTTTCTGCCCATATAATGGTATGGTGGCATAGGATATGGAAGGCATATTTAGAGTCAGTTTAAATATTGATGTGTAGTCCCTTTGCAAGAGTGACGCTCGAGTTAAGGCAATGAATTTGGCT